>NC_000012.12:98672249-98975279 GCF_000001405.40 Homo sapiens
TGCCTCCCGGATTCAAACGATTCTCCTGCCTCAGCCTCCAAAGTAGCTGGGATTATAGGCGCCCACCACCATGCCTGTCTAGTTTTTATATTTTTAATGGAGATGGGGTTTCGTCATGTTGGCCAGGCTGGTCTCAAACTCCTGATTTCAAGTGAGCTGCATGCCTCGGCCTCCCAAAGTGCTGGGACTACAGGCATGAGCCACCACGCCTGGCCTTCTGTGAAGATGTAAATGAGATAATGGCTGTAAAGTAATTTGCACTTTCCTTTGCACATATAGTCCTTATTAAATGACCACTGAACCCTGATTATTCTGTCTCTTAAAGGAGTCTCTTTTGCTCTTACCTTAATCTTGTAAGGAAAGGTATAATCTTACCTTTCCTTATAAAAAGGAAAGGATAGCTATTAATACCATCTTTTTAATGCCTGTTATAATGCTACATAATCAAGTTATTCTATTTAATCTTCAAAACAAGTTTATAAGGTAAATTTTATTTTTATTTTATTTTATTTTATTTTTTTTGAGACGGCGTTTCACTCTTGTCGCCCAGGCTGGAGTGCAATGGCACGATCTCCGCTCACGGCAACCTCCTCCTCCTGGGTTCAAGCCATTCTCCTGCCTCAGCCTCCCGAGTAGCTGGAATTACAGGCATATGCCACCACGCCTGGCCGATTTTGTATTTTTTTTTAGTAGAGACAGGGTTTCTCCATGTTGGTCAGGCTGGTCTCGAACTCCAGACCTCAGGTGATCCACCCGCCTCAGCCTCCCAAAGTGTTGGGATTACAGGCGTGAGCCACTGCACCCGGCCTAAATTTTATTTACCTTATAAAAATGTAAGTACCTAAAATTGACCTCTGATTATACAAATGAGAAAATTGAGGCACAGAAAGATTTGGACTTGGCTAAGTTCATGTGACTTGCTGAATGGGATTTAAACCTTGGATCTTGTGGCTGGGCATGGTGGCTCATGCCTGGAATCCCAGCAATTTGGGAGGCCGAGGCGGGCGGATCACCTGAGGTCAGGAGTTTGAGACCAGCCTGGTCAACATGGTGAAACCCATCTTTACTAAAAATACAAAAATTAGCTGGATGTGGTGAATTGTTTGAACCTGGGAGGCAGAGACTGCAGTGAGCCGAGATTGTGCCACTGCACTCCAGCCTGGGCAACAAAGTGAAGCTCTGTCTCAAAAAACAAAAAAAAAAAAAACAAAAAAAAAACCTTGGGTCTGCCTGGCTTTATTTTGCATGCTCTTTCCATATGTCATGCTTCCCTTACAGCTTGAAATAATAAATATGAGTGGCTCTCTTTTCATATGTATAATTTATATCTAAATAGAAGTCCAGGTTGGTATCTGTGATCTTTATGGCATTAGGCCCTCTTTCCAAATAAGTCAGACTACTGTAGGTGATTTTCTTGATTCAGTTTAGTTCAAGAAGCGTTTGAGTTTCTGTACTGTGCTAAGCACTAGCATTTGAGTTTCTCTACTGTGCTAAGCACTGTTACTAGATGTGAGGTCTTTCCCCTAAGGAGTTCAAAATCTCGTAGTGAAGAAAGGAGTTTAGGCAAATAATTACAATATAATGCAATGAGTATAACAACAGAACTATGTATAAGTAGAGATAGAACTGATAAGTATTTGGCTTGGAAAAATGAGGAATTCAAGGGAGGGTTCCATGAAGGAGAGAATGGTATCTGAGAGAATTAAAATTTTTTTTTTAAGTTAAAATGTTTAATTTTTGTTGGTTTTATTTATTTATTTATTTTGAGACAGGACCTCACTTTGTCATTTAGGTTGAGTGCAGTGGTATGATCACTGCTCACTGTAGCCTTGACCTCTTGGGCTCAAGCAACCCTCCTGCTTCAACCTCCTGAGTAGCTGAGACTACAGGCACATATTACCATGCCTAATTTTTTATTTTTTTGTAGAGATAAGGTCTCACTATGTTGCCCAAGCTGATCTCAAATTCCTGGACACAATTGATCCTCCTTCCTTGACTTCCCAAAGTTCTTGGATTACAGGCATGAGCCACCACACCCAGCAGGTTTTATTTTAAATAATACATTCCTGATTAAGACAAAAAACAATAGTAATAGGATGTAAGATGAAAAGTCAAAGACTAGCCATTTCCCTCCTACCTTCCCACTTTCCAGAGTTGACCATTCCTTAATACTTTCTTGTGAAGTGGAGGTCTCTCTCTCTCTCTCTCTCTCTGAGAAGCAGCCCCCTAACTTACTGAAGCTAGATTAGATCTGTCTGTATTCGAGAGAACTGTTTGCCCCATATCATAGGATTTGTCACACTTTATAGTGATTATCTGTTTACTTGGTTTTCTCTCATACTAGTCCATGTGTTCTGAAGTATAGAATAGTTTGGAGGTTAAAATAACATACCCTGGCTCTAGACTGCCTGGGTTTGAATCCCAGCTCTGCTATTGATTAGTTGTGTATCATAAGGGGAAAGTTATTTAACTTCCTTTGCCTAATGGTAGTATTTTATAGCATTGTTGTGAGGATTAAATTAGTGTATATATGTATATAAACGTATAGACATACATATAGTACTTAGAACAGCACCCAGTTCATAGAAAGTGCTCAATAAATATTAGTTGTTATTAAGAATAGCATTTAGCATTTTTCTGGTCTGTATTCAGTATAAATTTATGGAAGATTGAATGAACTCATGTTTCAGTTAGTGGCTGAAATAGAATCTTAATACTTGGTCTGATCAAAGGGCATAGGTTTAGTTCTTGTTCTCTTATGAATTGTTGAGTTTCTTCCTGTTTTCTCCCATTGCATCAACTGCATTTCTCCTTGTGATGTTCTCTCATAGAATGGTTAGCTATTTATAGCTTATTTTTAAATTGTGTTTGACCAGTCCATATTCAAAGAATGCTTTATTTAAGTACTAGAAACTTTTTTGGTGTTTACTATAGAAAGGTTTAGGTTGGTATAAGCTTAAATTTAATTGAGTTTCTGTTTTCAATGAAATTATTTATTCACTCATTCATTTGTTATTTGTCTAGTACTTTTGGGCCATCTACTATATATCCTTTATTATGAAAGTCACTTTCTGAGCTTTGAGGAATTGAGTAGATAGATCAAGCAGACATAAAGAACATTTTAAAATCTAATCCTCTTAACTTTGCTAGAACTTATCTGTTCTTCTAGTTGTCATCACTCTAGTTCTTATATTATACAGTCGACCCTCCATATCCGTGGTTCTATATCCATAGATTCAACCAACCTGGATTGAAAATATTAGAAAAGAAGTAGATGGTTATGTTTGTATTGAACATGTACAGACTCTTTTCTTGTTATTATTTCCTAAACACGATGGTATTACAACTGTTTACATAGCATTTACATTGTACTAGGTATTTTGAGTAATCTATAGATGATTTAGGGTATACAGGAGGATGTGGTGGGTTACATGCAAATCCTATACCATTTTATGTAAGAGACTTGAGCATCCATGGATTTTGGTATCTGTAGTGGGTCCTAGAACCAATCCCTCATCAATACTGAGGAACAACTGTACTTGTTTGTTTTATCACTTCTACTAAAGTGTAATACTTTGTAGGCAGGATCTAAATATGATTTACCTTTGTGTTCACTTTTATCACTTGATCTGTCTTGTGTGTGGTTAAGTTTTTTGAAGAATGATAGTAGTGGCACCTTTATGTGTCGGGTGCTGTTTAGAATAGATACCATTACTTCCATTTGACATATGAAGAAATAAAAACTTGTTAGGTTAAGTAATTTGCTCATTTACACACCTAATAAGTATTAGAAATGAGGTTAGGTTTGTCTGACTGCCAACCCTTGATTTCTAAAATAAGCACAATACTATTTGACATATTTACTTGTACTCAAAGTGACAGGGATGTAACGTATATGAAATTCTGTCACTGCACTAATAGTTTTTTCTGGTTTAAGTATACATTACATTCCTTTACACCTTATTATTTATTTATTTATTTAGAAACAGACCCTCAGTCACCCAGGCTGGAGTGCAGTGGTATGATCTTGGCTCACTGCAACCTCCACCTCCAGGGTTCAAGCGATTCTCATGCCTCAGCCTCCCGAGTAGCTAGGATTACAGGTGTGTGCCACCATGCCTGCTAATTTTTGTATTTTTAGTAGAGATGGGGTTTCACCATGTTGGCCAAGCTCATCTCGAACTCCTGACCTCAAGTGATCTGCCCGCCTCGTCCTCCCAAAGTCCTGGGATTACAGGTGTGAACCACCATGCCTGGCCCCTTTATACTTTAGATACTATGAGCAGTAATATAATATCTATACTGGTGGAATAGTTGATATTCATTAGATTGAGATACAAAGAATATGATGTTGCTTTATCTTTTTGGTATGTCTGAATAATTGTAGTTTGAGAGAAGCAGTTTTTTTTTTTTTTGAAATGGAGTCTTGCTCTGTCGCCCAGGCTGGAGTGCAGTGGCGCGATCTTGGCTCACTGCAACCTCCATCTCCCAGGTTCAAGCGATTCTCCTGCCTCAGCCTCCCAAGTAGCTGGGATTACAGGCACGTGCCACCACACCCAGCTAATTTTTATCTTTAGTAGAGACGGTGTTTCGCCATGTTGGCCAGGCTGGTCTTGAACTCCTGACCTCAGGTGATCCACCCACCTTGGCCTCCCAAAGTGCTAGGATTACAGGCATGAGCCACTGCGCCTGGCTGAGAAGAGCAGCTTTAAAGTACATCATAATAATGGTGGGTGTTTCCTTCAGTTAGGAAATGAGCATTTTGCTATGATTTTTATTTTAAAAAAGAGATGGAGAATTTTTGAAGGTATCCTTATATAATGATTTATCTGCACATGTATCATTATTAATGTATCAAAGGAAAATGGAAAGTGACATGTTGATTAACTAGATTTGATTAATTTGATTAATTAGATTTCTTCCAACTCAGTGACATTTGTAACACGTGACAGGTTGCTTGATAAAGGGTAACATTTCTCTTACAAATGCTACTTTTGTTATTTTTTTTCTTTTGGTGATCTGTGCTGTCATTTGCATGTTAGTAATCTGATTTTAAGAATTTTGTATTTTGGGGAACATAACCATGTTAAAAGACAGTTTATTTTAGTACTGAAAGAAAATAGTTACTTTTACTCTCATTTATTTAATTTCTGTTCATTTTTTCCCTGTATTTAGAAACAAAAAAAACATCACGAATCTTTCCCGCTTAGTTGTCCGCCCCCACACAGATGCTGTTTACCATGCCTGCTTTTCTGAGGATGGTCAGAGAATAGCTTCTTGTGGAGCTGATAAAACCTTACAGGTAAAACACATCTCTTGAGAAAAATGCAAAGAGGCATGTATCCAGTTTTGTGCAGATCAGAATATGTTTAAATCCTAAAATTCAAGAAAATTGCAACTTAGAAATAACAGAGGAATCCAGCTCTCTTGAACATTTTATTAAAGGTTTCTCTAGAGATTTAAAAGATACAGTTACATGTTTTCCTAATTCTAAACTTACAGGTGGTAAGGAAGTGCCCTTTACCCTGCCAGTCAGTTCCCAGCCATCCATTTGTCAGCTAAGGGTAGTGAGGAAATAATTGTTAGAAGACGTAGGGCTTCATAGCACAGGGAATAGGGCTGTGATTAAAAAACAGTGATTAGGAAAATACCTATTTTATCAAAGTCTTAGGCATAGGTTTTTTTCTTGTAAATAGGAACTGGACTAGACTATTTCCTAAGTTGTTTTAAAGAATTTCCTTTAAGATTCCCTTTGTTTTCAGAAAATATTAATGAGTACTTTTCTTTATGTTTGTGTTCTGCCTTTTGATTTTGCAGAGAACATGATGAAATTAGTTAAAACTTGTATTTAGGATACTTTTAGTCTTTGCAAGATTATGACTCCATAGCTTATGTCTATATGTGTACTTTATTACTAATTTTATTAATCTTGGCTTTTGAGTTCCAGAGAGAATGCATATTAAATGAAATGTTTTATTTGATTGTTAAGAATTTGCCAAAATAGTCTCAAGAGCTGAAGCTGTGCTCTGACACTTCTTTTTGATGGCAGCGGCGGGCTGCCTGGAGTGGCTGCTGCCATCATGCTGGCTGCAGCAGGGAGGCGCAGCTGGGGCTGCATGCTCTGTGGAGCTGGCGGTAGCTGGGGACAAGCAGGAACCCTACCCCTTCTGAATTGGGGCAGGAGCTCCTGGTTCCTGCTGTAGCCGCCCAAGCCACAGCTGTGGACCTGGGAACCCGCTCCATGGAGCAGGCCAGAGCCCTGCCCTCCTGGGTGTAGCTGTAGCCGCCCAAACCACAGCTGCAGGCTCGGGCCTCCGGCTCCACAGAGCAGGCAGGACCCCTTCCCCCTGGTGCAGCTGTAGCTGCCCAAGCGGTGGCTGCAGACTCAGGCATCCCTGTACTCTTGGGGGACCTGGAAGGACCCCCTGCCCTTGTAGGCTTGGAAGTGCCTGCTCCCGCTGCCTGACTTCTCCCTACTGTTGGCACCCACTCTGATCTTAGAGCAAAGCTGGGGCTGAGCCTGGGTGCTGTTGCAGCCCGGCCAGATGTGCACATGCTTGGGGCAGTGCTGACATGCCAGCCCCCTGCCGCCTCGGCCCCCTCCGGACTTTGGGTGCTGATGAGCATAGGAGGGAAGCCAAGGGGGTGCTGAGGGCAGTTTGATACTGGCCTGCAGGCTCCCCTTGGCACCTACAGCCTGGGTGCCATTCATGGCAGCAGGAGGCAGACAGGTTCCTGGGTGGAAGGGGGCGGGTCACCAATGAGGCCCCACCTTCAGGCCACAAAGGGCCTGAAGACTGGGGGCTGGGCTGCTGGTGTGGACTGAATGGACTGGAGTGGGAACTTATAGTGCCTTTTCCAGGCTTGCCCATGTCTGCCCATGGACCAGTTGGCATGTACTTCCTCCCTTCTGAAGCCCATAAAAGCCTCGGGCTTAGCCAGTGCTGAGCAGACACTGGGACAACCAGCTGCAGAGAGGAGCAACCCACTCTAGTGCCCCCTCTTTGCTGAGAGCTGTGCAGATGACAGGAGGACCAGCTGCAGAGAGGAGCTACCCTCTCTGCTGATAGCTGAACACTTGTCAGGAGGACTTGCCTAGCAGAGAGGAGCTACCCTCTCCTGAGCTGTGGAAAGGAGCTGCCCCCCGCAGGTTTATTGAGCTATTTTATCGCTCAATAAAGCTCCTGTTTGTCTTGCTCACCTTCCACCTGTCAGCGTACCACATTCTTCCTGGTTGTAGGACAAGAACTTGGGATCCCACTGAATGGTGAGGCTAAAAGAGCTGTAACACAAACAGGGCTGAGACATGCCCCTTGCTTGCCGCATTGCAAGTGAAGATAAGTAAAGAAAAGCTGCGGCCCTTCGGGGAGCCCAGACTTGGGAGCTCCCCAAGCTAGGGCTGTGACTCCCTCTTTGGGGCCCCGCGGTTCCTGGCATCTCCAAGCTTCTGGGCACCACCGTGTTCCCCGGTGCCAGCGTGTAAGCTGCTTGTGGTGTGCCTGGTCCAGCCACAGCCTCACAGAGAGCCAGAGCCCATGCTGGCACCTGGAGCTGCCTGCCCCGCTGCAGCAGTCAGCACGTCTGTGCGCAGTGGCTGGACCCCACGCTCACTCACACACGCCTCGCTGTTCCACGCCTGACTCGCCCTTGGCAGGCTTGGGACCCAGGCTGGTAGTGTGAGCTGAATGCAGCCTGTCAGGCCAAGTGGGTGAAACAAGACCAGTGGGCCCAAGCAAAACTTGGGCAAAGGCGCCACCGGCCACAGAAGTTTCTGGCCAGAAAATCAACACCCCAAAGATCCTGTAACATTTTCATTGATATTTACAAACATGTAACAGTGAATAGTTCTCTAGTTATGTGAAGGCATACACATTCTGACAGAAATTCTGATTTTGGGAGTAGCTTTGCCAAGGTTCCTTTCTGTTTTGCAAAATGACAATGATTAAACTCACTTAAAGATTTTTATTGAATGATGACCAGTAGTTAAGCAGTTTATTATAAAAAATATTTTATTGTTACTTGTGCAGGTGTTCAAAGCTGAAACAGGAGAGAAACTTCTAGAAATCAAGGCTCATGAGGATGAAGTGCTTTGTTGTGCATTCTCTACAGATGACAGATTTATAGCAACCTGCTCAGTGGATAAAAAAGTGAAGGTAGGAAAATCTTTTCCTCTTGAGTTGTAATCACAACAGAATTCATTTTATTTTTCCATGATCATGAGACCAGAGTAAGTAGAGTTAAAGGACTCTCACCTGTTGATCTACTAACCTGATTCATTGTAAATTAACACTATCTGAAAATTCTTTACTTTTTTTTAAAGAGACAGGATTTTGCTCTGTGACCCAGGCTGGAGGGCAGTGGCATGATCATAGCTCACTGTAAACTCCAATTCCTGGGCTCAAGTGATCCTCCTGCCACAGCCTTCCAAAGTGTTAGGATTATAGGTATGAGCCACTGTGCGTGGCCTGAAAATTCTTTATTTTTAAACACCAGCAAAAATGCCTAGGTTGATCACCTCAGGATTAAACAAGCAGTGGGGAAAAGCAATGACAAATTAGTGAGTTTGTCTTCCATTAATAGACAAGTCCATGGGTTAAATATCAGTTGAAATCTTTGAGTGCATTGTGATTAGGAGTGTTGCTGCACAAACTTGGGGATTCCTGTTGTAAGATACAATTTTAAAATGCAACCCCAATTTTTTTAATTTGCTTATGAACTGGCTTATATATTCAGTGGAAAACCAGGTGGATGAACAAACTAATAATTACGTTACTGGTCTAAAAACATAAATAGAGAAAAGTAAACAGAGTAATTTTTACTTATTTATTTTGAGGCAGAGTCTTGCTCTGACACCCAGACTGGAGTGCAGTGGTACAATCTCGGCTCACTGCAATCTCTGCCTCCAGGATTCAATTGATTCTTATGCCTCAGCCTCTTGAGTAGCTGAGATCACAGGTGTGCACCACCATGCCCAGCTAATTTTTGTAGTTTTGGTAGAGACAGAGTTTTGCCATGTTGGTCAGGCTGGTATTGAACTTCTGGCCTCAAGTGATCCGCCTGCCTTTGACTCCCAAAGTGCTGAGATTATAGGCATGAGCCACTGTGCCCCGCCAGAGAGTAATTTTTATTTTTGTTAAGTATTCTCTTGTTCCTAAATTTGGCTTCTACCAGGAGCATTTATACTAATATAGAATTCAAGAGAAACTGAAGGCTTGTGGGGGTTATCACTGATATATGGAAGACAGACCTTACTTTAACCCTTTTTCAAAGGGGTTAAATCTGGAGTACTGGATGTAGCTAGGTGGAGTGGGCAAGAAATTTGCCTTGGGTGTTTTCCTGAAGTTTTCACCTACTGGAAGAGGGCTATGGAATGTCCAGACTAAATTTGAGACCTTGGAAAAATCTACCTCTTGATAGATTGGACTCGTGGCTTAACCAACAGTTAATTCACTCTGTAGTGTCTACTCTGACTCTGAGTCAGACTTGGAGGTGGCCACTGAGGGCAGTTCTAAAGTCAGAGCTACATGGAGTAAAAGGAAATAATAATGAGTTTCTGTTTTCTAAGCCAGAGGTAGAAATACCTATTAAAGAACTTTAAAATAAGATAAACTCTCTGGACCTCTGGGGATTCTAATCAGTGCTTTGATAACATACAAAGGAAATGCCAAAGGACATTAGTACCTCTAAAAAGTCAAAATCCCAGTGAAGGTTCATTAGGTAATTTATTTCTTTTGTTTGTTGTTATATGGCATAGACTGCTTAGTTGTCTTACATAGTAACTAGAATGATGATTAATTTTTTTGTTTTTTTTTTTTTTTTTTTGAGACGGAGTCTCGCTCTTTCGCCCAGGTTGAACTGCAGTGGCGCTATCTCGGCTCACTGCAAGCTCCGACTCCCGGGTTCATGCCATTCTCCTGCCTCAGCCTCCCGAGTAGCTGGGACTACAGGCGGCCGCCACCGCGCCTGGCTAATTTTTTGTATTTTTAGTAGAGACGGGGTTTCACCATGTTAGCCAGGATGGTGTTGATCTCCTGACCTCGTGATCTGCCCGCCTCGGCCTCCCAAAGTGCTGGGATTACAGGCGTGAGCCACCGCGCCCGGCCTGATGATTACTTTTTACTGAAAACTGAACACTATAAGAGGCTATAAATACTACACACTTTGTCATATTACATTATCAATTTCCTGCTACAGCTTGCAGGGTTAAGTGTCGATCCCGTTTACAGAAGAGGACGCAGATTCAGAGATGAAGTCTCTTGCTCAAGCTTACATTAAACTGGGAACAGTAATAGGGTTGAAAGCTGGGTTTCTCTCAGACTATAAAACCTTTATTTTTTTTAACTAAGCAATCTGCCTTTACTTATTTATATGGTACCTTGAAGTCCATAGAACACTTGTCATGTTCATTATCTCATTTGATATCTTAAATTGTGTGGGAGAGGTATAGATATCCCCATTTTACAGAAGAGGGAACTGAGATGCAGGTAAGTTAGGGATTTGTGACACACAAGTCATAAGTGGTAGAGCCAGCTCTTGGGCTCAACCCTTCTGACCAGAAATCTATTATGCTAACCTCTTTAAAGCACTTCTCTGCCTGCTTTCATTCATATAAACATGTGAAATCTTGCCCTTAAGAAATGTCATGTGTTCATGACACTCTAGTTATGCTATAGGTACATATATGTATATTTGCAAATAATTTTTTTTAAACATTAAGGCAAAATATTGCCATATTTTAGAAAGGGGAGAGGTTTCATTAGCATCTTGTCCAACTAGGAAAATCTGCTATGACAGGATAAGATAGCATTTGCAAAGCAATGGACATTGCTTTGCCCCTCTGTTCTCCCTTTGAAAATAATGGATATTTGTAAATTTTTTCTCTTTTCTCTTTAGATTTGGAATTCTATGACTGGGGAACTAGTACACACCTATGATGAGCACTCAGAGCAAGTCAATTGCTGCCATTTCACCAACAGTAGTCATCATCTTCTCTTAGCCACTGGGTCAAGTGACTGCTTCCTCAAAGTAAGTGTGGATATTGAGAATTAGGTAGATAAATTTGATTCGTACATCAGAGTATCTCCTTTGATTTTCTTATGTATACTACTATTAGGACTTTCTGGTCACAATGATAGAAACTACAATAATATATTAGCTGAAGCAAAAAAAAAATAGCTTAAAAATATTTTATTGGCTCATGTAACTGAAAAGTCTAGAGGGAGCATGGCTTCAGGCATAGCTGACTCCAAATGCTTAAACTGTGTTCTCAGGCTCTACCTCCCTTTCCATCTCCAGAGTCTTGACTTCCTCTGTGTTGGTTCAGGCATGCTCTTTCTGTGGCAGAAAATGTGGCTACCTTACAGCTCACAATCACAGAGTAAGAGAAATGTGCTCTCTCCTAGAACCCATAGATCTAATTTTAGAGAAGCCTTTATTTGACTCATTTTGGCTTACATGCTCATAGCTAGGGTAACCCCAGTGGACAGTAGGATGGAATCCTTGGATTGTCCAAGGGTCACAAGTTTAGTTATATGGAAGTGGGACAAATGAGTGAGGTCAACTCTACTTGAATCGTAAGTAGAGCTTAATTCAAAAGAGAGTTCTGTTATCACAGAGAGGAGGGAGAAAAGGTGCTGGTAGGAAAGATAACCAAAAACAGAAATTCATTCCACATATGCTTTGTAATGTTTGATTGTATCTTTTTTTCCTCTTAAGTGGATAAAGATAGCTAGATTACCTTTTCTGGAATCCCAGAAAGATCTGCTAACTTTTTTTGAATTGTTTTTTGGTTTGATTTCAAACCTTTCTTCCTTGATACCATACCATCTTTGCAATTGAACATGATATTTTTGAGAGGGGTAGTAAAAGACATTTCAGTTTGGAAAACTTCATAGACTCTATGTTTTGACATTTAAATAAATTATTAGAAAAATTATCTTTAGAAAGTACTGAAACAGTTATTGAAAATTGCCGTCTCCATCCCCCTGTTCAGGAAGCTAAATTTTTATTTATTTATTTATTTTTTCAGAAGAAAAAATTATACAGAAGCTCAGTGTGTATAAGAGTTAAAGCTTGCTGCTCTGGCTGAATGGGACCTACATTTCTTCTTGACTCTCTCTTCCTCCCCCTTTCCCTCTCCTCTCTCTCTCTCCCTCTATCCCTTTCCCTTCCTGTCACCTTCCCTTCCTCTTGACCTTCCTTTCTCTCCTCCTCCCTCTCTTCTTCTGTCTCCTCCTCCTCCTCCCTCCTCCTCCCCCCACCCCCCCTCTCATTCTCTCTCATTCCCTTTCATCTCTAACCTCTCCGCACCACATAGTGCTCTTTAGGCATATTTATGTTTATAGAATCCCAAGGACCCTGCAGAGCACAATTTGAAAACACTGGATTGGACCAAAATTACAGAGTAATGTAGTAACATAAAATTATATCACAGTTATGGTTCACTTTTACTCAAAAAAACTTGGCCCTATTTGAATAAATGTACCACTAAAAAAAAATAAGACTGTTATACTATTTACGACTAATTTTTGATGTTGCTTTTGGCATTTTGTAGGTTGAGGAAATAAATACAGGAAAAAACCTCTGCCATGTGGGAGGGGGTTATTGGTTAGTAAGCCATTTTAATTAAGGACAAGGTTTACTTTAAGATGTGCTATACTACCTATATTACCATAAGGACTATTAGGATGCATTTCTTGTGATTCTTGAGCAGAGAGAAGCCAGTGAAAATATGTAATTGTGAAGCTGCCTTCATGTAACTTGCTTTATCTGAAGAATTGAGTTTATCTAGGACTGGGATAAAGGAGTCAAAGATAGAAGTGGACATGAGGAACAGTATATATCTCACTTACTAATCATTTCTAAATAATTTTTGCCAAAACTAACATTTAGCAATAATTGATTTCTTCTTCTGGGTTTAATCTTATTAGCATAAATCACCAGAGATGACTATAATCCCTTTTATTTGCATTTTTTATACTTTCCAAACCTACCCAAAGAGAGGAGATATAATATAAACCCCTGTGGTATCCATCATTTAGTTTCAACAATTATCAGTATTTTGTCAATCTTATTTTATAAATACCCCTCCCTTTTTTTTTTTTTTGAGATGGCATCTTGCTCTGTCGCCAGGCTGGAGTGCAGTGGCACGATCTTGGCTCACTGCAACCTCTGCCTCCCGGGTTCAAGCGATTTCCCTGCCTCAGCCTCCTGAGTAGCTGGGACTACAGGTGCCGTGCCACCATGCCTGGCTAATTTTTTGTATTTTAGTAGAGATGGGTTTTCATTATGTTGGCCAGGATGGTCTCAATCTCCTGATCTTGTGATCGCCTGCCTCAGCCTCCCAAAGTGCTAGGATTACAGGTGTGAGCCACCACGCCCAGCTTATAAACTCCTCCACTTTTTTGAATAGAGTCTTCCTCTATCACCCAGGCTGGAGTGCAGTGGAGCGATCTTGGCTCATTGCAACCTCTGCCTCCTGGGTTCAAGCAATTCTTATGCCTCAGCCTCCCAAGTAGCTGGGATTACAGGCATGGGCCACCACTCCCAGCTAATTTTTTGTGTTTTTAGTAGAGATGGGGTTTTGCTATGGTGGTCAGGCTGGTCTTGAACTCCTGACCTCAGGTGATACGCCCACCTCAGCCTCCCAAAGTGCTGGGATTACAGGGGTGAGCCGCCATGTCCAGCCTGAATAGAGGATTTTACAGCAAGTCCTAAATATGTCATTTCACCCAAAATATTTAAGCATGCATCTCAGAGATCTTAAATATAAATACTATGTTTATTATCATACCATACTATTATCACACCTAACATAATAAAATATAGTTTTGTAATATACTTGGTCCATGTTCACTTATTCCATATTCTCAAAACATGCATTTCTATCATGTTTGTTGGAATCAGAATCCAAACAAACTTTATGTAGCATTTGTTCTGCCTCTTAAGTCTCTTTTATTCTATTAAAGTTCCCTTTTTCCTCTGACTGCTTTCTTATACCATTGATTTATTAGAGCAATTTAGTCATTTGTCCCATGGAATGTGCCATATTTTGGATTTGGTTAATTGCTTCCTAGAGGTGGTACTTGACTTGCTCCACCATTTTTAGGGTTGGATAACCTGACATTTAAAAAATATGGGGGTAATTTATATTACATATTACTTATTGTGGCTTTTTGTAACTGAGTAAAATAATAATGATTCTAAACCACTCCGTTGAAATAAGTAGTAATTGTTTAGTTAGTTATTTAGTACTCAGCCTAAAAACCTCGGTGAGCCTTTGAGTCCCTTAGTCGATTTACATGCTGATCTAAAGGCTGCCCCATTGCTTGTTAATCACAAGTTCATTTTTGTGTTTGATACGTTTGTGTTACTGTGAATTAAACATCATTCTGTAATCAAAAAGCTTAAATGAGAGAAAAGGAAGAACTTCACATGATTTCTGATGTTTCCCCACTCAATACTAGTTGTTTATTTATCTTTTTTTCTTTCACAAATAGCTTTGGGATTTGAATCAAAAAGAATGTCGAAATACCATGTTTGGTCATACAAATTCAGTCAATCACTGCAGATTTTCACCAGATGATAAGCTTTTGGCTAGTTGTTCAGCTGATGGAACCTTAAAGGTATGCTTTTGTACACTATTAAAATAGGTTGTATTTTATGGAAAGTCTTATGATTTGATTATAGAAATAGGTTTCTGTTTTTTCACATTTCTACAGAAAGAGCCTGCTTCTTTCAATTTCCAGGAGCATATTTAATGTAACTGTAATTGCTTATCGTAATGATTGTTTATGAATGGTGTACAACCTAATGCTTAAAGTTCTATAATGTAGGCTGGGTGCGGTGGCTCACGCCTGTAATCCCAGCACTTTGGGAGGCCGAGGTGGGTGGATCACAAGGTCAGGAGTTCAAGACCAGTCTGGCTAAGATGGTGAAACCCCGTCTCTACTAAAAATACAAAAATTAGCTGGGTGTGGTGGTGAGTGCCTGTAATCCCAGCTACTTGGGAGGCTGAGGCAGAGAATTGCTTGAACCCGGGAGGTGGAGGTTGCAGTGAGCTGAGATCACGCCACTCCACTCCAGCCTGGGCGACAGAGTGAGACTCCGTCTCAAAAAAAAAAAAAAAAGTTCTGTAATGTAGAATTTTTATTCTTTTAATTTGAATTCTTAAATTTTAAGTGTACATTTTGTTTCAAGCATATGTTCATAAAATATTTTGAGATCTGTTTTAGTTTATTTTGTGCTTCTATAATTTATGTTGTGCTTCTATAAATTGTGAGTAATTTATAAAGAATGGAGATTTATTTCTTACAGTTCTGGGGGAGAGGGTACCAGCAGAGAAGGGAGAGAGTGAGGAGGCGGCTGAACTTATCCATTTATCAGGAACCTAGGTAATAGCATTAATCCATTCATGAGGGTAGCGCCCTCATGACCTAATCACTTTTGAAGGTCCCATCTCTCAATACTTGCATCAGGGATTAAGTATTTAATACATGAACTTTGGGGGACACGTTTAAACCACAGCAAGATCTATGGGTCAGGTTTGTAAAGGATCTGGCTTTTGTTTTTGTTTTTGTTTTTGAGACAGTCTCACTCTGTCGCCCAGGCTGGAGTACAATGGTGTGATCTTGGCTCACTGCAGCCTCTGCCTCCTGGGTTCAAGCGATTCTCGTGCCCCAGTCTCCCAAGTAGATAGGAGTACAGGCGCCTGCCACCAAGCCTGGCTAATTTTTGTATTTTTAGTAGAGACGGAGTTTCACCACGTTGGCCAGTCTGGGGACCTGTTTTTACTTATAATTTATTCATTCTGCCTTTTATATTATTGCTTTCTTGTTTTTGAGAAGCCACAAGGTAGGAAAAATGCAAGAGTTAGGGAAAAAAGCTTATTCAGCCTTCTGAAATTTATAGGCCTAAAAAAATGAAATAATTCTTCCTCAAATCCCCACCTTCTCCAATAAGATTCCCAATTCCACTTTATTATTCCTGTCTCTATTGTCTCTCCTGTTTATTGACTGTCCTTTCTTTCTTTGGTCTTAAGATCAACCCATCTTTGACATTGTTGTCTCTTGGTCTACATTTTTCCCTCTTGTTCTGTAGTAGTTGCTCTAGTTCAGGCTGTTGTCTGCTCATGCCTGATAGCAACCATCTAAGATGCATTCTGCATCTCTTCTTATCTAAGTTCAGAGATACTAGAATAACCTTCTACCACTGTTTTCTTTCTTTTTTTTTTTTTTTTTTGGAGACAGAGTCTCACTCTTTCACTCAGGCTGGAGTGCAGTGGTACCATCATGGCTCACTGCAGCCTTCACTTCTGGTCTCAAGCAGTCCTCGTACTTCAGCCTCTCAAGTAACTGGAATCACAAGCATGTGCCATCACACCTGGCGAAATTTTTTTTTTTTTTTTTTTTTTAGAGATAGGATCTTACTATGTTGCCCATGCTTGTCTCCAGCTCCTGGGCTCAAGCAATCCCAGTGCTGGGATTATAGGCGTGAGCCACCAAGCCTAGCCTACCACTCTTTTCTTTTTTCTTTTCTTTTCTTTTTCTTTACTCTTCTCTTTTCTTTCTTTCTTTCTTTTTTTTGAAACAGGGTCTTATTCTGTTGTCTAGGCTGGAGTGCAGTGGCCTGATCCTGGCCCACCACAGTCTATCTCCTGGGCTTAGATGATCCTCCCACCTCAGCCTCTTGAGTAGCTGGGACTGCAAGTGCCTGCTACCATGCCCAGCTAATTTTTTGTACTTTTATTAGAGATGGGGTTTTGCCTATGTTTCCCAGGCTGGTCTGAAACTCCTGGGCTCGAGTAGTCTGCCTGCCTTGGCCTCCTGAAGTGCTGAGATTATAGGAGTGAGCCACTGCATCCGGCCCTACCACTATTTTCAACATAAATTATGCCATAGTATAAACTGTAGGAAACGCAGACTCATTGGGATGACTTCTAAGGTTCTTCACCTTCCGTCATTCTGCCACATCCTTTCCTGTCAAGTTTGTTTCTTCTAACCCCTATACCTTAATTGTCTGTTCTGGGCAAGGTGTTTTATTTCAGCTACTGTCCCTGTATGTGTTTCTTGGGATGTTTCCTATGTGTGCCCCTGTAGCTTTTCTTAGGATGTTTTTTGCCTTCGATTTCACTTGCCATATTTTTTAATGCCCGTCAAAACTTTAGGCAAAGCCTTTTGTGTGAGGGTGAGAGAGAGAGAGAGAGAGAGAGAGAGAGTGTGTGTGTCTGTGTGTGTGTGTGTGTGTGTGAGAGAGAGACACAGGGTCTTACTTTGTCACCCAGGCCGGAGTGCAGTGGTCTGGGCTAACTAAAGTGATCCTCCTGCCTCAACCGCCTGAGTAGCTGGGACTTCAGGCGTGTGTGACAATGCCTAGCTAATTTTGTTTAATTTTTGTAGAGATGGGGCCTCCCTGTGTTACCCAGGCTGGTCTTGAACTAAGCTCAAGCGATCCTCCCACTTTGGTCTCCCAAAGTACTGGGATCACAGACATGAGCCACCACACCTGGACTGCAAAGCATTCTTCAGAAAGTGTTCTCTTACAGCATCCATCTGTTTGGTTCTGAGTACATATATCTATCTATATCTATAGGTAGAAACTGCTTGGTTTGTCTTCTGATTTCCACTTATAAATGTGTTGTACTGTTCAGTCATTTTAATGTGTCTTCTGTTTCTTTGATTAGGTTGAATATAGGTTTATGATCTGCAGGGAACTTGACATCTTTTTGTTGTATTATACCTTTCTTTGTAACTCATAGTACAGAATTGTACTCAAGTATTCAGTAAATTTTCTTGACTACACCTTTTCTAGGAAAATACTTAAATACTCCTGGGCACTATTTTGTTTGTTAGAATCTCTAGGGAAGGAGATTCAGCAATGCTACTAACTCCTGAGAAAGGTAAACTGTTTTGATTCTGATACTCTGGTTGAATCTTTGATCTTGCTTTGCTGACGGAAGATAACTGTTTTTGTATAAATTACTCCAGAGTATCTAGAAACTCTTTCTGGGTAGAATTCTACTTTGTAGAGTTTAGCTAGCTGTTAGTGGGTGCTGGGAGCATTCTTAGGTAGAATATTCAGGTAAGTGGATTTTGGCCTCTATGCTATATCTATCTGCTTCTTCCTTTAGAATGATCCATGTCATGGGAGGTTTTTCAGAATACCCGTGGATGGATTTAGGCAGCCCTCCTTTCATTTTGTCAGCCTATTATTTCCTGGTTTTTACTCAGTGAAAGACTTCAGAAGAAGGCATTTTATATTTTAAGTTTTCCTTTCATCTTATCTCCTTTGCTAATTCCAAATTCTGGGAAGACTGCATTATCCTTAGCATGTTTGCCATTATTATTAGGTTGCCAAATGTTCAAGAAAGCTGTAAAACTAGGCCATTTATGTGTTGTACAAATATAAGTTGTACAGCTCAGCTGGGCCTTATTTGCCGCTGAATTATGGTCTGTTCATCCCTAATTTATTTGCTTTTCCACTAGTGCCTATTCTAATCCTTTTCTGCTGTTCTTAAGCCCCTAACCCTTTTATTTTATGGCAATAATGTTACCTCATACCCATTCAAAGGATTAAAACCATCCACCAAGAGTCCCCTATCATAAGCCCCCTCAGAAATTGCTGTAAAAAGCCTCTGCTCCATTTTTTCTCATAACAGTGTCCAAAAAGTCCTGTACTTGGGCCAGACATGGTGGCTCATGCCTGTAATCCCAGCACTTTGGGAGGCCGAGGTGGGCGGATCATGAGGTCAGGAGTTCGAGACCAGCCTGGCCAACATGGTGAAACCCCGTCTCTACTAAAAATACAAAAATTAGCTGGGCGTGGTGGCGCATGCCTGTAATCCCAACTACTCAGGAGGCTGAGGCAGGAGAATTGCTTGAACCCGGGAGGCGGAAGTTGCAGTAAGCTGAGATTGCGCCACTGCACTCAAGCCTGGGGGAAGAGCGAGACTCCGTCTTGAAAAAAAAAGAAAAAATCCTGTACTTGTACCTACTGTTCCTCCCTTTCCTTCTTTTCCTGGCACCTTGTTTCATTAGTTGTTTCCTCTCTATGTTGCTTCTTCAGATTTTTCTTCTTTTTTGAATTATTTTCCACAGCTTACAAATGTTCTTGGGCCTTCCTGAGCCTTATAAAGCCAAAAAGTGAAAAACCTTTGATTCTTCCTTGATTGTATTGTTCTTTAAAATTGTCATTCTGTTTTTCTCTTTCCCTTCATGACTGGGCTTCTTAAGTCATCTATACTTGCCTCTGTTTCCTGACTACCTACTCCCTGCTTAACCATTTTTTAGCCTGGTTTCATCTTCCCTGTATTCCCTTGAAGAATGTAAAAATCCAGTTTTATTTTCAGTTTCAATTTTTTTTGTAGTCTAAGGCCCTCTGGATTAGTGTGAAATCTGATATTTTTCTTTATCTGATTCTCATTATTTTTGTTGTATTACTATTGGTCAAACCCCCAATGACCACCTAGTTTTTTTGTTTTTTTGTGTTTTTTTTGAAACTCTCCTCATTTTACATCAATGTTTTATTCTTTCTCCTCTTAGCTCTCTGATCCCTTCATTAACTATTTTCCCTGACCATTAAAATGTAGCTATTCCTGCAGCATCTAACCTTGGCTACCACCTCTATCACCGCTCTTCCATCCCAGTTCATTCAGTCTCATGGCTTCAACTCATCTTTTTTCAGGTATGTCATCTGCAACCTTCATTTTATGAGCTGTGTTCTTCATTCCTAACTTCCTGCTAGTTGTTGTCACTTAAGTAACATACCATGCCTCAAAGTTATTGCACTCCAAACTGAGTTAATTATTCTCTTCTCAAACATGACCTACTTTTTATGTTTCATTATTATTTTTTTTAGACAGAGTCTCGCTCTGTTGCTGAGGCTGGAGTGCAGTGGCGCGATCTCGGCTCACTGCAAGCTCCGCCTCCTGGGTTCATGCCATTCTCCTGCCTCAGCCTCCCTAGTAGCTGGGAGTACAGGCGCCCGCTGCCATGCCCGGCTAATTTTTTGTATTTTTGAGTAGAGACGGGGTTTCACCACATTAGCCAGAATGGTCTTGATCTCCTGACCTCGTGATCCGCCTGCCTCGGCCTCCCAAAGTGCTGGGATTACAGGCGTGAGCCACTGCACCCAGCCTATGTTTCATGATTTAAAAAAAAAAATTTCAACTTTTATTTAGATTCAGGGGTACATGTGCAGGTTTGTTATGTGAGTATATTGCATGATGCTGATGCCGAGGTTTGGGTACAACTGGTCCTGTCATCCAGATAGCATAGTACCCAATAGGTGCCTCATTCCCCCCTCCCCAACTCTAGTAGTCCCCAGCATTTATTGTTCTTATCTTTATGTCTTTGTGTACCCAATGTTTAGCTCTGGCTTATAAGTGAGAACTTGTGGTATTTGGTTTTCTGTTCCTGCATTAATTTGCTTAGGATAATGGCCTCCAGCTGCATTCATGTTGCTGGAAAGGACATGATTTTATTCTTTTTTATGGCTGTGTTGTATCCCATGGTGTATATGTACCATATTTCCTTTAACCTTCCGTTGATGGGCACCTAGGTTGGTTTGTGTCTTTGCTGTTACGAATAGTGCTGCAGTGAATATACAAGTGCATGTGTCTTTTTGGTAGAATGATTTGTTTTCCTTTGGGTGTATACCCAGTAATGGGATTGCTGGGTTGAATGGTAGTTCTGTTTTAAGTTATTTGAGAAATCTCCAAACTGCTTTACAAAGTCACCGAACAAATTTACATTCCCACCAGCAGTGTATAAGCGTTCCCTTTTCTCTGCAGCCTCCCTGGCATCTTTTATTTTTTGACTAAAAAAAAAAAACAACACATATATAAAAATTATATAGCAGTGTTTTGTAGTTCTCCTTGTAGAGATCTTTGACTTCTTTGGTTAGATGTATTCCTGGGTATTTTATTTTTTTGTGTGTGGCTACTGTAAATGGGATTGTGTTCTTGATTTGGCTCTCAGCTTTAATGTTATTGATGTACAGAAATGCTGCTGATTTTTTTTTTTCTTAAATAGAAAAAAGGTCTTACTACGTTGGCCAGGCTGGTCTCAAACTCCTGGCCTCAAGTGATCCTTTGGCCTCAGCCTCCCAAAGTGCTGGGCTTACAAGCATGAACCACTGTGCCTGGCTAACTGATTTTTGTACATTGATTTTGATTAGAACAGTGTTCAGGGTTTACATCATTGTAACTAATCACAATTGAGCCGTATCGTGTGAATTTTTTTCCTCTCTCATTAGCTTTCTGTTTTCCCTGGGGTTGATAAGTTTGTTTTTTCATTTGTTTAGTTTTTATATGTGCTTATCTTCAAACTCTCTCTTGTTAATTTGCTCCTTAAATGATTCAAACTTACCAGGCATTTTATAAGTCTTTTCTTGGAAACAACATTTTTGGAAGGTTCTATCTTGCTCCATTCTGGTCGGTAATGGTAATACTATTCCCAGAGTCCAGCTGCCATCCTGAGGTCTTCCTTACCATCATCCTAGGGATTCCTTTTGCTTTTCTTTTAAATTGGAACACTTGTTTTTCAGTTTTTTTTTTTTTTTTCGTCTTCTTTCTTGGCTTACTTTTTCAGCTTGGTGGAGAATCTCCTCTAGCTTCCTAAGAAAGAATCTATGGGAAGTAAATTTTTAAGGTGTCTTTATTATAATGTCTAAAGATGTCTCTGTTTTTCACTTGCTGATTTGCTTGAGTTCCTTATGAATTCTGGATATTAGACCTTTGTTGGATGCATAGTTTAACAAGGCCAACAAAAGCAATGCGGGAGAGGACTCTCTATTCAATAAATGGTGCTGGGATAACTGGCTAGCCATATGCAGAAGAATGAAACTAGACCTTTACCTTTTACCACATGTAAAAATTAAAGATGGATTAAAAATTTAAATATATGACCTCAAGCTATTAAAATCCTAGAAGAAAACCTAGGAAATACCCTTCTTGACATCAGTCTTGGCAAATAATTTTTGGCCAAGTCCTCAAAAGCAATTGCTACAAAAACAAACTTTGACAAGTGGAACCTAATTAAATGAAAGCTTCTGCACAGCAAAAGAAACTATCAACAGAGTAAACTGCCTACAGAATGGTGGCTTCTTTCAATCTGGAAACTTATCCTTCAGTTCTGGCATTTCCTTGAATTATTTGATTTCTTCCTATTTTCTCTTTCTGGAATGCTTGTGTTTCTGGATTAAAATTTTTTTTCCTCTCCTTCCTTCTTTTTGTCCATTTGCCCTACTTTTTGAAAGATTTCTTTAGCTTTACTTTTCTTTCCTTCTATTGAGTTTTAAATTTCTGCTACCATATTTTTAAGTATTCATTCTTGTGTGATTAGTTCCTTTTAAATATTATTCTGTTCTTGTTTCATGGATGCAGTATCTTTTATCTTTTTATGGGCATTAGTAATAGGGTTTTTTTTGAAGTTTTCATATTCCAGTGTAATAGATATTTTTCTATTTGTTGGTTTTGGTTTCTGTTTGGATTTTAGACATAGATATATCTTAGCTATCTGATCCTTTGCTATCTGCTCATATTTAAGAATACATCACCAACAAGTTGAATGGGAATTGTGAACTTTTAAATTGTGGTTTTCCTATGGGTTATCTGTTTTTATCATGAACAATTTTTTTTTTTTTTTTTTAGACAGTCTTGGTGTGTTGCCCAGGCTGGAGTGCTGTGGCACCATCTCGGCTCACTGCAAGATGGTGAACTTTTGATGTCAAAGTCTTTATATCTTTTGTCTTGAACTGGTTGGGTGTCCAGAGTAAAAATTTTCTTTTCTCTTTTTTCTTTTTCTTGCATTTTTTTTCCCTCCCGAGATGGAGTCTTGCTCTGTTGCCCAGGCTGGAGTGCAGTGGCGTGATCTCAGCTCACCACAACCTCTGCCTTTTGGGTTCAAGCAGTTCTCCTGCCTCAGCCTCCCAAGTAGCTGGGATTACAGGCACGCACCACCACACCTGGCTCATTTTTGTGTTTTTAGTAGAGACGGGATTTCACCATGTTGGCCAGGCTGGTCTTGAACTTCTGACCTTGTGATCCACCCTTCTTGGCCTCCCAAAGTTCTGGGATTACAGGTGTGAGCCACTGCGCCCAATGCCGCCCCCCCCCTTTTTTTTTTTTGAGACAGGGTCTCACTCTGTCACACAGGCTGGAGTGCTGGAGTGCAGTGGTGTGATTGCAGCTCACTGCAGCCTCAACCTCCTAGGCTCAAGTGATCCTCCCACCTTAGCCTCCTGAGGAGCTGGGACTACAGGTGTGCACCACCATGCCTGGCTAGAAGAAATTTTAATCTCCTATTTGTAGGATATGACTCTGGCCAGTTCTGAGATGATATCTGGGCAGAGATCTCAACATTTAGAAAAAAGACTTTCTCTTAATTTTCCTGTTTTCAGGTGACCCTTCTCTCAACTGTGTTGGGTATAGAATAGCCTTGTATTCTGCCAGAGTAGGGACACAGGCCCCCTGGGTTGCAGAGTGAAGGGAGGAGATTTCAATGGACTTTTAAAGATTCCTCTTGACTTAGCTTCACCTTTATCAGAAGGTACTGGGTGCCAGCACTTCCTGAGTCTTTTTGAAGGACTTAACTTCACCTTTATCAGAAGGTACTGGGTGCCAGCACTTCCTGAGTCTTTTTGGAGTTCTGTGGGGTGATTGGGCTGCTTGGATTTCTCCACTGCAGGCTCAGAATTTAATTTCTAGGAGTCTGCCTATTACTTGCCTTTCTGCTTTCTAGACTTGATGATTTTGTTGCTGCTGTCTCTTTCTCCATTTTCCTTCGCCTTGTGGATTATGCCGAGAGAAAAATTCCTATTACTATTGTTTACCTGAGTTTTGGGAGAGTTTGGAAATGGTCTGTGTCTGTTCTCTGTTTTCTGAAACATAATACCTGAGACTGGGTAATTTATAAAGAAAAGGGGTTTACTTGGCTCATGATTCTGATGGCCGGAAATTCCAGGATTGGGAAGCTACACCTGATGAGGGCCTTCGGCTGCTTCCACTCATGGTGGAAAGGGGAGGGGAAGTGGGCGTGTGCAAAGAGATCATATGAAAAGAGAGGATTGAAGATAGCGAAACCCAGGAAGCCAGACTGTTTTCAACAACCCGCACTCTTGAGAACTAATCCATTCCCAGGGAACTCACCCCAGTGGGAAGGCATTAGAAGGCATTCATCTGTTTATGAGGGATCCACCCCCATGACCCAGACACCTCCTATCAAGCCCTACTTCCCAACACTGCCACAGTGGGGATCCAATTTCAACACGAGTTTGGGTCAGGATAAATAAACCATCTCCAAACCATAGCAGAGCTGTATGTGTTCTCTGCATCTTTAACACCTGAACCCTATTTCTTTCAGCAACACTATTGTCTGTACTCGCCTGTGCTTGAAACTTGGGAGTGATCTTTTTGTTTGTTTGTTTGTTTTTAGAGACGGGGTTTCACCATGTTGCCCAGGCTGGTCTTGAACTCCTGGGCTCAAGTGGTCCGCTTGCCTAAGCCTCCCAAGGTGCTAGGATTACAGACATGAGCCACTGCACCCTGCCGGGAGTAATCAGTCTTTTCACTTAAAATGTATTTATTGAATACTTAGTGTGTGCCAGATACTGTACTAGGTATTTGGATTTTAAACCCTGAAAAAGAAAAAAGTATACTTCCTGGCTGTTCTGAACTGTTCAGAATAAAGTTGGAGAGAACATAAGTGAACAGATGAACCATGAAAATCATAAACGTATGAAGACAGTGCTCTGAGAGCAGATAAGGACTCTGTTGGGGAAGGGTTCACATACCTGATACTACAACCAGATTGAACTTGTTCTTCTTTTTCATTGTCTTTGTTTTCTCATTTTGTACTTTAGCTTATGCTGATCCCTTGGAATAGGCTCTAGGCCCTGGAGTGTTCCCCTGTCTTTTTGATGTTGAAATTCTCTGTCTTAAGCTGGTATAAGATAGGCTAATCTCAGGGAGTAGAGTGAGGTGACTACCTCCTGTACAAAGTGTTCCCTCAAGCCCTCAGCTTGAATATAGCCTCCCCACTGTGCTATACCTTTTCCTTTCAAATGACACCTGACATATTTTGTGTTTAAGTTATTTATGTGCTTGTCTTACTTCCCTTACTGGCCTGTCAACTCATTGAGGGTAGTATCTGTATCTGATTCATTTATATAGTCTCAAAGTGACTAGCATAGTGTTTAATAAATGTGTTAAAGATGATAAACCCTTGCTGTGTCACTTCAAGTCAAACTAAGACTTCTTCAAACTCGGACACTTTTTAAAAAGTCATCATTTGACAGGGACAGGATTTTGATTTCCGTATTCATGTATGAGTATCAAAATGTGATTGTGGCTCACAGAGCACTCGCAGCAGGGGACAGACACTACTGCACTCTTGGTGAGAACTGCCCATGTTTGTGGTGGCTTTCCCACCGTGCTGTTAAGTCAGTATCATTGGTTGGTTCACACTGATATAATGACAGGTAGTAAGCAGAGGTCCTGCAAAATGATGTTAGATAACAGCATTTCAAGGTCAAATTCTCCTGTAAGTTTTTACCTTTTGAGAGGATGAAAACTGTAAAATTATGTCCTGCCCCAAATGGCTCTATAACTTTTTAAGCATTTTGTAGGGTATCATGTTGATAAGCATGTGCTTTTCAGGCTCTGAGATGAACTGTTTTAAAATGTGAGTTCTATTTAAAAATTTGCCATTTAAAGCACGCAGAGGCCTGGGGTGCACAGGGACCCTGGATACAGTGTAGCGACTTGCTCAGAATGAAATGCTGGTATTAGTTTATGTGGTCCCTCAATATGTGGGATTTCACCACTGCTTGGACAGAAGCTGAAGTCAGGTCCAGAAACAGATGCAATTTAGACATGTATAATCAAGTTGGATTGTGCTACTTTTATTTTTCTTTGTAAAATTCAGGCAATAGTTGCTTTTTCTTTTTGTTTTTTAAAATTTTTTTAAATTGAAAACAAAACAAAACAAAACAGATGAGGTCTCACTGTGTTGCCCAGGCTGGTCTTGAACTCCTGGGCTCAAGTGATCCTCCCACCTTGGCTTCCCAAAGTGCTGGGATTACAGGTGTGAACCACTGTACCCAGCCTGATTTTCATATTAATAGGGAAACTGATTTCTCATATATTCTGGATAATGTAACTGAAGGTTCAGGCTTTTATGTTTATTTATTTATTTTTCTCTTTAGTATCAGGGAAGGCTGTTTTAGCACCTGCTGTCTCTTTTGCATTACCCAGATTACCTGCAGTTGTTGCAAGTAGAAAAGTTTTGGTTTTGGCCATGTTTCTTAGTATATATAATACTTCTTTTTACTCGAGAGATTTGAAAATGTACCTGGCCAGAAAAATTAGGTTTTACCTGGGAGTTGTGCTTTGGAAGCTGACTTAAAGCCTGAGCAGCAGCTTTCTCCCCCAACCCCCATCCTTCTCCGTGGCCAACCTTTGGTTTGGGCATGGGCAGTCATTATCACTCTGTGAGGCTGAGACACTGCTCATGGCCCAGAGGAGTGAAGGTGGATCTTCTTGAAGGCCTTTGTCTTTTGTGCTATTCAAGTGGTCCTACTAGTGAGCAAAGTTTACAGTATTTTGTATCTCATTCCTCAGGATCCAGTTAGTTTTGTAGCCCTATCTGGCCCTGCCAAGCACACAAAGAGTCTTGCTTGTCCCTGTTTTCAGAGACTTCCTTATGTCTCTGGATGCTCTGCTAGGTCACGACCTAACTTGGACTGGGTCCTGTGTAGTCTTCCTGCTGTGCATGTGGTAGGTTCGTGAAACACACTTCATTCCTGGCACAGCAGAGGGCAGCAGTGGCAAGTCGTGAGTCTCTTCATCTTACCACCTTTCTTCCACTTGTGTCCTTACTGTCAACATGTAATTTTTAGCTTCCACACCATGCAAGACTCTTAACTTTTTATTTAATTTTATGTTCTGCATTTTGGGCAGTGCTTCTAATTTTTTCTTTTTAAGAACGTAATAATGAAACTGGAGATCTTAATTTAAAAGCCTTACAAAAAGTCATGCATAGGTAAAAATAATTCATCAAGTGAAGTGAATAAGTTTATGTGGCATTTAATTTAGGAAAAATTCTAGAAGTGTGATTATAGAGTAAAACAAACTTTTTCTTTTTTATTACTTTAATTCAAAGCTTTGGGATGCGACATCAGCAAATGAGAGGAAAAGCATTAATGTGAAACAGTTCTTCCTAAATTTGGAGGACCCTCAAGAGGATATGGAAGTGATAGTGAAGTGTTGTTCGTGGTCTGCTGATGGTGCAAGGATAATGGTGGCAGCAAAAAATAAAATCTTTGTAAGTACTTTAAAAAGCCAACTTCAGTCTGATTTAAAGAAAGTTAAAACTTCTGTTCATTTTTGCATTTTACAATGTTTATTCATAAAAATAAAGTCTAGCTGTGTGATTTTGGGCAGTCTTCCTAACCTGTCATGGTTCTTTGGAACTGTGCTCCGTGAGATAAGGATGGCCTTGTAAGGAAAGGTCTCCATGGTTACACCGTTTGGGAAATATGTTTTGTATTGCTTTCCCCTATTAGGCACACTGTATGAACTAACATATTCAGGGCCCCAGGAAGTCCTCTTACACAATTTATGCCATCGAATCCAGTGTTCCTCAAATGTATTTAAAACATAGAATGCTTTCTTCATCACTCCTTTTTTTTCTTCAATTTTGATTACATTGGTTTAGGTGATTTTTCAAAGTGTTTTCTTACACCTACAATTTTATGATTTGATGACTCTGACAGAAATGCTCATCAATGACTGAACAAGATAGTGAAATTTTTATAAAGTAAATGAGGAAAATATGAAAAAAGTAAATAAGAAAATTCTTTGCTTTTCTTCCCCACATCTAATAGTAGCTGGTATTTGTGGTATTCAGAGTGCCCTCACATATAATTTCTTTTGATATAAGTATTCAAGAAGCAGCGGGTTACAGTAGCCCTATGATAATAATGAGGCAACTGAGGTTCAGAGCAGCCAAATGATTTGTCTAAAGTTACATTGTGATTAGGAGAACCAGATCTTCTGATTTATGGCTCACTTACATTCTCATCTAATAGTGATTTCAAAAGACTTGAATGAGGGATATTACTGTTTTAAAGAGCATAATTGAAATATAAAATATGGTTATATAAGAACTCACTGAGGGATCATGTATATGATTGTTATTGATTTAGTGCTACAATCCTTGGATGTTGGTTGCTTATGAGTTTGTACCCCTTTAGCAGGAAACTAAGAGGAAAAATACCTCCCTTTAAGTTTGTTAAAATCTATAAGAACAGAAAAGAAACCACTGCATAAGCAAGACTTGAAGATTAAAACTTTTTTATTGTGATAAAATGCATATAATGTAAAAGTTGCCATTTTAACCATCTAAAAATGTGCATTTCAATGGCATTACATTCACAATGCTGTGTAGCCATTACTACTATATATTTCCAAAACTTTTTCATCACCCTAAACAGAAACTTTGTAACCATGAAGTAATAACTCCTCTTTCCCCTCTCTTGCTAGACCTTTGTAATCTCTAATGTAATCTGCGAATTTGCCTAGGTATTTCATATAAATGGAATCATATAATATCGGTCCTTTTGTGTCTGACTCATTTCATTGAGCATGTTTTCAAGGTTCATTCATGTTGTAGCATGTATCAGAACTGTATTTCTTCTTATGGCTGAATAATATTCCATTGTATGTATATATCACATTTTTTCTTTGTTTTTTTTTTTCTTACAAACCAGTGTTTATTTTCACATACAGCCTTGTTGTAACCAATGTACAGATCAAAACTCAAAATATTCCTCTTCAGAAAACTTTGAACCTTATCCCCTAGCCGACCTATAATGGTTGAATTTCTGTCAAGTATATATTTATGTATATAATGGGCTTAATTATTTAAGAGAATAACTGAGTGATTTGTGTGATCTGTGAAAAGGAATTGGACTATCATACTTGGGTTGTATATCACATTTTTTTCATCCATTCATCTGTTGATGGACACTTGGTTTGTTTCCACCTTTTGGCTACTGTGAATAATGCTGCAGCATTGGTGTACAAGTATCTATTTGAGCCTTGTGTGTTTACCTAGGAGTGGAATTACTGGGTCATATGGTAATTCTTTATTTATTTAGTTTTCTGAGGAACCACTAGATTTTTCCACAGCAGCTGCACCGTTTTACATTCCACTAGCAATGTACAAGGGTTCCAATTTCTCCACATCCTTGATAAAACTTGTTATTGTTCATTTTTAAAATTATAGCCATCCTAGTAGGTGTGAAGTGGTTTCTCCTTGTGGTTTGATTTGTGTTTTCCCAATTACCAATGATGTTGAACAAAAGATAATTTTTGAAAAGATTTTAAGAGACCTGTTCTAGTGAGAGGAAGATAATTTTATATTGCATGAAATGCCTTGTTTTAAAAATCTGTACAGCAGTTCCCTGTTTTACCATGCTAAAAGAAAGCTACCCAAAGGTGTTCCTTAACTGCATGTAGATCCCGATTTCTTACCCTTTGGTCTCTCCTTCCTCCTCCTGTTCTTTCTTTCCAATTCCTATGTGAGTCTACTCCTATTGTTAGGTCTTTTTTCTTTTACTATTCCATAATTGGGACAACTGCCTATTGTGGAATAGGCAAGTTTGCCAAGTTTCCTCGATCACTGTCAGCCACTAATTTTTTAAAAAATGACCTATCTTGGGAAGCATTTTAAATCTGATTTCCTGCCCTGTGTTTTTGGCCTCCGGCGCTACGCTGCCTACCATATGTGCATGCTTGCAGGGACTATGCATTCACTAAACATTTTTTTTTTTTTGAGATGGAGTCTCGCTCTTTCGCCCAGGCTGGAGTGCAGTGGCGCTATCTCGGTTCACTGCAAGCTCCGCCTCCTGGGTTCACGCCATTCTCCTGCCTCAGCCTCCCGAGTAGCTGGGACTACAGGCACCTGCCACCGCGCCCGGCTAATTTTTTGTATTTTTAGTGGAGACGGGGTTTCACCATGTTAGCCAGGATGGTCTCGATCTCCTGACCTCGTGATCCACCTGCCTTGGCCTCGCAAAGTGCTGGGATTACAGGCGTGAGCCACCGTGCCTGGGCTACTAAACATTTTAATAGCTCCCACTGGAAGCTTTTTTGTTTCTTTCTAAGGTCTATGTCTTGATCTTAAATCAGTATATTGTATCAATACATGTAGTAAATAAAAATCATCTTATTTGGCAAAAACTTTGGAAGAGTATATTCAGCATTTATAAATCTTAAAAATTGAAGAAACTGCGGCTGGGCGTGGTGGCTCACACCGGTAATCCCAGCACTTTGGGAGGCCAAGGTGGGCGGATCACCTGAGGTCAGGAGTTCGAGACCAGCCTGACCAACATGGAGAAACCCCGTCTCTACTAAAAATAAAAAAATTAGCTGGGCGTGGTGGTGCATGCCTATAATCCCAGCTACTTGGGAGGCTGAGGCAGGAGAATTGCTTGAACCCAGGAGGTGGAGGTTGCAGTGAGCTGAGATCGCCCCAAGCTGAGATTACGCTATTGCACTCCAGCCTGGGCAACAAGAGCAGAAGTCTGTCTCAAAAAAAAAAAAAAAAAATTGAAGAAACTTGGATTACCCAAAGTAGTTTTTTGGGGTTCAAAAACAGGAAAATGATTGACTATAATGGAGCAATTTGGTAGTTCTAGAGAGAAATAAAAATGACTGAGCTAATTTTATTTTAGCAAACCTCTGCTCTATATTATTTTGATCATCTTCATTTATGAGTATTCATTTTCTCTTTTGAATAAACAAGCATTAGGGAGAACTACTCTGTATGTTAATTGGGCCAGTCTATTCATTTATTCACAAAGCTTTTATTTCTCTTTAGGCTAGCTTGAGAGCTCATCTGTGATGAATTTTCCTTTATAGAAAATATGTTTTAAGATGAGCAGTATTTTTAAAGTATATGTATATTGATCCATATTTTGTTTATGACTGTCAATAATTATGCCAGTTATCAGTAATTGTCATATTTTTTTCAGGACTTATATTTGAAATGGGAGGATATTAGAATAGCTTATCTCTTAAAGTATTTTACCTTCATAGGTATCTCTATTTATGTTGACAGCTTTTTGACATTCATACTAGTGGCCTATTGGGAGAAATCCACACGGGCCATCACAGCACCATCCAGTACTGTGACTTCTCCCCACAAAACCATTTGGCAGTGGTTGCTTTGTCCCAGTACTGTGTAGAGGTGAGTAGTTGAATTTATTCTGTGAAGCCTGGGTTTCCAGAGATCAAAGGATGACAGAGAATGGGCAGCTTAAACCATTAACTGCTGAGGAGCCTTGCTTGAGAAATTATAGAGTATTTTCTTTATAGCCTAATGACCTCTAACTTTGGGATATTAAACCACATAGCCAGCTTTATTATTTTAACAGTGATTGCAGACTTGATTTGACAGTATGACAGGGAATTCAGCAAGCATTTGCTGAATGCCTAACATGTGCCAGGAACTGGGAAAACAATGGAATGACTGCTGGTCATGAAACATGACATCTCTTATCCAGTATAGATATGTGGCATTTCTTAAACAGTGTAGGCACAGACTCTTTTCTTCTTAAAAAAGGTGGTGAGAAATGAGTCCAGTTCAGATTTCTTAGATCATTGAGTAGGATAAGATAGGATGTTCATTGCCAGGCACTAATGAATAAAATAACTCATATAAATTACTTTTTTATGATTTTGTACTTACCTGTTAAATTTTATGTTCAGAATGTATACCTAGCTGGCCCTGGAAGAATTCCACCCAGTGAAGTGCTATATTAGTTTTTTCATAAAGTAGTGAATTATTTTTTTCCTTCAAAGATGGATTAGTGCTTTTTTTTTTTGTTTTTTAATAGAAATGGGGGTCTCACTGTGTTGCCCAGGCTGGTCTTGAACTCTTGGCCTCAAGCAATACTCCCCCAGCCTTGGCCTCCCAAAATGCTGGGATTACAGGTGTATCACCTTGCCTGGCCAAAGATAGATTAGTTTTTCCAGGCTTTCTTAGTCTTCATTCCTTAGGTTGGTTTTACCACCAGGTAGTTTGAAACCCCTTCAGATCACAGTTCCAAGAAGATGGGTATGGGCCTTTTGGAAAATAGAGAAATTCACTGGGTTCACAGGCTCCTCATCAAGGGAGCCATGACTACTGCAAGCACTTCTTCAGTGTTCTCTGCTTATTTAGCAAATTTTAGTGAGTTTGCCAGCCTTGCCCATTACTGTGAAGGTGTTGGGGGAGAGTTGCTAAGCTATAGCCCTTCAACATAGAGGCACAGGTGAGAGTGAGGGCATGAGATCCATAGGCTTCTCCTAATTCTAGGTGCAGCAGTGCATGTGACACTGAAGAACTTCCCTACTGAGACTCTTCCCATTGCACACAGAGGCAGGGAGTGTGAAAAAGCTCTAGTCCTGTATGAAACAGCGGGAAGAAGTAGGGTGCTGTGGGCAGTGTTTTGTTGGGCAGAGACTTTGAATTGGAAGTGTTTTGTTTTGTGTTACTTTGTTTTTGAGACAGAGTCTCTCTCTGTCACCCAGGCTGCAGTGTAGTGTTGTAATCTCAGCTCACTGCAACCTCCACCTCCCGGGTTCAAGCTATTCTCTTGCCTTAGCTTTCTGAGTAGCTGGGATTACAGGTGCCCACCAGCATGCCCGGCTAATTTTTTTTTGTATTTTTCATGGAGATAGGGTTTCACCATGTTGGCCAGGGTGGTCTCGAATTCCTGACCTCAAGTGATCCACCTGCCTCAGCCTCCCAAAGTGCTGGGGTTTATTGGGTTTTAGATCTCCTAGGAGATCTTGAACCTTATGTGTAGATCCTCAAAGTAAATGTGGAGCGTTTGTTAGGATTTTTAGAAACAGTACTAAGTAGCAACCCCTCTTTCAGCCTTTCTTGTCACTTCTAAAGTCCTTACCCTCTGCCATCCTTAGCAATCTCCAGGAAACAATGAAAGAGTATCTTCCTTCTTGAAATGTAGGGACTCAGCTCTGGAGGCTCTGAGTGACAAAGAAATGATGGGAGAGAGATGGGGAGAAGAAAGTGGGAAGAGAGGGGAGGATTCTCAAGGGAGATTTTCAGTTTCTTAGGAGAGATTTTCAGTTGTGGAACCACTTTCATTTTTGGCCCTTAGCTCTGTATGTCCCAGCTTGGACTCTTAGAGATAAGGCGGAGAAAATTTCATATAATTAGTTCATAACCACAGAACTCACTGAATGAAAACCAGTCACTGGGCCTATGATGAGGTACTTGTTTTGTCCATGCTAGTTCTGAAATGATAAAGTAGTTCTGTAATTTAAAGTGTAATGAGAGGAACTCAGTCACATATGGTACTTCATTAGACTTGAATATATTAGAGTAATTTACAGCAGAACCCAGGATAAAATACCAGGCTGCTGGTAGACATGGTAATAAGCATGAATAACAAGAGAAATGTGTACATGTTACAATTATTGTGTTAATTTATTGTAGGTTTTACAGTCAGTTGAAATGAAGGTTAGATGACAGTATTAGTGGAAAATAATCTGAATATGGAAGCTGCTTTTGTTCATCCTATTATTTTTTGGATTGACTTTTTTAAAGTGATAAAATATTTGCATGATTCCAAAGTCAAAGTTTTATAATGCGTTATATTCAGAGAAGTCTTGCTTTCATCCCTATCCCTTCGCCTCGCTCTCCCTCCTTCCCTGCATATGTAAACTATTTTCTGTTTTTGGCTTAACTGTCCAATATTTCTTGCATATATAAGCAGATATCTATATGCATATATATCCATACCTGTATCCTTCTATATGTTCTTGTACATATTTTTCCATCTCATATAAAAGATAGTAGTGTATAGTATATAGACTCTTCTACACTTTGCTTTTTTTCTGTTAACAATATATCCTAGAGATTTGTCGTCATCAAGGTGTTTTTCTCATTGTTTTTAATGGCTGCATGATATTCCATTATGTGATTAATGTAGTTTATTCAGTTGGTTCCCTATTGATGAGTATTTAGTTTCCTAGTATTTTGCTATAAAAAATAATGATGCACTAAATAATCTTCTGCATAAGACATTTTGTAGTTTTGATAGTGTGTTTCTGAGCAATATTCATTGAAGTGGTATTGCTGGCTCATTCTTGCTATTTTCAATATTTTTGCTCTCTTCAAAATGCTTATGTATGTGATTTCCTATATGCTGTGTTTATTCTGTAGTTGTGGAATACAGACTCACGTTCAAAGGTGGCTGATTGCAGAGGACATTTAAGTTGGGTTCATGGTGTGATGTTTTCTCCTGATGGATCATCATTTTTGACATCTTCTGATGACCAGACAATCAGGGTGAGAAATATTGAGATTTTCATTTTGAACATTTCCTGATGGTGAGCTAAACCTCCTACAAACTAAGAAATTGATGGGTAGCACTGAGGTAAGCAGAATAGGAAACTAGTACTATATTCCTATTCACCCTGGAAAAGTGCTGTTATATGGACTGTAACAGTCTCATTCATTCGTTACATGTTCATTGAGGATTACCATGGGCCAAGTGCTGTGGGAACTTCAGTGATTAAACTGTATTTTGGTTAATTTAAAATACTGCATTTGATTCCTCAGAAAAATTTTTGACCCTTTTCTTTACCTTGAATTCCTACATCCAATTACTTGCCAATTCTGAGAGAGTCTACCTTTTCATTTTCTATTATTATCTCTACCTTTCCATTTCTGCTGCCCAAGTTCAGGACTTTGTTAACTGTTACTTCTCTTGTTGTATTAGTCTCTGCCACAAGTCTTCTTTCTTGCTTTTCTGCATGCAGCTTCTAAGATATTTTTTTTTCATGTACAATGCAGTCATGTCATTTTTGCTCAAAAATAAGATAGTGGCTCCCTTGTCTACCAAAGTAAATATATACTTCTGTTTCTGCCATTAAGCTTCTCCACAGCATGGCCTTATTCTGCTCCACTCTGTCTCCCAGTTTATTCCTACAGGGAACCAACACTGGACTGCTCACATTTTCCCAAACACTCCGTAGTTCCCTGCTTCTGTGCTTTTCCTTAAGTGGTTTCTTATATTTGGAATGCTCTACTTACCTGTATCTCTGTTTGTTGAAATCCTAACCATTCTATAAGTCCCCTCAAGTCTTCTCTATTTGGGGAGAATGCCTGTCTCTCTTAATGCCATCTAATTCTATGTCATTTTCTAGTGGTGCTTATCAAATTTTGACTTGAATTTAAATACAGATATGATTTACTCCTTATTTCCAACACTCCACTGCTTCTCTGGCTCATTGACGTATCTTACATTATAAGCTCTTTGAGGCCAGGAACCCTGGCTGGTCCCCACAGCATCCTAATACAGCATTATGTATGAATTATAGCTAAAATTCATTCAGTGCTTACTATATTCAAGACATTATGCAAAGTACTATATATATATATATATATACATATAAATTTACTAATTCTCACAATAGTCCCTTTTGCAGATGAGGAAACAGGCAGAGAAAGACTGAGAAAGGTCATTGGTTCTTAACATGCCAGTCTCAATGAGCTTGAGCCAGAATATAAATCAACACATTGCTTTCTTCATCAAGAAAGTCTTCTTGAAATGAAATAAGCTGCATCACTAGACACAGTTACAGTGTGTTTAGTGATGTAGTTGATTTACGTTCTGGTACAAACTTCTTTTTGTTTTTTTGAGACGGAGTCTCGCTCTGTCGCCCAGGCTGGAGTGCAATGGCACTATCTTGGCTCACTGCAACCTCCACCTCCCAGGTTCAAGCAATTCTCCTGTCTCAGCCTCCTGAGTAGCTGGGACCACAGGTGCACACCACCATGCCCAGCCAAGTTTTGTATTTTTAGTAGAAATAGGGTTTCACCATGTTGGTCAGACGTCTTGAACTCCTGACCTCAGGTGATCTACCCGCCTTGGCCTCCCAAAGTGCTGGGATTACAGGTGTGAGCCCCTGCGCCTGGCCCAAACTTCTTACCTTGTGGATTGGTATCAAACAGTTTGATAACCAGCAGGAGGTCTTTATCTTTGAGTAACACTGGGTTAAGCAACCTGCCTGAAGTTACAACTTTAGGTAGAACTAGAATTCATACTGAGGAATTTTGGCTCTGGAGCCCATAACTCTTAATACTAACTGCATCTTACTATAGATTGTGTTAGTAAATATTTATTTTTGGATTATAATCTAATATTGAAACCTTTCTAGCATCATAGGTATTTTATGTGAAACATAGTTTGTCTCTCGCTTTAAGATGAAGACATGTTATTTTAGAGATGGAATGATAATTTCTTTATCTCTTAATCAGCTCTGGGAGACAAAGAAAGTATGTAAGAACTCTGCTGTAATGTTAAAGCAAGAAGTAGATGTTGTGTTTCAAGAAAATGAAGTGATGGTCCTTGCAGTTGACCATATAAGACGTCTGCAAGTGAGTATTTTTTAGAAAACAATTGGAAAATTGTTTTGGTTGAATTTTCTATTCACGGTTTTTCTTGTTTTTGGACTTGAGATTAAGCATAATTATTTTGTATCTAACAGGTGTCCAGCAGACATTAGTTAAATAAATATATATAAGTCTTGAGCTGAGGCTCAGATATGCTTATATTTAGAATTAAATTAGATAATTCCTCATCTCACTGCTCTTCTGTTGCTATCTATGATCACATTCTTTGATTTGCATGGAGTCTAAGAATACCATGAGGACAAACTCATGTTGTCTACAAGAGTGATTCAGACATGTCTGATGGAGTGTGCAAGGGGGATGAGCATATGGAAGCATTTTTAAAAGGGAAGGATTCCAGGGTCTTTGAAAGAACAGAAGTCACTTTAGGTGAGGAAGGAGTCTGATTGATTGGAACTGAGGTGAAAGGAGCTGGGCTTTACATACTGAAGTACACCTGTTCATTTACACACACCTTTGTTCAGTAAATATTTATTGAATGCTTATTTTGGTCCTTGAGGAGGAAAGGGTTGTATAGTACAATTGAAAGAACTGTATTGCTTAGGGATCCAAACAGCACTACTCTAGTCTGTTCTCCTTCTGCCACCCAACAAAGAGTGGGACACGTGAGAGGAAGGCATTTCTCAACTAGCTGAAGAGAGAAGGAGTCCCAAAGATCCATTGGCAGAGGAATGGTATTCAGGAGCTCGGAGTGGTGGTAACAGATGCCCTAAGAGCAGATGCCCTAAGGAGCACTGGAATTCAAGAGCAGGTTGGCATCACTGTGCTGGTGGCTAAATAAGGTGTCGTTGCATTGACAGAGATGTCCTGGAAGTGGTGATAGCGTTGTAGATAGTGGCAGCAAGAGAAAGCAGATGCCTCATGGAAGATTAAAACACAAGAGGCTATCTATATGTTGGTCAGCCCAAGCAGAACAGCAGAGTATGGACCATTGAAGGAAGTGTCAGCATGTGGAGCTGACAGCATGTCACTGTGACTTGTGGCTGAGAGAGGTGGTAAGAGCAAGCAGCCAGATAAGAAGGGCAGGAGGTGGCATGGCTTTTATGTGAACTGGTGGGACATTCTCCCTTGCCCTGAGGATTCCCTGAGACATAGGATTGAGAAGGACAGAAACCCTTTCATAGTGAGGGCTAATTTTCTTTCTTTTGTTTTTCTTTTGAGACAGTTTCTCTCTGTTGCCTAGGCTGGAGTGCAGTGGCACGATCTTGGCTCGCTGCAACCTCCACCTCCTGGGTTCAAGAGATTCTCATGCCTGAGCCTCCTGAGTAGCTGGGACTACATGTGTGCTACCACGCATGGCTAATTTTTGTAATTTTAGTAGAGACAGGCTTGTGCCATGTTGGCCTGGCTGGTCTTGAACACCTGACCTCAAGTGATCCACCCACCTCGGCCTCCCAAAGAGCTGGGATTATAGGTGTGAGCCACCGTGCCCGGCCTAAGGGTTTTTTTTTTTTTTTTTTTGTATTTTTAGTAGAGATGAAACTATTTTCTCATAGTATATTTAGGGCCTTTCATTAGCTCTTGAAGAGCACGAATACAGCTTGAGTTAACTTTTTCCATATGGGTTTTAGAAGTGCTTTATTAACTTCTAGGGAAAGGTTTTGGCAGTGATAACATAGTCTTATGCCATCTTTTCGTTTGATTTTTCTTGATTTGCTTATTGAAAGATAGGGAGCATGAATGTGTGTGAGAGAGTGAAATGAGATAGTGATGTCAAGCTAGAGAGGAGAGAGAGGAGCAGAATAGAGAAGACGAGAGTAATAGAGCACATGTGTGGAAGGTCTGAGAGGAAGCAGACAATTGAGACAGATGGACAGAGGGTAGGACAGAGTTTAATGAGTTGTCATTCAAAAAATTTTTTTTTGTAGAGATGGGGGCATCTCACTATGTTGACCACGCTGGTCTTGAACTCCTGGCCTCAAGTGCTCCTCCTGCCTCAGCCTCCCAGAATGCTGGGATTACAGGCAAGAGCTGCCATGCCCCACTCAAACCTTAACAAGTTGTAAAGCTGTAGAGCTCAGCTTGGTGTAGTGGAGAGAATAGTGACTTTTCACTAAGGAGACCTAGGTGTAAGTTCAGACTTCTTTATCAACTAGTTCTATGATGTTGAATAAATTGTATCACGTCTTTGAGCCTCAGTTTGTAAAGGTCCTTTTCATCTTTACAGTCTCTGAGCTAGTTACAGGGTCAAAGTAGAATCCAAATTCAGGAGTAGATACTGGGAGTAAATCGCCTGGTATGTGGTAACTTCTTGTTTACTGTGGGTGTCAAAATCAAGCTGTAAGTCACCTCTGAATATGGCTTGCTTTGATTTTACAAGTTTTACTATTGTCCTCAATATGCTGATTAGGAGCTCCTAATGCACAGTACTTCTGGGGTGAATTGGGATATGGAATTCAATGTGAATTTCTCATTAACTGTTTTTTAGAAAGCTGATTCTTCCACTTGGGATATTTCTACTTCAGTTTTCTTGACAAATTTAGTGTCCTCATGCTTGTATTTCCTTTATTAAATTTGTGCAACCTTTCTTTAATGACTGTTGTAACTGTGAGACTTAAAAAGTCATCTGTCTATAAAGGTATCATTCTATGTCAGTGGTTGTGGGAGAGTTTAGAGGATAAACTTAATAGTTTCATTTAAGTGAATAAAACATTTTTTAGTTACTACTTAAAGAATTCTTGAAATTGATTTTTGAGAGAAGATGTTCAGCTCTTCGTAGTTCAATTTTCATTTTGAATATCTAATAGATCAAAATGTGCTATGTAAAATAATGTTAAGGAAAAACTACCTGTGATTGGTTGACTCTGTAATCTTTGTACTAGAAACAAAGATGCCTGCCTATTTCATGTTGAAAAATAATTCAAGAATTTTAGTTTATGACACTAAGAGAGAGGTATCTGACAACTGATTTAAGCTTGAGAAATATTTTCCCAGGTCACATGTTTTAGATGAGTGATAAGGCATCATAATTCATGGGATTTAAGCATTGGTACAGATTATGAAATTAGGTAATCTTTGTTCAAGCATTGTAAATCCAGCTACACAAATTATGCTTATGAGTTCTTCTCCATTGTCCTCACTGCCCCAGCTCCAAGAAAAAGAATCTTAATTTACACTGTTTTGTGAGTGATTTGGAGGATATAAGCCCCATTTTAATTTGTCTTTTTATGTCTGTCTCAGTCTTGTTTGACCAACAGCTTTGAAATGTAGCAGAAAAGTATATTTTAACAAATGATAGCCCTATTAAAAGTGGGCTTTGTGAAGAAATGGTGTGGAGCTAGCTGTGGGATTACAAATCAGATAGATGTGTCTCAGGTGGCGGGCGCAGCAGCTGCTTTTTAAACCTTGTAATGCTTGTTTTATTTTATGAAAATGTATTTGAACCACCAAAGTGGATTGAAATGAAAGTGTGAAGTGCTAAATGCAGCTGCTAAGACTAGGATATGGCTTGTTGTTCCCCTGAGAGCTCTTGTTGGTTATTTTCTGTGTTTTATTTTATTTTTTTCAATTGAAGCCTCTGTTCTGACGAACAAAAACTGCTCTTACAGCCTAATAACTGATTTTGCCTCATTTTTCATTAGCTCATTAATGGAAGAACAGGTCAGATTGATTATCTGACTGAAGCTCAAGTTAGCTGCTGTTGCTTAAGTCCACATCTTCAGTACATTGCATTTGGAGATGAAAATGGAGCCATTGAGGTATTCAGTGCTAGTCTTCAGAATCTTTCTGTACAGAATTAAATAAAACTAATTATATGTCTGGCATTGTGCACTTCTATTTTTATTTATTTTTATTTTTGAAATGGGGTCTTGCTGTGTCACCCACGCTGAGTACAGTGACACGATCACAGCCGACTGCAGCCTTGACCTTCTGAGCTCAAGTGATTTTCCCACTTAAGCCTCCTGAGTAGCTGGGACTAAAGGTGTACGTCACCATGCCCGACTAATTTTTTTTTTTTGTAGAGATGGGGTCCCCTGTGTTGCCCAGGCTGGTCTCAAACTCCTGGGTTTAAGCGATTGTCCGGCCTCAGCCTCCCAAAGTGTGGGGATTATAGGCATGGGAGCTTTTGTGCCTGGCTATTGTATACCTTTTTTTTTTGAATCAGGATCTCACCTTGTTGCACAGGCTGGAGTGCAGTGGTACAATCTTGGCTCACTGCAGCCTTTGCCTCCCAGGCTCAAGCAATCCTCCCACCACAGCCTGCTGAGTAACTGGGACTTCAGGTATGCACCACCACACCTAGCTAATTTTTCTGTTTTTGTAGAGATGGAGGTTTCACCAGTGTTGCCCAGGCTGGCCTTAAACTCTTGGGCTCAAGTGATCTACCCATCTTGGCCTCCCAGAGTGTTGGGATTACAGGCATGAGCCACCACATCCAGCCTATTGTACACTTTTATACTAAATAAATCTTTCTGTGATCTATTAGTCATTGTTCGTTAAACTAACAATCATCTTATCCAGTTGGCTGTATATTTTTCAGATTTCCTTTATTACTGTTTCTCATGCTTTTTGTCTTTTTATGTCCCTTATTCTCTACTTAGTTGTTTGGCTGTTCTCCACATATATCAAATACTATCTATCAAGATTTCGCTAACTATGCAAAGAGCATTTTTTTCTCCTCTTCTTAGAAGCCCAGCCATGTGGGGTATAAGTTGTTTCCATTTCGGTACTGATAAGGCTCATGGGGAATATGGGTGCAGGGCTGCCTGTGCTTGCCTGTTCCACCAATCCTTGCTGTTCTACTTTTGGTGGCAGAAGAACCTCAGTTCACCACCTGAAATCCTTAATTTATCTAACAAGACCAAATAGGTAAAAATAGAAACACTTTGCAAGGCAAAAATGTAGTATAATAAAAGGCATTTTGGGTAAAAATATTGTTGTCTTTATCACAAGTGAAATTCATCCCAAAAGCACATTTTCTCTAGCTTTATAGTGGTTTTTCAAAAACCTTGGTTCCTTCTCTCACTTTTTCTCACCAGGTGTCTGGGAATTATTTTTTAACCAATTACTTATGGCACTGGCCACAGTTATTTTACTTTGGATTCATTTTCATAAGGAATTACACAAATATTCTCTAGTCCATATGGCCCCACAGAGAAGAGACTATATGCTTAGACACAAAGTGAAGAAGGAAGCATTTACACAGTGATCTCAATACTCTTATATATTTGTCATGGCCCTTATGTCATGGATTGAGAGTTCAGGCTTTGTTTTCTCTTTATTATTGTGAAAAATTTATTTATCATTTGTTAAGATGTGTACTATTCTGGGATAAAGTACATCATGGATATGTATTTCTTAAGCAAGGGATAATTGTATGTTTACAGGTGAACCTTAGGCTTCCATCTCAGGCTCATCTCTCAAACTGTTGTGTATTATTATTTATTCTTAAAGAGTCCTTGGTTTCCCTTTTCTCTTTACCTTGATGCCAAGTCAGTACCACATTCTTTTCATTTTTACCATCTATCTTAAAATAAGTCTTTTAGATAGTTTAAAAATAAACTCACAACACACATATGTGCTTCATCCACATCGTTAGTTCCCTCAAAGTCATCAAATAATATAAATAATACATAATGAACCATGTGAAATTACCAGCATTTACCTATAAAGTGGCAGTTTCATATGGTGTAGCCTCATATCATCAAATAATAGCAACTACCATTTATTAACTGTTTACTGTGCCAGATGCTCTCATTGAATTCTTATAACATCCTGGATGTTCGATGTTGTTATTCTTGTTTTAAAGATGTCTAAACTCTTATTTCCACAATTTTCATAAAATCAGTAAGTGGCAGAGCTAGGATTCAAACCCAGATCTCTGAGGCTGTGTGCTCAACTGTTATGCTATCCTGCCCTTGCCTCAGGGTTTGTGAGATCGTTCATCCCGCTCATTTAGGAAGGTTTCCATTCACACAATTCCCCTTTGTTTTCAAGGGGCTTTTCTTCCAGACGTGGGTTAGGTTTGAGTTTCTGGTGTCTCCTGCTTTAGCATCATCTGTATTTTCCTTAGGCTTTCTTGAGTACATTTTAATTTGGTCAATGAAACATATTTCCTCTCTTTTTGTTTTTTTGGTATGAGTTCATTTGAAAGCCTTTTTTTTTCTTTTTTTTTTTTTGACATAGTCATTATCTTTTGAATTTGTTACTACTTTTATTTAGAGTATTATTAGTCTTTGGCCCTCTTAAGTATTCTCATTGCACTGCCCACCAGCCTTCTGATATCCTGTCTCCCTCATCATCTTTTATCTTTCCTTGTTTGTGTTGTTTTATGAATAATTTGCCTTCTCATCCAGGACTTACTTACTTTCTTCTCTCTTATCCATCTTAAATGTCTTTTTTTTTTTTTTTGGAGGGCAAGCCCAGACAGCCACTTGTTTGATGAAGTGGGTAGTTGAGTACTCAGAAGGACCACTGGTTCCTACTGCTGTCTGATGATTGCAGTGAGTGTTTTATTTTAGGGTCCAATATGTTTGCATGTAGGCATACATGGTGTGCATATATATATATATATATATATATATATATATATATATATATATATGACATTCATTTGTTTTTAATTAGGCTGGAAGCACCAGATGGAAATTCTGTACCCTCCAGTCTAATTTTAGTTTAATATCTTTGGGGTGTAATGCCTATGTATTGCTTAGTTTCTTCTTAATTTTCTGTGTTTTTCTGCTTTGAAGATTTTAGAACTTGTAAACAATAGAATCTTCCAGTCCAGGTTTCAGCACAAGAAAACTGTATGGCACATCCAGTTCACAGCCGATGAGAAGACTCTTATTTCAAGTTCTGATGATGCTGAAATTCAGGTGAGAGGGAGGATGAACTCTTAACATATTTAATGCTGATTCTAGCAAAGGAACACTATGATTATGCCTAAAATCTGGTGTATATTTTAAACACATTACGTTGGGCATACATTCAGATTATGTACATGGGCTTAGATGAAACCTATGGGTGTTTCATATTTTTCTGTGGGTGAGGCAGACAGTTTATCTTAGAATCCTCTGTTGGAAGGTTGTTTATTTTGAAAATGAAGGGTTTGTTTGCATTTTCTTGCCTGTCTTGGTATTTGGATTTGTATCAGTAAGTATACTTTTTGCCACATTTATGTAATTTCTCTTTATTTTTCTTTACAGTAGTAAAATCCAATGGAAATCATTTCATTCTTTCCTTTTAAGAACAAAATGTTTATTACAGGAATGAAATTCTGTGAAAAGAGAATGGTTTGACATAATAAAGAATTGTGGATATGGAGGCCTAAACTTACTATATATTCTTTTAAAATTTACTTGATTATTAAAGTCCCAATGCACATTCTTTTAAAATTCAAATAGTATTACAAGACTTATTATGAAAAACAGACCCTTTCCCCCATTTCTCGTTCTCCAGAGGCACCACTTTTAGCTTTTAGATGATTCTTTTGATATTACCTTCATGCCTCTATATGGCATGCTTATAGTGCTCTTCTTGATTTTCCCATTTGAGAAGTTATCTACCGAATTCCCTACAGGAAGATGTTGCTTTTTTCCGCCTTCCACCTGTCCTGCCTTCAGCTTATGTGCATGCACACGTTCACAGACACTCATTTATCAATCCATTTATCCCAATTATAACGAAATTTTGTTTAGATCCTTCCTGTTACTATGATCACTGTGTACTAAGGGTACTGTGAATGCATTTTTTGCCTTAACGCAATTTAGGAAAATTTGACCTTTGGGTGTAGTTGGAAATTATTTTACACTAAAACTTTGAAGACATTGCTCCATTTTCTTCCAAGTTCCAAAGTTCACGTTGAAAAGTCTGAAGCCATTTTGCTGCCTAATCTTTCTCTCTGGAAGATTTTAGGATCTTCATTTTATCCCCAGAATCTTGAAATTTCCTGATGATACACTGTGTTGTTAGTTTTTATTCATTGTTTTGGATATTCAGTCTTCCTTTTCAATTTGGAAACCTATGATTTTTAATTCATGGAAGTTGAATTATTTCTTTGATTCTTTCCTTTTTGTTCCAGTTTGCTTTCTCTTTTTGTAACACCCATTATTCAGATGTTAGATCTCCCGGACTGATAATCTAGTTTTCTTTTTCCACATTTCATCTTTCTATAGTGTGCTTTATGTTTTTTTCTTTATTTTTTTTTGAGATGGAGTCTCACTCTGTCACCCAGGCTGGAGTGCAGTGGCGCGATCTTGGCTCACTGTAACCTCTGCCTCCTGGGTTCAGGCAATTCTCCTGGCTCAGCCTCCTGAGTAGCTGGGATTACAGCCGTATGCCACCATGCCAAGCTAATTTTTTGTATTTTTTTTAGTAGAGATGAGATTCCACCATGCTGGCCAGGCTGGTCTTGAACTCCTGACCTTGTGATCCGCCCGCCTCGGCCTCCCAAAGTGCTGGGATTACAGGCATGAGCCCCCGCACCTGGCCTACTGTGCTCTATTTTTGGGGAGTTTTCCTCAGTTTTGCCTTCCAGCCATTTTATTGAGTTTTTCATTTCTACTAGTATATTTCTAATGTGTTAAATTCTTATTTTGTAGATAGAATATTTTATCTCTCTGAGGAGATATACACACAGACAGGTAAATATATATAATATATATATAGAAATTATATACACACACACACACATATAATTTTTTTTTGTTTTTTTTTGAGACGGAGTTTCACTCTTGTTGCCTAGGCTGGAGTGCAATGGTGCGACCTTGGCTTGCTGCAACCTCCGCCTCCTGGGTTCAAGCGATTCTCCTGCCTCAGCCTCCTGAGTATCTGGGATTGCAGGCATGCACAACCACACCCTGCTAATTTTTGTATATTTAGTAGAGATGGGGTTTCTTCATGTTGGTCAGGCTGGTCTTGAACTCTGGACCTCAGGTGATCCACCCACCTTGGCCTCCCAATGTGCTGGGATTACAGGCATGAGCCACTGTGCCTGGCTTATATATATAATTTTTTCCCCATAAATTTTTGTTTTGCTGCATAGTTGCTGTTCCCTCCAAGTTGCTTTTTTCTGTTTGGTTGTTTTGACCTCCTATTTTGAAGGCCTCCTTAGCTCTCAGTGGTCATTGGCTATCAGAGATCTGTACTGAACAACTGGCTGAAAGCTCTGTGTGTTGACTGAGATCTTCTCTAAAAGGTGAATCTGAAAGGGGAAACTTTGTTGTGAGTATCTTCAGGTCTTTTGTCTTGGTCTCCTCAGATTCCTAGAGAGGAATTTTCTGGTCTTTTGCCTGGAGGATAAACCTGGCTGGCAGGTTCTCAGAGCTAAGTTGGGGAAGATAACAGGAAGTATTAATAGATGTTGGATCTCAACATTTAGTATGTACACCTTCCCTTGATCCCTCATTCTCAGAATTGTAATTCTACCCTCAGTTGTGCTGGTGCCCTTAAATTCAGAGATTCTTCTTTCTAGTTTGCTGTCACTGTCTGTCTACTTTCTTCCTTTTTTTCCCATAGTAACTTTGGGATTCAACAGCAATTCTTTTCTTTTCTTTTTCTTTCTTTTTTTTCTTTTTGAGACAGTCTTGCTCTATTGCCTAGGCCGGAGTGCAGTGGTGCAATCTCGGCTCACTGAAACCTCCACCTCCGAGGTTCAAGTGATTCTTCTGCTTCAGCCTCCTGAGTAGCTGGGATTACAGGCACCTGCCATCACATGCAGCTAATTTTTTTGTATTTTTAGTAGAGACAAGGTTTCACGATGTTGGCCAGGCTGGTCTTGAACTCCTGATCTCAAGTGATCTCACCTTGGCCTCCCAAAGTGCTGGGATTACAGGTGTGAGCCACCGTGCCCGGCCTTCTTTTTTATGTAAAATCAAGTTTCCTAAACTCCTTGGAGGAGTGGGGAAGTCCAGCATTTCTAGCTTCACAGCTCTGCAGCTCGTTCTCTTATTTTCACGAGGCATTAAAAATATGGCCTTACTGGGCGCAGCGGCTCACACCTTTAATCCCAGCACTTTGGGAGTCTGAGGTGGGAGGATTGCTTGAGGCAGGAGTTAGAGACCAGCCTGGGCAACATAGCGAGACCCCATCTCTGCAAAACAAAATAATTTAGCCAGGTGTGGTAGTGCATGCCTATAATCCCAGCTACTCAGGAGGCTGAGGTTGGAGGATCGCTTGAGCCTAGGAGGTCCAGGCTGGAGTGAGCTATGATCATGCTACCGCACTCCAGCCTGGGCAACAGAGCAAGTCCCCATCTCAAATATATAATGGCCTTGTTCTTAGGAGATCTCTTTGCCCCATCTCCTTCCCTCTCAGTTATTTCGACCTTCTCTTTCCTTTGATGCCCTTATCCTCGTTCTACTCCATTGGATTCTATTCCCTGTGGTTTCTCCTCACTGTAGGGTTGTTCTGGTTAATTTTGAGAGCTCACAAGGCTCACACTGCTCCAGTCCTTCCAGACTGTACCTCACACTCAGTGTCTCCTGCTCTTCTCTAGTTGTTCCATTGCACTTTTCGGTGAACACTGTGTGGCTATCTTAGGATTCTCTGCCTCCTAATTCTTAATACTTATATTCTTAGCCCCACCCTCATTTCCTCCTTTGGGTATACTTAGTGCCTTCCATTTTTGAGCATTTTGGGAGTTCATAATGCCGATTTTGTTGCTTTAGACTTTTTCTTTTCTTTTCTTTTTTTTGAGACAGTCTTGCTCTGTTGCCAGGCTGGAGTGCAGTGGCATGATCTTGGCTCACTGCAGCCTCCGCCTCCTGGGTTCAAGCAATTCCCCTGCCTCAGCCTCCTGAGTAGCTGGGACTACAGGCCCGTGCCACCATTTCCGGCTAATTTTTTTTTTTTTTTTTAGTAGAGTTGGGGTTTCACCATGTTGGCCAGGATGGTCTCGATCTCTTGACCTTGTGATCCTCCCGCCTCAGCCTCCCAAAGTGCTGGGATTACAAGCGTAAGCCACCACGCCTGGCCACTTTTGACTTTTTATAATGCCTTTAGGATTCTGTTTTCTTGACTTTGCTGAGTCAGTTACCATTCTCTTGCTTTCCAGCCTCCCACATTTTGTTGCTGTTATCTCCTTTCTCATTCTTTTGATCTTGCCATTTTAGTAGGGCTTTAGAAGTGAAGGATAGAATGCATATGTTCAGTGGAAATTATTATATTCTTTTATTTAGTATATATATTAATTGTGGTGGCAATATTTAATTGTATTGTTAAAAACCCTTTTGGGAAAAAGATCTTTTAATGTTATGTCTGTGTGAGTCCTAGGAAGCAGTATGATTGCAATGAAATTTGGCTTTAGTACAGAAACTTACTTGTTATAGGCTCCCATGACACTGGTGTTCTAGCTGTAAAACTCAGTGTAATAGTCACCTTTCTTCCTCTCCAGATGTCTTTGGAATGGGTAAAACTAAAAACTACATCTGATGAAGTTCTTTTGAGACATTGTATACTATGTATTCTATCAAAAGTTAAATTCATAAGGTTTTTATGACCAGCTTGACGATTTCAGGTATTCTCAGCTAGGGGGAAGAATAATTTCTAGAGATATTTTTAGAAAAGGAGTTAGATTATATTTAGAAATATGAGTTAAGTAGTTGTGTTTCTTCCTCTTTTTCTGTTCTACTCAGAATACTTTTTACATTTACAGTGTTTTAAATGTAACAAAACTCTATAGATATTTTCGAGAAATGACTGGTTGGGTTTTGTTTTCATTTTTTAAGGTTTTTGTAAATGATTAAGTGGAGGTTTGTTTTAATTATCTTTGTATCCCCAAAGCCTGGAATCCAGTAAGGGTTCTGTAAATCTTTGCTGAGCTGAAGTTATTGCCAAACTTTGAAGAATCAGCTCACCTGATTATAGCCCTTAGGATTGTGAACATTGAGGTCTACTTTGGTAGTTTTTGATCCTTTACCTTGAAGTAAATAAAGGCCAAGTATTACCCATGCTTACATGAGCCAGTATATAGGACTATGTTAGTTCTTGCTGGTATGAAAAGTTTCCAGCCGGGTGCGGTGGCTCACGCCTGTAATCCCGGCACTTTGGGAGGCCGAGGCGGGCGGATCACGAGGTCAGGAGATCGAGACCATCCTGGCTAACACGGTGAAACCCCATCTCTACTAAAAAATACAAAAAAATTAGCCAGGCGTGGTGACAGGCACCTGTAGTCCCAGCTACTCAGGAGGCTGAGGCAGGAGAATGGCATGAATCTGGGAGGCGAAGCTTGCAGTGAGCTGAGATCCCGCCACTACACTCCAGCCTGGGCGACAGAGCAAGACTCTGTCTCAAAAAAAAAGAAAAAAAAAATTTCCTTAACATTTCTACAATTTAAATTTTATTCATATAGCTGAAAAAAATTCTACAAGTATATATACATTGCAAAAATAGTCAATGATAGAGACATCCCCAAACTCAACTTTTGCATTTGACTAATGGTGGTGGAAGTTTAGTGATATTAAGGTTATTCAATTAGCACAGTGTGTTTCCGTGCAACAACAACAACAACAACAAATCACTCATCATCATTGCCTAGTCAGAAACCTTCTGTAACAAAAGCTGCAAAGGCTATTCTTAATCTGCCCTCAGTGGTTGTCAAATTCTTTGTTATATCTGCTCCAGAAGGCTGTCTGAGTTCTTGATGCAGAGGGCAGAAGTAAGATACTAAGTTAGAAATGAACATTGAATCAGGCAAAGCTAGAATAGGCAGTGTCTGTAAACTAGGAGGAGCTGTTCAGCATAGCCATTGATCCTCCAGTCCAGTGAAGCCCAGAAAGCGGGAGGAGAGAGCCAGGAGTTTCCTAGTAGAAATGGAATAAGGTCTTTTATGCTTAGTCATATGGGGTGCCCTTCCTCTCTGGTATGATTTGGGAAGCCAGAAATGCCTCCATTTCTTCCCCTTCCCCCAGCATATCTCATTGGGTTCTTAAAATATGAAAATTACTAATTCATTCTCTTTAGAATTACTCTCACTTCCAGTTCGTCTTCTAAAGTTCTCTTGCTTGCATACAAGACCCCATGCTCCTGATATCCTGCTTCTGTGAATGAGCATTCTGAGGCAGAAGATGAGAGATCTGAAAGCCAGGGCTTGTTGGGGAGGACGACTGCTAAATGTGGTGGAAAAAGAAGTAAAAAAAAGGGGAATAAGAGATGTCATTTATTTTAAGATTTTGCCTAGGTCTGATTAAAGATATTTCTGCTGTTTAGCATTGGCCAATAAAAAGCTAGACTCAGAATGTTACTCATGTGCATACCTGTAGTTGTGGCTGCTTTTTCTTTATCTTTTTATTCTTTTGGAGCTGGCCTGTTTTCCCATACCTCAGAATTTTAGCTTCATCAGGCCCACGGGGCTGTTTCTTTGGATACCTTCCCAACCTTTTTTCTCTTCTGTTTCTTCTGCGTCTCCTATGCTCTAGTCAGATGGACTCATGAGCAGGTCCCTTTTCACGTTTCCCTGCTCCTATACTTTAACTCCAACATTTATTCCCTTTGAAGAACCCTTCTCAGTTTGTGAATCACACTTTAAACCCATTCCTCAAGCCTACTTTGAATGTGCTATCTCCAAATTTTCTCTAAGGAATTACTTTTTTTGAGTTTCACAGAACTTTTATCTCTATCATTGTATCTTCTATTGTAGGACTTTTTGGGTTTGTTGTTGTATTTCTCATTTTCTTTGCTAAACTCTTAAGTTTCTTTATGCTAGATCCTTGTTTGATTCCTATTTGCCTTGCATATAGGTACTAAATAGACATTTATTAAATAAGTTAATTTGAAGTCAAGTATTAATAAAGCTCTAAATACAGTTGCTTTTAGTAATTAAGAAATGTCCTTTACATAGACATAGCATAAAAATAAACTTCTGTGTACCTCTGTGTCTCAGATACGTTTGTATGCATATTTTGTGCTAGTTACTCATGTTATTTCATTCCCCCCACCCCTTTCCTTATGTCTGAGGAGCTCCTCCTGAAGCTCCACATGAAAAACAATGCCTTCTCACTTCCGTCATTTTGAGGATTGCGATGGGGGATAGCTGAGATATTTGAAGCTTGGGAACTCTTGTGTTTTGGTTTGAAGCTGCTTTGATCAACTGGCCTTCCCAGGCCAGCTTCAGTGGGGCCAGGATCTGTAGACTTCCCCAGCTTGTAGGTTCAGAAATCTGTGACTATGTAATTAGGATAATTTTCTCAGGAAAATTTAATCAGATGGTGAGCTCACTGGCATATTGTGTGTTTTTTTTTTTCTATCTTCTGGTATAATTAACTGTTCTCCAAGCAACTGAAGAAAACAAATTTTATTTAGGAGGAAAAGTATTTTATTTTGCCCCTAGTCAATTTACATAACCGCAGCTTCTGTCTGTAAAATGTGGACACCACAGTCTTCTCTCTTATTCCTCTCTGTTTTACTGAAATGCCATGTGAGTAAAAGACTTTAGACAAGAGAATGTACACTCTCTCCACCCCTCCAATGAGATAGGATCGGGGGAGGATTATAACAGACTTATTTCTTTGATATTCAGGTATGGAATTGGCAATTGGACAAATGTATCTTTCTACGAGGCCATCAGGAAACAGTGAAAGACTTTAGACTCTTGAAAAATTCAAGACTGCTTTCTTGGTCATTTGATGGAACAGTGAAGGTAATTTAAAGTATAAATTTGTTTTTTGAAAAAGTATTCTCATATTGCAATGATTATATTGAGACAGTCAAAAGCCACTGTGAGGCTAATTACTTACTTAAAAATTTTTAATTTTTCTCATGCTTGTTTTCTGTTAATTGCAGTCACCTACATCTGCTGTGTTTAATGAGCATTTATACTGTTAGTCACATTTAAAGTAAAGGGGTCAGAACAGCCAGTGTATTAAAACTCTTGTTTTATAGACCTGTCTTGTAGCTGATTATGCTTTTTAATATAAAATGTTCTTAAAAGTGTCAACCTCCAAGTGTTTTTTTTTTTTTTTTAAGGTATGGAATATTATTACTGGAAATAAAGAAAAAGACTTTGTCTGTCACCAGGGTACAGTACTTTCTTGTGACATTTCTCACGATGCTACCAAGTTTTCATCTACCTCTGCTGACAAGACTGCAAAGGTAGGTCAATCAATTGAAACCATGCATAAAACTTTGGTAGTGGTTATGTATAATGAGTTCAAATAATATATGCAAAAGGACATAACAGTTGCTCTCTACATGTCTGTTTCATATTTTGTGATCTTTTGGAGGATGCCCATTGGCATTTAGTTGGTATCAAATGAATGAAATGAAATACATTGAGGACTTCTGATTTCTCCCTTATGGATTACTTTTTGTCTATAACTAATCAAATGCAACCTCTACTGCATATTGTAGGCAATAAAAATCATTGAAAAGCATTTACATTTAATTATACACTGACAATACAATTTTAATATAATTAATGTAATATAATTGACGTGTGTCTAAAATCACATTCTGGTGAATGATGCTGCTTGGTGGGGGACCTCAAGTACTCTCTTCTCTCCTTTTTTCTCCTTCTACCAGTCTTTCCAAACTATAAACCTTGGAATTGTCAGGGCTGTATCCTGTCTTTTGTGCTCTGTTGATGACTCTTTAGTGCATCTTAGAGTTATCTTCTCCTCTTTGTCACCACCCTGAAGAGCATGCTTTCCTCCTCCTCCACTGGTGAACTGTCCCAGCATCCTGCCTCTGGTCTGCACCTCTTCCACTTTATCTTCCATACCACTGCCTGTGTCCCTTGTTGAAACACCTATTACCTAACGGTTTATAGGCCAACCACTTAGCTCCTCACCATCTTTTTCTGCTATATTGTTTCCTCTGTGCCAGCCTACTTTCCAACTTCATCTTTTTGTGCATGCTGCTAACTTTGGTTTGATAAACCTTCTACTCTTTTACCTTGAAGCATTATGACTCATCTTTCTAGACCTAGATTTGATGGCAGCTCTTCTGAAGCGTTTCCTGACCCTCAAGCAAGGTTAGCTGCTCTACCTCCAGTGTTTCTATTACATTTTATTCATTTGTTAGAACATTTACTTCATACAACTGTTCACTAACTGTTCGTGAGCCTGTCTTTGTGATTAAACTATAAACTTTTCAAGGATAGTGACTGTAGCTAGTTTATCTTCTTGTACCACTAGTTCTTAGCTCACAGCGCTTGGAACTTGGTAGTTTTCAGTATGTGGTTGCTAAATGATGTTGACAAAACCATGAGACAATATTGAAAGAAAAAAAAAATAGCATTTGGCTGCCAAGAAGTAGGCTAGTATAGTGACTAACATTTAAAGATTACTTGTCACATGCTAGTAATTTCACTCTCTATAATCTCATTTAATCTTCACATCATAGGTACAATTGTCCTCATTTTACAGATGCCGTGTCTGAAGCTATAGAAGCTTATATGAGTTGTCCTAGTCACAAGAATCTAGTGAACAGTGGAGCTAGCACTCACATTCAGGTCTGCTTCACTCCACAGACTGCTCTTAGCTGATTCAGTGTTCTTCTGTCTAGGTCTAAATTAAGGAAGGAGTGACATTGATCCTTGAGCTGAATTTAACTTGAGTAAATAAAGGGAAACTCAGAAAAATTAACAAGGTTGCATGCTGGAACTTGGGCATCTCATGACAGTTTATGAATTGCCAGATATTAGAATGTCCATGTGATTGAATTTATGGCTGAATAGCAATCAAGGCAGATGCTTATTTTGAGTGTTTATAGCATTGCTAAACAATCCTAATTGCCTTCCAGATCTGGAGTTTTGATCTCCTTTTGCCACTTCATGAATTGAGGGGCCACAACGGCTGTGTGCGCTGCTCTGCCTTCTCTGTGGACAGTACCCTGCTGGCAACGGGAGATGACAATGGAGAAATCAGGGTAGGCTGTTTGCTGACATGAGAGCACTGCTCTTCTTGTAGCTTGGGCTAGCACTGTTCACAGTGGGGACCTTTGTTCACGGGCCAGGGAAGCATAGTCCTGAAGTTGTGGTTGGATGAGGCATTCTTTTTGTTTCTTGTGCACATTGTATTCACAGCTGCACTCCACTGCAGAAACGGATTCATTTTAGAGTTAGAGTGAAGCATTCCCTGTATATGTGAGGAAGCAAGTGCTCTAGTCATTTGTAGTTCATTCTCTGCCATTAGCTTGAGAATGATTCATCTTAATTCTTGGACTTGAACCAAAGGTTTTTGGTAGCAGAATTTGAGGAAAATAATTTTGTAAATTATGGTCTGGATTATAAATGAATTGCAAATTCTGCTTTTTCTGTGCTGAAAGAAAAGATCTCTTTAGCACTATACCCATTTGATAGCCATTTCCAGTGTGGTTTGTTGCAGTCCTCTGTGGACTGCCTGCCTGTTAAACAGTGCAGAGGTTCACATTTCCGTCATTGTGGGGCAGCGAAGGGCTCCTAATTGAGTCACAGTCTGCATGCTAGGCCAGTTTTTATTACCCTGCAGTGCTTAAGATATACATACAAACCATGCCAATTTTATTTAGAAAACAATCTATTTTTTTTAGATATATAATTTTGACTTTTAGAAAACAATCTTTTTAGGAGGCTTAGAATGTTGTTCTCTGTGTCTGTGGAAATATAGTACCATATGGAAAGAATTGCATGCTGAAAGATTAGAAATTATGGAAAAGGAGTCAGTTGACCTAGTTGTGTCAGAAGAATTGGGGAGCCGATTGGAAAAGTTTGGGTATTGGGATGACTACTTTGGTAACCAGTGTAGATGAGGAAGATGGGGTTTTCCCCCTTTCATTACAAAGGAGGATCTAAAACTCCAGGAACAGGTATATAGTGCAGAAGACTAGGAGAGTATACAGTTTGCAGGAACAGAGGTGTTATCAGATGGGCTTTCCAGGGAAATTAAGATTCTTCTTCTTGAGGACTAAGTAACCAACCTTCTCTCTACCAGTCACATAAATGTGTGTCAGCTGAAGTGGCAGGGCTGCTTTGGAAATGTTCATTTTGCTCTGAGTTCGCGTCTTTGGATGAAAGTGCTCCTTTCCCAGTTATGAGGCGGTGTTTCATTTTTCAACCACTGCAGGAAAAAGTTGTCTCCATTAAAATTGTGTTATTTTAAAAATTTTTGTTGGTACATTAAAAAAATTTTTTTCTCCCTGATTATTCAGAATATAGGAAAGTTACTGATTTTTGTTTGTATATGTACTACCTTACTGAACTGTTTCTAATGAGTTTTTCCATTCGGTTCTCTTGGATTTTCTAGGGAGAGATTTACAAATGATTGTTTAATTTTCTTTTACCATTTATGCCTCTGTTTCTTTTTCTTATTCTGGTGTACCTTTATTTGAAAAATTAGAGCACTGCTTATATATTAAATGCCACTGGAAATAAATGGCAATATTAGTATCTGTGTTAGGGTTGTTTATAATAAAGTCTAGTAAAATAATTTTAGAATACATATATATGGACATATATATGTTTTAAAACCAGAGAAGCTTCTGGATAACTCTGTTAATGAATTGTGTATCATGTTTATGTAGATATGGAATGTCTCAAACGGTGAGCTTCTTCATTTGTGTGCTCCGCTTTCAGAAGAAGGAGCTGCTACCCATGGAGGCTGGGTGACTGACCTTTGCTTTTCTCCAGATGGCAAAATGCTTATCTCTGCTGGAGGATATATTAAGGTAAGAGTTCCCCAAGAACTGTGAAAGAAAATAATAGCCTATATCATACTTTCCAAGCTATTTTCACTTCCTGTTTCTCAGTTGGGCCTTTTACAACCCAGCAGAGTAAAAAGGCTGCTACTCCGGAGGCTAAGGTGGGAGGATCGCTGGAGTCTGTGAGGTCAAGGCTGCTTTGAGCCATGCTTGCGCCACTTCACTCCACCCTGGGTGACAGAGCGACATCCTGTCTCAAAAAAAAAAAAAAAAATCTGGCAGTAAAATGAGTTTAGTAACTAAAGAAAAGAACAGAAAAAAATATTGAAAACAAAAAAGAACCAGAAAAAACTTTAAAAAATAATTAAAAGCCAGGCACGGTGGCTCACGCCTGTAATCCTAGCACTTTGGGAGGCCAAGGTGGGCGGATCACCTGAGGTCAGGAGTTTGAGACCAGCCTGGCCAACATGGCGAAACCCTGTCTCTACTAAAAATACAAAAAATAGCCGGGCGTGGTGGCATATGCCTGTAATCCCAGCTACTTGGGAGGCTGAGGCAGGAGAATCGCTTGAACCCGGGAGGTGAAGGTTGCAGTGAGCCGAGATCACACCATTGCACTGCAGCCTAGGCAACAAGAGCAAAACTCTGTCTCAAAAAAGAAAATAAATAAATAAATAAATTAATTAATTAATTAATTAAAAAAATAAATAAAAAGGAAAAGAAAAAAAAAGGCAGTTACTATTATCCCCATTTTGTAGTGATGAAACTGAGATCCACAAGACTGCTTTCCTCAGATCTTGGGGAAGCTTTGGTGACAGTGGCAGGGATGCCCTCAATCCAGAGCTGTCATACTGCCTCATACTAAACTTGGGGCATTAGAATGACTAGCAAGTTGGGTGTTTAACTTAGTTCTGTTTTCCATGTCATTCACAATTAACTATGTTGGTTGAAAATCTTTAAAAAAACATATTTTTGAAATTTCTTCAGTAATAATAATAGCAGCAGTATATGGCTTTATAGTTTACAAAACGCTTCACTCCCCTCATCTTACTAGCCAGCTTTTTGAGGCTTAAATTTCATTCTTGGTTTACAGATGAGGAAAATGATTTTCTATGGAGGTTATAACTTTCCTAAAGTTACATAATTAGTGCCGGGTGTGGTGACTCACACCTGTAATCCCAGCACTTTGGGAGGCCAAGGCGGGCAGATCACTTGAGGTCAGAAGTTGAAGACCAGCCTGGCCAACATGGCAAAACGCCATCTCTGCTAAAAAATACAAAAATTAGCTGGGTTTTGTGGCGGGCACCTGTAGTCCCAGCTACTTGGGAGGCTGAGAGGTGAGACTCACTTGAACCCCGGGGGAGCAGAAGTTGCAGTCAGCTAAGGTCACACCACTGTACTCCAGCCTGGGCAACAGAGCGAGACTATCTCAAAAACAAACAAACAAAAAAACCAAAAATAAAGTTACATAATTAGTAAATAGAAAAGCCAGGACTCAAACCCAGGTCTCTGCCTCTGCTTTCTCTAGCTAATTGGCTTTTTAAAACTTACTAGTGATTGAGGCCGCAATTTGAATGTGTTGTGGTGCTTCAGGGTCATATTTTTGGTGTTTTTTTGATGTATCTTTTATCTATCCACTCAAAAAGACTGTGTTGAATGTCCAGTGTGTGCTAAGCTACTGCTCTGTGGCACAATGTTTATGGCTTGGTTCCTGCCTTTCAGCAGCTTACAGTCTATGGGGGAAGCAGGTGGTAAACCAATAAAGTCCCTAAAGTTTAGAAGGGGTCTGGGACATGCTTTCATGAGGGAGGTGGAAGCACAAAGGAGAGGAGTGACCAGACCAACCTCAGAGAGTTAGCAGAGGCTTCACCTGGAGGGGAATGCTTGAAGTGAGTCTTTTGAATAGCAGTTTACTTGTAAAAGTGGTAGAAGATGATACTCTATATCAGCGGTCCCCAGCCTTTTTGGCACTAGGGACTGGTTTCCTTGGAAGACAATTTTTCCACAGATGGGGTGGTGGTAGGAAGTGGGGAGCGGGGAATGGTTTCAGGATTAAACTGTTCCACCTCAGATCATCAGCATTAGATTCTCGTAAGGAGTGCACAAGCTAGATCCCTCGCATGTGCAGTTCACAGCAGGGCTCTTGCTCCTGTGAGAAACTAATGCCACCACTGATCTCTCAGGAGACAAAGCTCAGGTGGTAATGTTCACTCACCAGCCGCTCACCTTCTGCTCTGCGGATGGGTTCCTAAAAGGCCACAGACCAGTACCGGTCCATGGCCCAGGGACTGGGGACTCCTCTATATTGGGCTGATCACTTGGACATTCTGAAAGCTTTTTCATTCAAAATTGATTCCTAATAAGATCTTATGATACTGTTATTTCTTACTGAAAACATTCAAGTGTAGGAGATGATTCTCATTAATTGTCTAAGGCAGGATAAGTGTTTGGAAATATTTGAATGACTGGTGTTTTGGTTACATGAGACCCACACAGCTGCAATTTTACCACCATAAGAATCTAGCTTATAAAAAAGATAAATTAGAGGACAGTTTTTAGCTTTATGAAAGGATGTACTAAGGGGTACAAAAATACAGATAAACAAAAGGAGTAATTTCTAGTATTTGATAATACAGTAGGGAAATTATAGTTAACAATTTATTGTATATTTCAAAATAGCTAGAAGAATTATAATGTTCCCAACACAAAGAAAAGATAAATATTTGAGGTGGATATCCCAATTATCCTAATTTGATCATTACACATTGTATCACATGTACCCCCAAAATATGTACAACTTAATTATCAATAAAAATTTTTTTAAAAAAGAAAGGATGTATGTTATCCCTTTACAAGGTTTCATTGAAAACACAATTCTGTTTACAAAATGTTGCATTAACCTACATCTTTATTCAGTTATTAGGAGATCCTGAGAAATGACCACCAATTGTTCTCCTTTAGTGTAAAGATAAACTAGAACTCAGTCTGCTCTGGGGATGATGCTTAGAGGAGAGTCATTGCTGTCTGTGTTGGAAGCTGGGGAGTCTTCGGCTATATTAGCTGCTGACAAATTTAACTGCTCAGCTTTGACACCAAGTTTCTAGAGACCACATCATTTGATTCTCTGGCCTCCACAGAATTCCATCACATAATTGAGAGTCTGGTTTATAAGATGTTACAAAGATCAGTGACCATATTTGCAGAGTTCTTGGGGAACCTTGAAATAAAGCAGCAGAATAGGTTTACATAGTATAGATGTTATGTCTGAAGGGTGAAAGAACTTCTAGCCTATGTATTTAGTTTGTATATTTAAATGACAATCAGGCTGCCTTTGCCTTCTGGTTTGATTACTAGCTTATTCAACTGATTATGATATAGCCCAGCCTGCATCTACCCAGCATGTTAATGAGACTATCCAAAAGCACAGAGCAAATTAAAAGTAAAAAGGAACAGCTGCTGTAGTGTCCAAGAAAATAGGCCTTTTGAGCCTGTTTACTTTAGAATCCAAGCTGTATAAATTGAGTGCCAGTAAGATAAAGTAGGTATCCAGAAGCTTAAAAAGTTCTTAACTTCCAAATTATTCCTATTTATAAGTGAAAAAATAATTTAGCTGTTTACCTGCATTATGCCACAGAGTACATACTGAATGACAAGAAATTCACATTAATTCATGTGCATGAAGGGAAAGCTGATCTGAAGTATGGAATACATGGTGATAAATGGTGGTGTGCCATGACTTGGTGGCAGCAGAGTGTAATGGTCAGGAGAGTGGGCTTTTGGCCTTGAGATAGGCTGCCTGAGTTCAAAGCCTGCCTCTGCCACTCATTAGCTTTGTGACCTTGCACAAGATTGTTTAACTTCTGTGCCTTGATTTTCTTATCTGTAAATTGATGTAATGATAATACCTAACTCATTTCACAGATTTCCCATATACCCCTTTCCCCCACAAACACATAGCCTCTTCCATTATGAACATCCCCCCACCAGAGATGTGCATTTGTTACAATTGATGGATCCACATTGACACATCATTATCACCCACAGTCCGTAATTAGGGTTTGTTCTTGGTGCTGTACATTTTTCGGGTAGTTGAACTAAGTGATCTCTAAGAGCCTTAGTGACTGAAAACAAATGAATCTCAGGTTGGTGGAATGTGCTTGATTACACTGTTATTTTACAAAGCAAACTTGTGAGTTCTGGAAAATCCCAAGTTAGTGCATGCTGGTTCAGTGAGGTTTACCAAAGTCCATTGGGTATACTTTTAGCAGTTACTATTACTAATAGTGAACATGCTTACTTGACCCACTCACATGGGAAAGACAAAATGCTAGGTACTGCCATAGGCACAAAGGTGGGTGACACTATTACTGTGTTCATAATACTCAGGATCATGGTGAGCTTGAGGCCTTTTCAGAATAAGTTTACATGTATTGTCTCTTGCCCCCATTTTAGCTGTGAGATTCATGGGTAAACTTTATGATTCCCATTTGTTAAATGAATATAAATATTATAAGCAAATTCAGTGATTGGGAAGGAAAGGAAGGACTTGGCTACAGCCCTTGCTACGTTTGAGATGTTCAGTATTTGTTTAGTAAATAAATAATATAGATTATTTTATAAAGAAACTTGGTCAAGGGCTCTTGCATCACACCTGGGGAAAGGGAAGATTCAGTAGAGAGAACATTGTTTCCTGTAGCCCATATTATGAATAGTTTGGGTCTCTGTCAGAATACCAGTCTGTGTCTGCAAAGGGGCATTTGAGTGAAGAGAGGGGGAATCTTCTGCCCATTCTCCCGAGAAGGACATGCAGACAAGAGAGTTGAGTCTGGCCACTGCTGTAATGGACTCTATAGCTTCCTGTCTGCAGCTCTCAAGCAGGCTGCATGTTTCTCCAGCACAACTCAACGGTTGGAGTTGGGTGTAGGCGGAGCAGTGAGGCCATCACCAGTGTTCATCAGGAAGAGGCTGACCAGGTTGAATAGTATATTCAGCATTAAATCCGAGACATTTTCCTCCTGTTTGCTTGAGTTCGGTTGGGGGGAGGAGATAGGGTAAAGGATCTGCTGGCACTATAAATTGTCACACAGTGTAATTACCAATCTAATGAGAATTTTATTTTTCTCTGAACAGTGGTGGAACGTTGTCACTGGGGAATCCTCACAGACCTTCTACACAAATGGAACCAATCTTAAGAAAATACACGTGTCCCCTGACTTCAAAACATATGTGACTGTGGATAATCTTGGTATTTTATATATTTTACAGACTTTAGAATAAAATAGTTAAGCATTAATGTAGTTGAACTTTTTAAATTTTTGAATTGGAAAAAAATTCTAATGAAACCCTGATATCAACTTTTTATAAAGCTCTTAATTGTTGTGCAGTATTGCATTCATTACAAAAGTGTTTGTGGTTGGATGAATAATATTAATGTAGCTTTTTCCCAAATGAACATACCTTTAATCTTGTTTTTCATGATCATCATTAACAGTTTGTCCTTAGGATGCAAATGAAAATGTGAATACATACCTTGTTGTACTGTTGGTAAAATTCTGTCTTGATGCATTCAAAATGGTTGACATAATTAATGAGAAGAATTTGGAAGAAATTGGTATTTTAATACTGTCTGTATTTATTACTGTTATGCAGGCTGTGCCTCAGGGTAGCAGTGGCCTGCTTTTTGAACCACACTTACCCCAAGGGGGTTTTGTTCTCCTAAATACAATCTTAGAGGTTTTTTGCACTCTTTAAATTTGCTTTAAAAATATTGTGTCTGTGTGCATAGTCTGCAGCATTTCCTTTAATTGACTCAATAAGTGAGTCTTGGATTTAGCAGGCCCCCCCACCTTTTTTTTTTGTTTTTGGAGACAGAGTCTTGCTTTGTTGCCAGGCTGGAGTGCAGTGGCGCGATCTCGGCTCACCACAATCGCTGCCTCCTGGGTTCAAGCAATTCTCCTGCCTCAGCCTCCCGAGTAGCTGGGACTACAGGTGTGCGCACATGCCAGGCTAATTTTTGTATTTTTAGTAGAGACGGGGTTTCACCATGTTGGCCGGGATGGTCTCGATCTCTTGACCTCATGATCTACCCGCCTTGGCCTCCCAAAGTGCTGAGATTACAGGCGTGAGCCACCGTGCCTGGCCAGGCCCCTTCTCTTTTAATGGAGACAGGGTCTTGCACTATCACCCAGGCTGGAGTGCAGTGGCATAATCATACCTCATTGCAGCCTCAGACTCCTGGGTTCAAGCAATCCTCCTGCCTCAGCCTCCCAAGTAGCTGAGACTACAGGCACGAGCCACCACACCCAGCTAATTTTTAAGTTTTCTTGTAGAGACAGGGTCTCACTATGTTGTCTAGGCTGGTCTTGAACTCTTGGCCTCAAGTAATCCTCCTGCCTCAGCCTCCCAAAGTGTTGGGATTGCAGATATGAGCCACTGGCCTGGCCTTCAGCAGTTCTTTTTGTGAAGTAAAACTTGTATGTTGGAAAGAGTAGATTTTATTGGTCTACCCTTTTCTCACTGTAGCTGCTGGCAGCCCTGTGCCATATCTGGACTCTAGTTGTCAGTATCTGAGTTGGACACTATTCCTGCTCCCTCTTGTTTCTTACATATCAGACTTCTTACTTGAATGAAACCTGATCTTTCCTAATCCTCACTTTTTTCTTTTTTAAAAAGCAGTTTCTCCACTGCTAAATGTTAGTCATTGAGGTGGGGCCAATTTTAATCATAAGCCTTAATAAGATTTTTCTAAGAAATGTGAAATAGAACAATTTTCATCTAATTCCATTTACTTTTAGATGAATGGCATTGTGAATGCCATTCTTTTAATGAATTTCAAGAGAATTCTCTGGTTTTCTGTGTAATTCCAGATGAGTCACTGTAACTCTAGAAGATTAACCTTCCAGCCAACCTATTTTCCTTTCCCTTGTCTCTCTCATCCTCTTTTCCTTCCTTCTTTCCTTTCTCTTCTTTTATCTCCAAGGTTAATCAGGAAAAATAGCTTTTGACAGGGGAAAAAACTCAATAACTAGCTATTTTTGACCTCCTGATCAGGAACTTTAGTTGAAGCGTAAATCTAAAGAAACATTTTCTCTGAAATATATTATTAAGGGCAATGGAGATAAATTAATAGTAGATGTGGTTCCCAGAAAATATAATCAAAATTCAAAGATTTTTTTTGTTTCTGTAACTGGAACTAAATCAAATGATTACTAGTGTTAATAGTAGATAACTTGTTTTTATTGTTGGTGCATATTAGTATAACTGTGGGGTAGGTCGGGGAGAGGGTAAGGGAATAGATCACTCAGATGTATTTTAGATAAGCTATTTAGCCTTTGATGGAATCATAAATACAGTGAATACAATCCTTTGCATTGTTAAGGAGGTTTTTTGTTTTTAAATGGTGGGTCAAGGAGCTAGTTTACAGGCTTACTGTGATTTAAGCAAATGTGAAAAGTGAAACCTTAATTTTATCAAAAGAAATTTCTGTAAATGGTATGTCTCCTTAGAATACCCAAATCATAATTTTATTTGTACACACTGTTAGGGGCTCATCTCATGTAGGCAGAGTATAAAGTATTACCTTTTGGAATTAAAAGCCACTGACTGTTATAAAGTATAACAACACACATCAGGTTTTAAAAAGCCTTGAATGGCCCTTGTCTTAAAAAGAAATTAGGAGCCAGGTGCGGTGGCACGTGCCTGTAATCCCAGCTCCTTGGGAGGCTAAGACAGGAGGATTCCTTGAGCCCTGGAGTTTGAGTCCAGCCTGGGTGACATAGCAAGACCCTGTCTTAAAAGAAAAATGGGAAGAAAGACAAGGTAACATGAAGAAAGAAGAGATACCTAGTATGATGGAGCTGCAAATTTCATGGCAGTTCATGCAGTCGGTCAAGAGGAGGATTTTGTTTTGTAGTTTGCAGATGAGCATTTCTAAAGCATTTTCCCTTGCTGTATTTTTTTGTATTATAAATTACATTGGACTTCATATATATAATTTTTTTTTACATTATATGTCTCTTGTATGTTTTGAAACTCTTGTATTTATGATATAGCTTATATGATTTTTTTGCCTTGGTATACATTTTAAAATATGAATTTAAAAAATTTTTGTAAAAATAAAATTCACAAAATTGTTTTGAAAAACATTTTTGGATTGTTTCATTCTTTGCTTGTCATTTATCTGTTGATTAGACCACTAAAGTGAAGGATTCAAGCTAAATACATCAACCTTTCTATTTAGGCTTTATCAGCTATATGTAAATTCAATTCTATCAAAATTTTCTGAGTGCCTCCTCAGTGTGTCTCTCTGATGGTTCCTGCCCGGTATGGCTGGCATGAAGAAGATCCTGTAAAAAAGAGAATTCATTTATTTATTCACTTAGTTTGTTCATGCATTTGTTTAATAAATATTGAGATGTACCATGTGCCTGGCATTGTGGTAGGTATTGGGAACACAGGAGTGAGCAAAACAAAAGTCTTGCTCTACTGCAGTTAAGGGCCAGGGAGAGGCAGAAAAAGTAAATAAGTAAAATCTATAGTGAATTTGGTGGTATGTACAAGCGGAGGGGAAGGGGTTACGGTTTTAGATGGACTGGCTCTTTCAGAAGCTGACACTTGTACAGACCTGAAAGATGTGAGGAAGTGAGCTATGCATCTGTCGGGAAACCATTCTGAAGGATACAGCAGGTGCAGACTCCAGTGGGATGGTTGGTGTATTCTGGGAGCAGCCAGACGGCCCATGTGGCTGGAGAAGGGTGAGTGTGAGGAGTCTAACAGGAGAGGCAGAGAGGAATTGGGGTAGCACCGGAGGCTGCCTCTTAGGCCACAGTAAGGACTTCACTTTTGACTCTGGGAGCCAGTGTAGGAGTTTTGAGCAGTGGTCTGATTTAAGCTTTAACGAATCACCCAGGCAGTGGGAATCAACTGAAAGGGGAACCAGTGAGAAGCTTTTGTAATCATCCGGACAAAATGAAGGTGGGCCAGACTAGGGTGGCAGCAGCAGAGCTTGTGACAAGTTGGATTCTGGACATATTTTGAAGATAAGAGTTAATAGGATTTGCTGATGGATTGGATAAAGGTTGTGAGAGAGACAAGAAAAGAATGATGCAAGGTTTTAGCCTGAGCAACTGGAAGAAGAGAGTTGCCGTCAGCTGAGATGAAGACAATGAAAGCAGCTTTGCGGACGCGGTAAGTTTGAGATGCCCGTTAACGAGACATCCAGGTGGGGATGCTGAGTAGGCGGGATGCAAGGCTCTGGAGTTCATGGGAAAGCTCCACCAGGAGGTAGAAATCTGAGAGTCATCAGTGAATTGATGGTATTTAAAATCAGAGGAGTAGATGAAATCAGCAGTGAAGTGGGTGTAGATAGAAAAGACAGGGGGCCCCAAGACTGAGTCCAGGGCAGTCTGGAGATCAGTGGGATGAGGGATAAGCCCAGGAGACTAAAAAGGACCAGCAGAGACTAAGAGTTGCAAATTAGTGTGGTAAGTACAGTGAATGCAGCAGGCATGGGCCCCTTAACGTCTTCTTGTCTGTAGTCCTTGATCAGTCTGCTCATTCACCCACCTATCTATCCTGTACTCCTTGAGCATCTGCATGCCAAGCACTGTTTTAAGCAGCAGAGGAAGCAATAAGTAAATACATTTGAGTTGTTGAGAGATCATGGGGACAACAGATGATAAGAAAACAGGACAGTATCAGCAGTTGTCTTATCTGAAAAATGAGGATCCGTTCCTCCCTCCAGATTGTTGTAGGATTTAATGAGATAAAGCTCCTGAAGCACTTATCTCATTGCCTGCACTAAGAGACCGCTCAGGGGACATTCTGCAATGCCATTTGAGCTCCCTCCTCTTTGCCTGGCAACAGCCCCAGCTGCCATCTCTGCCTCCAGTTGTGCCCTTCTGCATGATCTTTCCAGAGCACTCATCTGAATCACATTAAACTTCTCTGTTTAAACTTTGTGTTTACACTTCTGTTTAAACCCTGGACCTGCTCCAAGTTCTCTTCTGTAGCTTTGTGTACACTGTTTTCTCTATGCTGTCCTCTCACCGATTTTCTTTTCCCCGCTAACTCCCTATGTTTCACAAATTCTTTAAGATGACCCTCAAGAGCTGAAGGGCTGCCCTGCCCTCTCCTAGCATTCTCTTTTCTCTGTCATGGCTTTTGTTGTTTTGGAATTGCTTGCTTATTGAGGTCCCCAGTAAATCGTAAGCTCCTTGAAAGCCAGGACTGTATAGAGTCTAACATGAGCCTAGCATTGCAATGAGGGCCTCAGTAAACACTTGTTGGATGACTGGAATTCATCTCCTGAGTTCCATGGGATGAATTTGCCCACGTGTTCATAACACAGTCTATGTTCTTCCTTTCCATAAGGATATCATGAGGCTGTCAAATGAAGATGTAGCATATCACCAGCATTTTATCTTGCCGTTTTAGTTTGGCCTTTTTCTGTGAAACATCATTAGGGGAAAGTAAAACTTTACTTGGACAAAAGAGGTTTGCTACCAAATTATATAAAATGAATAAACATATCCCTGGAGTGTTTAAGTCAGCAAGTATGGCCATCTATTATTCCACAGACATTTTATATTATAATTTACTCACTGAACTTTAACGAAGGAGAAAATGATTTTCTAATAATTCTTAGTCTTTGAAGATTGTCACTGGAATACATTCCTTGCTCATAACCACTCCCCTTGGGACCGTGGATATACTATACAGTTATTAAAATGCCTGAATTAGAAAATCTGCTGCTCTTGGGCTATGAGTTTAACTATAGAAGAATTACTGTATATGCTCACACGAGAGGGGCAGAAGAAGGGGGTCACATTTGAGACGTAGCAGAGACCAGGCCTTTGAAGTCCTCTGGCATCAACAATGACTTGCTCCTGAGTCAAATGATGTGAGAAAACCAGAATTTGGGAAATTTTCATTTCAATTAAGATTCAGGAAAATGAGTCACTGGTGTTCTTTGTAAATTCATTTATGAGGTCAGGCCCCCAGAACTGGGAATGCTCCTTATCACATAGAAATGAATAGAAAAATCTGCCTCTGTAATTTCCATCACCCAGGGCTAGAATATGTAACTAGAGAGGGTGGTCGAGGCCTGAGTTTGGGTCTGGGGGTTCAGAGCAACCGATCAAACTGGAAAACTGAGCAGGTGAGTGGAGACTCCTGCTGTTCTGAGGAGCACACGTTCGCATTCATTCAAATGTTTATCGCCGCTCCACTCGAGGCACTGCCCAACTCTCATTTATCTTCACAGAAGTTGAGTGGATCTGCAGACTGCAGCTTCAGTTTTTAGATAGAGGAAGAACTAAACCCCAGCAGCTAATCGGTGACAAAGCCAGGGCTAGAATCCAAATCTGCTATTCTTTATAGATAGAAAGGCCAAGACTCTTAGGCTTGTAAGTCACCTGTCAGTCACAACTGGAAGTAGAATACTCCTGGGTTCAGTGGCAGATGACATCAGCCTAGGGGTCATAAGGCTTGGTTTCACTAGCTGGGGAAAGTCATCCAATAGCTTACGTGATGGTTTTGGAGATGTTCTTATATTCACCTTCAATTAGCAGTGAGCCCTTCACTAAGCCCTTCATCTTGGGCTTATTGCCCTACTTGCTGTCAATTAACCTCTGGAGACACACCAAGTCTTTTAGAAGGAAGGAAGGGAGCTACTATTTTTTGAGGGCCTTTTATGTGCCAAGCCCACAGGCTGGGCATTTTCCATACGTTATTTAACTGAATCATAACAGTGCTGCAAGGTGTTATCTCTTTCATAGGTGTGCAAACAGATGCAGAGAGGTTAGGTTTCCAGGGCCCCACAGCCAAGTGGTGGAGCTGGGTTTCTGGTCCACGGCCTTCTGTCTCCACTGGGTGACACTCCCTGTACCTTCTCATTGAAGCCCCTGGGCTAGAGGGTCCAAGAGCATCACTTCAGTTCTGCATTTCATTCGTTACTCACTTGCATCAGGACAGATGCATCACTACTAAGCTCTCGGAGAAGGCATCAGATGCTGTCTGCTCCCAAGGAGCTTCTACTTTTGGTAGTCTGCTTAACTTGTATCTGTGCCTGTAGAGATTGCTCTTTGAAAAAAGCAGCAGGAACATTCTGATAGAAGCCAATGGATGGGACAGGTGGGGGGAATGCGTTGGATTTGCCAGCACCTGGCCACTGCCCAACCTGCTCTCAATTCTCAGATGATTCAGGTATTGAGCAAGGAAGGTAGCAGAGCTACTGTTGCCTTCCCTTTGGGGAAGCCTGTTTCTACTTTGAAACTCTTAAGGGATTCATTTCAAATTAGTGGCAGGCCTTGGTTAGTGGATCTGTGTGCTGTCTTCTGCCATCTTGATTGCATCTCCCCCCTTCTCCTTTTCCTTTCATTTGAAAAAAGATGCAGCCCCTCAGAGCCTCACTTTCCTGATTTGTCAAATAGGGAACCTAATGTACAAGGCTTTTGTGGGGCTTAGAAAAAACATGTCAAGAATCTGATATAGATCTCAATAAACAGCATAATACTTATCTTTCGTCCCAGTTACAAACCCCCATTCCTGTACTGCCCAAATCTCCATGATTCACAAATTGCGACCCTGCTGCTTCTGCTCCATGGCAGACACCTAGCTCCAGGCACCCTCCTCTACCACCTCCTTCTCCTTATGGCCATTGGCTTTTAGGAGACAGACATTGCTTACTTAGCAGGAAAGCTGTCACCTGCTTTCTTTTGAACTATCCCGAACTTGATTCTCTTTGGGCGACGCATACACCCATCAAGTGGTAAAGAAGACTGGGAATGAGGGGAGAAAAGACCCTGGGCTTGTTGCTGGGGCCAGTAGCTTGGGAGTGTGGTGGTATGTGTGTGGCTTTGGCTGTCAAGTGGATCTAAGTTCAACCCTGGCTACACTGACTTTCCAGCTGTGTGACTTCAGCAAATGGGTTAATCTCCTCAAGGATTCACTTCCTAGGGAGGCTTTAAATGTCCCCGGGTGATTCCAGTGTGCAGTGGAGGTTGAGAGCCAGCGCCCTCTACTCTCACCCTTGATGCCCAACCAACTCATTGCCAGTCTCCTCCTTTAGCACAGCCCATGATGCTGCGATGTCTGCCAATGCAGCATGCCCCTTTGTGCCTGCTCTGCCCATAACATTCTCAGGAGCTTGCTGGACAGCACAGATGTTTGGTGTGCATATTAACCCAGCTGTGGGGATCTTTCCTGCTCAGGTTTGGTGGCTAATTTATAGAGCAGCTCTGTCAGGATGATCACCAATCCCTCTTACAGGCACTGCTTTCTCTGTTCAAGTGTCTCACATGTGTGTGCTTGTGTTTGCCTTTTAGCTATTACTGTGATGATTCCCAATGTAGTAGACACTGCCAGTGACCACCGCAATATCCAATCTCCCCCTTTTCCTCACTAACAACCCCTGCATTGTTGGGGGCTGCAGTGTGCTCAGCTAAAACTAACAATTGCAGCCACATTTTCCATCCTCCTACATAGGGGTGGCCAATAAGCTGTATGCAGAAGTTGTGGGGTGGAGCTTCCAGGAAAGCTCTTAAAAGTCTGCCTTATTCAGCTGGACAATGCTTCCATCCTATGGTCCTTACCATCTTTTCTAATGCCTGGAATATGTGTGTGCTGGAGGATGCTCCAGCAGCCATTTTGTGACAATGAGGCAATCTTGAGGCTAAAAGCCACTTCCAAAGGATGGCAGAGTAGAAATATAGAAGGATCTTGAGATTTCAATGATATCATAAAGCTACAATTCCAGCTCTGTACTGCCTATCTCTGAAGTTCATGTTACATGAGGGAAAATTCAACCCCTGCCTCGTTTAAGACATTGTTATTGCTGGTCTTTGCTACTAGTTCTTTAGTTCAATTCCTAACTGATACTTCCCAAAACAAACCTGGTGAATAACAGCAATTCAACAAATGTCACCGACCCCTGAATCTCTGCCTCCTCCACCCACTCACCCCAGCTACAAACACTCTTTCTTTCTCCTGATGAGTAACCGGGCATCTAGCTGTAAGGTTGCTGAAGCTTTGTGGAATCTCAGAAAGTCATAAAGCTACTGAACAAGTTCACAAACAAGTGATGCATAGACCACACCCAGCCCACAGATGAGTTCTGTGTGGCTCACACTTATTTTTTAAAACTGGGTTTGCTGCCAACACTTCAAAACCCAACGATTTTGCGTGAAAATCCAGATTTCTTAGAAAATCTGTGGACCCAGGGTCTTCCTTTCTGCCTGGCAACAATCAGCTGGAACTCAGCAGTGGTTGCCCCTGAGATGAGGCACAGCCCCATCCCCCTCACTCATGTCACCTGTATGGCTTGGAAGGCATGTGAGTTTGCAACCTGCTCAAACCCACACCCCAGAAACGGCCCGCTAAAATGGGATTTCAGAATCCACTTGTACCTTTCTTCTTTCTCAGTCTCCCCTGACTCAACACAGCACACTGGCATTGTTTTTTTCCTCTCAGACAACTCAGCATGCACTTTTGAGAATCAGAGAGAAATCCGCCTCTCAAATGTCAGAAAACAGCTGATGCTGCCTCTTACTTGGGGGCCTTTTGACTTCCCACGTGTCTTACTGCCACTTGAGAGGGAGGGCTGCAGGCAGGCAGGCTCCCTGGGGAGCAGCTGTTGGGATGCTTGATTGAGGCCCTGAGACAGCCAGAGGACAATTAAATTGGGTATTGAATATGAATTGCTTTGAATGGTTTTTATTACCACATTGTGAGCTGACTTTGGTTGTAAAATCTGACTCCATCTCTTGCTCTTACTGTGGTGATGAGACAGAACTTCAAGATGTCTTAAATAGCAGGGCTTGGAACATGCATATTAGCTCATCTGTACTCGTGAAGTCTGTCATCTGATACCCGCGCTCCTCCACTGTCTGAACCAAGTTAGGAGCCCTGATTAAACCTCCGCGGCTGCAGTCGCCACCTTCCGCCGGGGTGACCCCATTGGAGATGACAAATGAAGGATGTCTTATTTCAGCCTGATGTGTAAGTCTTCACAGCACTGGTCGTTAACTACTCTTGGAAAGTTAAATGCCCATGCAGCTTTTTTTTTTTTTTTCCCCAAACAAACATAGGTCTCTGAGGTTTTGGAGAGAAAAACAAAAACTGTTTTAATAATAATTTGTAGCTATGCTTTTTGATGAGTTGCACACTGAGTGCAATATGTTGGCTGCAGAATGACCATCTTTGCAGAAGCAACTCTAAGGAAAGTGATGCCACGCTAAGCACAGAGTGAGTTCTCAATAAGTAGACCGACTTGAGCGGAAGACAGAAACAGTTAAGTGGAGTTGGCATTTCCCTGGTTGGCACCAAGGTCTCAGGGTTATTTCGACCACAAAATTAAGTTCCAGCTCCTAGCTACTAACAGAGTCACAATATGCAGCATGGTGATGGTCAAAAGGCCTGAGCAAGTTCAAAGCGCCGTCTCTGCCGGCTTTGGAACCGGTTTCTGTGGGAAGCAGGACTCTGTTGCTGGGGCAGGCAGATGCTTGTGTCCATTTGCCTAGAGGCAGTAAATGTGGGGCTGGCTGGCTGGCTGTTGGGGAGCTAGGACTGGAATATGGGGTGGGCCAGTGGGCCTTGCTGCATGTAGACTCTGTGCTGGCTGTGTTGGCTAGTTAGTTACCCAACTTTATTTCAAAAAATGTGTTTCGAACCTTCAGATCGACTAGCCTATCTAAAAAGAGAACTTAGAAAGTTATTTTTTTTAAAAAAAGTCTTCTTCCTACGGATTTCCTGAACATGGCCATTATATTCTAATTCTCTTGAGGCTAGATCACTTATCAAATTTTCATTTCTTTTCAGAAGTAATTAGGAGTGATGCTACCTTGAATCCAGGTGTGAATTTTTATTGATTTTTGAGGATTTGGCCACGTGTTCCTTTATCCAAGCCTGTCTTCTGCTCCATCTTATCCAAACAAACATTGAACCAGCAATATTCCCAAGTATTCCAACTTGAGAAAAATCTTGTGTGTCTTGAGAAAAATCATTTCCATGACTTATTAATGAACTAACTAGGGATAATTTTCATAGGGTTCGTTAACTCAGATTTATCATAGAATACAATTTAATAAGAAACAATTAAATGGAGTAATTGAATTCAAGTCCTTTTTTGAGTAATGATGTTAGCATTCAATGACCCCCCCTGCCCATGGTTATTGAAGTTATCAATGTATCAATTTTCCCCTTGAAGAAAATCAGCTGCAAATCTCTTCGTCAATGCATGGGCCGCCTCTCATCTGCCCCCTGCAGGCCTAGCCCTTCCTTTTCCCGTCCCTGCTCTGGTCTATGGGGCTGCTGTGTGTATAGAAAAAAATGAAAGGACTGATGACCATGTAGATAATGTTTTTCCAAACATACCATCGAGGCTGTGCTACAAAAGTGATCCAGTTTGGTGGTCCTTTCTCTTTTAGAGATGCCTGTTTTGACAATTCCTCCTTACAGTCTGCTTTAATATTTAAAAGAAGGCAGTGGGGGCTTTAGGTTAAAATTAAAGTTTCAGAGGCCTGTGTATCTTTCTCAGACTGGTTGAACTTGGAACTGTGCAACTTTTCTCAACAATTTTGCCAATTAAAAAAGTCCCTTTAGCTGTAGATGCTGAGAAGGCTGGGCCTTTGGTTCTGCTCCTAAATGGGAGTGGGGAAGGTGCTCACAGAACGATGCCAAGCACCACTGCTGTACAACTTCTGTTTTATTTTTGTGTGCTTTTTTTATAGGATATAAATAATGACAAAAATTACAAAATTTATAACTGGAAGCCCAAGCTTATTTACACATATGCTTCTGTTTCAGCAAAGCTCCTATTAACTTTGCTCCTATACAATTGCCTCCTGGTACCATATTTTAGTGTTATTTAACTCTCATTTTGCTACATACATATCAACAGTGAATAGGCAAAATATATACAAGGAACTGTTCAGTTCAAGTAATTTAATATTGTATTAAAATTCTTCAACACTGAACTAAAACCGTATACATTTGTTAGTTTGAAATAAAATGTAGTTATTCTTCAAAACTCACCAACTGATGAATGTAACTGATCATCTCAGTTAGGTTTAAAATAATGTCAGTTAATAAAAAAACATTAAGACAATTCCACAATTTATCAATATCGCTATAATGAACTTCAAAATGATTCACAATATGATTGTTAGAACAATATACATTAAAATGTTATTTTTTTCTATAATGATATTGGTACTGTTTATATAATTTGATTCTACATAAATATACATTATGGTATCATACAAATACTCCACAGAGACATTAAAAAATTAAAATACCTTAAAGAAATGTAAGTAAATTTTATTTAATCAAATAGTAAGCAAACTTTTTTTTTGTTTGTCTCAAGAAAAGTTTTATTACTTTGGAATTTCTTCTTTTTTTTTTTTGTATTTATTTTTTCTAGAAAAAGAAATTTTTGCAATAGAATTTTATTAACACCTTTCTCAAACAAGGTTTCCATGACAGAAATCTTGACAGCAGGAGCACTAGATTTTTTTTTTTTTAACATGTTCTTTAAAACACTGTGAAGATTAAAAAACAATCTTGGCAGGCTGATGGCTGCGTCAGCACTTCCGGGCCTCCTGCTCTAGGGAGCATCACCAGTATTTTGCCACCACTGAGCCAGTCCTCTTGGTAGTAGCAGTAGAAATTTAATTATTTGAAATGAAACCAGAAACATCCCTCGCAACTAACCTAGTTTTCTTATCAATGCATTAATGAAACATTCTTTTAATAAAAATATTTAATACAAGACACATTTTGCTGTGCATAATAAATTCCTCTGCTTTGAATCATTCTTTCCTTTTGAACCAATCATTTGGTTGAAAGGTTTTCTTTCTCTGACATAGGTGATTACATATAAAATCCACAAATATAGAAATGGGGAAACAGAATCTCCTGGCAATCATATCACGGGAGTTGTTTTTGTCCTTTTGCATTAAACGATACTCAATGATAGAATGATTTTACAGATGCTTTGGAGGTGGGAGGGGTAGTGCTGCTCTGATTTCACCTTTAAAACTGCTGACAGTGAAAGCATACTTTTAGGCAGTATTAGAGATCCCCTTTACTTTTTTTTTTTTTTTTTTTTTTTTAAAGAAAAGGTATTATTTTCCCCAAATGAAGCAAAGCAAGTACTGGGGCGGAGTCATCAGAAATACCTTGGGAGGTGGTGGGGAGGGGAGTCGGGAGCATCAGGGAAAACCCATCTCAACTCACGCCTCTCAGGGGTTGCGACTGGAAAGTCTTGCGTTTTCCATCACTGGTGCAGAAAGAACTTCCCCAGGAATGGCCAGTGGCCTTTCGCCCGTAACAAGGCCGCACGCTCAGAGCAGTCTTCCTCCTGGGCTGGGTGGACGCGGAGGCGCGAAGGAAAGCCTGCTCCGGGACCGCTTGGCGAGCAAGGCACCGCGAGGACAGGAGGACGGCGAGTATCAGAAAATCGTGGTTTCATACTTGGTATTAATGCCCCTCTTGGCTTCTTGGCCCGGCTCCACAATCCACGGTAGATTGGCCAGAGTCTTTTGCTCAGATGGGTCGATCTGCTTTAAAACAGAAAGGCTGATGCCTGTTATACGGTCGCCGCGCGGGTGCGCGCATGCACGCGGACGCCGCTGGCGAACCCACGCGAGGCCCCTCGCCCCAGGCGCGGGGCGGCGATGCTGGTCTAGGCGGCTCGCGGGCTCGCTCTTTGGACACACATTTACCGCATACCGACTCTCTGCAGGGCACCCTGAGGGTGACGGTGAATAAGGCACAGCCCTTGCCCTTGTGAGCACACAGACGGGGAGCAGACAGAGGCGGATTTCAGTGCTGAGAGGTGAGATACGAGGGGAAGAGAGGGCACCATGTGGGCACACACACCTTGGGAGCCAGGGGGGCTTCCTGGAGGAGGTGAATCAGGCATGCCACTCCCCGGCTCTCACTCTCCAGTGGTTTCCATCACAGTCAGTCAGAACAAAACCCGAACTCCTCACCGTGACCTCCAGTACCCCTGCCCACCTGATTTTTCTGCTGCAGCCACACAGCTTCCTTGCTCTTCCTGCCCGCCAAGCCCACGCCCAGGGCCTCTGCGCTCATCATCTGCTCTGCCCGAGTTCCCTTCTCCAGACACCTGCATGCCTCATGCTCTAATGCCATTCAGGTCTCTGCTCAAATGCCACTTCCACTGGCACCTGTATTCCTAGAAGCCTTTCCTGTTTACTCCTACAAAAAGCACCCCAACTTTTCTGCTCTCCTCTTCTGCCTTATTCCTGACAATACTTATTGCCGCTATGCGTCATCACATATTTATTTGTTCATCCTCCACTGCCACGTATGCTCATGGAGGCAGGATTTTGTCTGTTTTCATCACTGCCATTTTCTCCAAAACGCAGAAAAGCTCCTGGCAACCCCGTAAATAATAGGCACACAATAAATACTTGTTGAATAAATGGTATCAAAAGAATGAGGTAATATTTAAATGGACAGCCGAAGGACCAGCAAGTATTTGCCTGAAGACAGGAGGAGGGGGCATTTGAAGTAGATGAAACAGCACATGCAGCAGTCCCAGAATAATCTATACAACAGAATGAAACACAGCCTCATCTTCCACTATATACAGAAATCAACTCAAAATGGATTAAAGACTTAGAGGGAAGACCTGAGACGATGAAAGAACTGGAAGAAAACATTGGGGAAACACTACAGGACATTGGTCTGGATAAAGATTTTTTGGGTAAAATCTCAAAAGCACAGGCAACGAAAGCAGAAAGAGACAAATGGAATTACATCAAGTGAAAAAGCTTCTGCACAGCGAAGGAAACAATCAACAAAGCGAAAAGACAACCTACAGAATGGGAGAAAATATTTGCAAAGTATCCATCTGACAAGGGATTAACAACCAGAATAAATAAGGGACTCAAATAACTCAATAGCAAAAAACAAAAATAAAAAACAAAAACAAAAACAAAACCAACTCAATCTGATTAAGTAACAGGCAATAGAACTGAACAGGCATTTCTAAAAAGACGACATACAAACGGCCAACAGGTATAGGTAAAAATGCTCAACATCACTAATCATCAGGGACATGCAAATGACAATCACAATGTGATACGATCTCACCCCCGCTACTATTGAATGGCTAGTATCAAAAAGACAAAAACTAATGGATGCTGATGAGGCTACAGAGAAAGGGAAACACTTCTACACTGTTGGTAGGAATCTAAATTAGGAAAGGCACTATGGAGAATAGCATGGAGGGTCCTCAAAAAACTAAAAATTGAGCTACCATATGTTCCAGCAACCCCACTACTGCGTATATATACAAAAGAAAAGAAATCAGTATATCAAAGAGATATCTGCACTCCCATGTTTATTGCAGAATTATTCACAGCAGCCAAGACATGGAATCAAACTAAGTGTCCATCAATGGACGAATGGGTAAAGAAAATGTGGTATATATACACAACGGAATACTATTCAGCCATAAAAAGAATGAGATCCTGTCATTTGCAGCAACATGAATGAACTGAAGGTCATTATGTTGAGTGAAATAAGCCAGACACAGAAAGACAAATATTGTATGTTCTCATATGTGGAGGCTATAAAAAGTGGATCTCATGGAGATTGAGTAGAATGGTGGTTACCAGAGGCTGGAAAGTGAAGAAGGGAGAGTAGGGATGAAGAGAGATTGGTTAATAGGTACAAAAATATGGTTAAATAGAAGGAGTAAGTTCTAGTATTTGATAGCACAGTAGGGTGACTGTAGTTAACAACAATTTATTGTATATTTCAAAATAACTAGAAGAATTGTAATTTCTCAATACAAAAGAAAAATATTTGAGGAGATGGATATCTCAATTACTGATATGATCATTACATATTGTATACATGTGTCAAAATATCACATAGCAATAAAAAACAGTCCCAGAGGTAAGGGAAAATGGTCGTTGAGGGGTTGGGGTCAGTTTGCAGGGTGGGGAGCGGGAAGGCAGACAGCTAAGGGTGAGGAGGTGAGCAGGGACCCAGTCAGGCTAAGCCTTGAGACAAATCCTAAAATGGTTTCGTCCCTGTGCGTACAAATACAACGGGACACTCCTGGGGCGGGGCCGGGCTGTCCGCTCTCAGGAACGGCCCTCAGGTGGATCTACACCATGGCTGCCTCTTCCTTTGGTGTTTCCAGGTCTGCCTGCCCTGTCCTAGCTGCCTGCTCTTCTCAGAGCCTGAGGTTGTGGGAAGGCCTCTCCCATTTCTCTGGCACCATGAGCTTTGCAGCTGCCTTCTACCGTGCCTTGACTGTATCTCCATAAAGCTGTGGGGAGGACCTCACGTGTTCTTAGGGATCACTGAATATTTCTTACCAAGAAATGCCTGGGGCTGAAGGAACTAGAATACTAATGCCTGTCGAGGGGGACTGATCTTGAAGCACATAAATAACATCAGTATTATTCACTGTATATTTTCCTATTTCCCTTGAAGGCATCTGGATGAATATTCTATGAGCTCTTATGCCACCCAACCCTTTGTGCTCTTCTGGAAGAAGCCTGTGGGGACCAGGGTAAGGTCAGATAGAGGCACCTGCTGTGAACAGATTTATTCAGCCCACATGAGAATGAATACAATAGTCTAAGAGATAATCTCTAAAACATTCTGCAAATTCCTGGACACTTAGCAGCCTAATCAATCTCAAAGATATGCTTGTGAAATCCATCCACAGGCCCTCATTTTGTCATCCACAGATATTCACTGAACACCTGCTATGGGCCTGGTTCCGGTGGTGACAACACAGGTGGGGTCCCTGTGTGCATGAAACTTACATTTTTTTTTTTGAGACGGAGTCCTGCTCTGTCGCCCAGGCTGGAGTGCAGTGGCTCAATCTCTGCTCGCTGCAAGCTCCGCCTCCCGGGTGCAAGCCATTCTCCTGCCTCAGCCTCCCTAGTAGCTGGGACTACAGGCACCCACCACCACGCCCAGCTAACTTTTTTTTTTTTTTGTATTTTTAGTAGAGACGGGGTTTCACCGTGTTAGCCAGGAGAATCTCGATCTCCTGACCTCGTGATCTGCCCGCTTCGGACTCCCAAAGTGCTGGGATTACAGGCGTGAGCCACCGTGCCCGGCCCAAAACTTAGATTTTTGTGGAGGAAGATAGACAATAAGCCATCAGTAAAAAACCCTCAATTAATAAATGCTACACAGAATTAAAAGCAGATGACATGCTTGAAGGTGACTGGGTATCTATGTCAGATTGGGTGGTTAGGACATCCGCCTCTTCAAGTAGCCGAGACCTGAATGACAAGATGAAGTCAGCCATGCAGAAACCGGGGGAGGATATTCCAGGTGTGGGGAGCAGGTGGCATAAAGGCCTCAGGTAGGAGTGAGCATTACATAGTCAAGGAATGGGAAGAGCTGAGCATCACAGAGGACTGTGGTGGGAAACTGCATTCTGGGTACTTGGGGCAGAGGGTGCCATGACTGATCTCTGCTGTGTGGGGAGGGGAGTCTCAAGGAGCTATACTGCATAGGCCTGGGGCGAGGTGGCAGTGGCCCCGACTGGAAGAGAGATGGAGGAAGTGGGGAAGAGTGGACAGGATTGAGATATATTTTAGGGGTAGGGTGGATGGGATTTGCTCATGGGCTGGATACAGAGGTAAGGGGAAGACAGGGATCCAGGCTGACTTGTAGACTTTGGGCTTGAGTTGCATGGTGAGTGGCTGTGGGGTGGGGAAGTTGGTGAGAGAAGAGCTTTGAGGGGAAAATCAGGAATTGTGTCCTGGACATGCTAAGTTTCAGATGTCTGTGAAGCATCAAGGTGGAAATGTGAAAGAAGCTGGCCACGTGAGTCTGGAATTGGGGGGTGCCCAGGGCTGGAGATACAGAACTGGGAGCCAGTGTGTTGGGTTGGGTCAGTGCTGAATGGGAGGACCAGGGGCTCAGAGCGTGGCATCGGAAGAAAGACTTCAGAGGAGATACAGCTCCTGGGGATGGCTGGTAATGAGTGATGGACACAGGAGCGAATGGCCGGGGCTGGAGGGAAAGATCCCGAAAGTAAACTGTCAGGGAACTGTGAGACCAGATGCTGGAGGGGTCAATCCTGTGGATGTTGATGGTGCCAAGAAGGGTGACAGGGGTAGGCCCCCAAAAGAAGACTGAAAACAAGAACTGCATGTTCACAAAGGGAGGTGCCTCCCTGCAAATGTTAAAAATGCCTGCTGCTGTTCCCCATGACAGTGGAGGTGGGGGCTGGTGAGAAGGAGGAGAGACAGTTCCAGATGGAAGGATTCGGGGGCGTGAGAGCAATGCATTCTGGGGGAGTCCCAGGGTTTCTAGGATGCAATACGGCAGCCGGGGCAGAAACCAGATGGGAGGCTGGTTGGGAATCTTCCAGCTTTTGAATATTGCTACTACCAGAGGAGGCCGCTTTGAAGTCATGCAAGCCTGTTGGGACAGGATGTCTGCAGAGCCTGTGGGAGGGAAGGGGAAGAAATTCCTGGAGGAAGGCAGATGCTGAGAAGGAGGGGCTGCACCTTCTGAACAGGCACCATGCCGCAGGAAGCCTCAGCTGCGGGAGACAAAGCACGCAGGCCATGGCGCAGGCCTTGCATATAGCAGGGCAGCCTGTGCATCCAGCTTCCTCTAGCTGGGGACCGAGGACATCATCACTGTGTACCTCTGCAAACCTCTCTGGAGGCCAGGGGCTTGTAGGAGGCTTTGCCCTCTGATGGGATGGCAGCTGAAGCCCCAGGGAACACTGCTCCCAAGCTTTCCTGAATCTTTAGGTAAGATTCACCAAGAACAGCAGTACCTGCTGCTGAGACCCTTCATAGGGTTGCTGCAGGTGACTGAGAAAGTGGATTTCTCTGGAGGCTCCAGGTTGAGGGAGATGGTGCCCAAGACTTGGTGGGAACCAGGCAGAGGTGATGATGGACACATGCCAGGAGGAGGCCAAGGGAAAGGATGAAGAAGAGGCCCTGGGTTCTAATGGCACCCACACCACACAAGGGCCTGGTTAGCAGCCCCTTTTCCTCCTGTTCAAGGTTTTTTAGAACATCTGTATCGTTTCTACTTACCACGGACTTGCGAATGCTAACGCGGGGCTTGGGGATGGGTTTGGAGGGTTTGTTTTCAAAGCTTTCTGGAAGTGTGGAGGAGTGTCCCCCTTTTCTTGCTTGTAGTGCTAGCTGGTAAGCGACTTCGAATGCCTGTCCCAGGGTTAGGATGATTTCATAGGCTAAATTCTGCAAGAAAAATGAGAAAGCATTTGCTACTGGCACACTGCAAATTAGAATGGGTCGAATGGCTGAGGAACACTGAGGGAGGTGAACTAGGGAGGAACTTGAACTACTTCACCAGAGGCAGCAGCGATTCGGTGGAAATCTACAAAGAACAGGACACTCCGGGTCCAACTTAGGGTTTACACCAGGCTTTAGTCATTTGTGAAAAGAAAAATCTTGGGACCTCAAATCACTAAGACAAACGAAAAAGTCAGCTGGGAACTGTGTTGGGCAAACCTGCCTTGCATTCTATTCCTAAATAAGATAGCTACAAAGATAAAAAAGCTACATACCTCCCTCACAATTTGCCCAAAAGGAAATTTCCTGTGGACAAAAGACAGAGCTCAAAGTCATGCCTCTGCTCATGTGAGATAAATGCATATCAGATTGCTTCCCCTGTCCTGTTGTTTCCCTAAGCCAGACTAAGGCATAAGTGACTATTCCTGTAAATTGTGTATTCAGTGAAAGGCTGATCTTCAGAAACTCAAAATAATTCAACTGTTTGTCTCTTATCTACCTATGGCCTGGAAGCCCCCTTCCCATTTCTAGTTGTCCTGCCTTTCCAGACCAAACCAACGTACTTCTTACACATACTGATTGATGTCTCATGCCTCCCTAAAATGTATAAAGCCAAGCTGTGCCCTGACCACCTTGGGCACATGGTCTCAGGACCTCCCAAGGCTGTGTCACGGGTGCATTTTTTTTCTTTTTTTTTTTTAGATGGAGTCTCACTCTTGTCACCCAGGCTGGAGTGCAGTGGCACAATCTTGGCTCACTGCAACCTCCACCTCCCGGGTTCAAGCGATTCTCTTGCCTCAGCCTCCCGAGTAGCTGGGACTACAGGCACGTGCCACCACGCCCAGCTGATTTTTGTATTTTTAGTAGAGACGGGGTTTCACTATGTTGGCCAGGCTGGTCTCATATTCCTGACCTCATGATCCACCCGCCTCAGCCTCCCAAAGTGCTGGGATTGCAGGAGTGAGCCACCACGCCTGGTCCACGGGTGCATCTTTAAGCTTGGCAAAATAAATTGACTGAGACTTGTCTCAGATATTTTTGGTTTACACACTGATAGGGCACTCTTGCTTACAGATCCCCAGTTAGCCCCAGGAGGAGCAGGCCCCACAGCCCAGTGGCCCCAGGAGCCCACACCATTCAAAGCTCTCCCTGTGGGCAGTTGGTTTGTCCCCAAGGCCTTGGAAGGTAAGGGGTTACTACTGGTATTTCTGCTGAGTCCTGGGAGCACTTCAACCTTGCCTGTGAGGATGATCCCACACACTCCACAGGAGGTGTTCCTGAGAAGTTTGGGTCTTTTTACCTCAAACATCTGTGATTCAGTGAACATCTACGAAACACAATCAAAATCTAATTTAGGCCTAGAGGAGAGGCATTAGTCATGCTGGTGTGGCGGCTCACAGTCGCAGCAGTGAGCACGCAAACAGTGCTCCAACAGAGCCAATTCCCCAGCTATTTCTTGAGGCTTTTGCTCTCCCTGTGGGTCCACTCTATATTTTATCATGAAATCAGCAAGAGACAGGTGATTCTGTCAGGCTAGATGCCACGCCAAGCAGCGCCTGGGAGAAAAGTTCTTTTCTTCCGACCTTCAATCAGTCCTTTTCTCAAGATGATTTCTAGCTTTCTTCTCTTCTCCAAATGTGTATCTTTGATTTCTGCCTTTTCTTCCAAGCACAGCTTCCCCTTGTCTTCTCTCACTGAGAAACCATCACATTGTCTGACCCAAAAGAGGCAGGGTGGCCACCACACCCTGAGGTCACAGAGCATCAGAGAAGCAGATGCATACTGGTCACAGAGAGTGTTCTGAAGGTCACTGTAGCAGCTGAGAGCAGGCATGGTCTGCCCCAAGCTTTCTTTTTTCTTTTTTTTTTGAGACAGAGTTTTGCTCTTTTTGCCCAGGCTGGAGTGCAATGGCACAATCTCGGCTCACTGCCACCTCCACCTCTTGGGTTCAAGTAATTCTCCTGCCTCAGCCTCCCAAGTAGCTGAGATTACAGGCATGCACCACCATGCCCAGCTAATTTTGTATTTTTAGTAGAGATGGGGTTTCTCCATGTTGGTCAGGCTGAGCTTGAACTCCCCACATCAGGGGATCCACCCACCTCGGCCTCCAAAGTGCTGGGATTATAGGTGTAAGCCACCGTGCCTGACCATCCAAGTTTTCATTCTGATGAATGTCCCTAGAATGTCCACTCACGGTTTCTCAAAAATCACAGAAATGTCATTCTGCTGATGCTGATATTGCAACTAAGCTGGCCCTCTCTGTTCCTGCCCATCTCCACCCTCATCAAGCGCTCTGGGAGCCCGATTCCCACACTGCTGCTGGGGAGATGTGTTTGCGATTGTTCGCATTTGAAGATGATGGAGAGGAAGATGCAGGATGGTGCCTTCTGAGGCCATGGGAAAGAGGCCCAAGGGTTCTAGACCAACCAGATTCCAGATCCATGCCAGATCAATTGTGATGGTCTCAGAACCAAGTGGGGAAAATGCCTCTGAGCTTGAGAGTCGGTTTGAGAGAGGATGTGTCTGTCTCCTTTAAGTGAGTTGCTAGGAAATACTGACCCTACAAGACAGACATCTGCCTGCTGGAGATACTGCACCTTGCACAGCAAGCTGAGCACTTCCTTGCAACGAACACTGAGCCCATGTTTGCCTCCAGAGATGAGTCAGCCTAGTAAATTAGTAACGCACCAGCAAATGATAGTGGAGGAGGTCTGGGAGACAGCTCTGACCATCACTGCACAAAGAGGGCTGAGCTCTTTCCACTGCCTACACTTGGCACTCACGTCACTGTCAGCTTTGCCTCTTAGTGTTTGCGTGGGTCCCCTCTGAAAGGCAGGCAGGGCTTCCGACTTCTGTAGTCTCACAATGAAGACACAGGCTCTTGGTCTTGTTCATGCTACTGTGGAAGATGGCTGATTCCCATCTGTTGGGGACATGTACCAGATATTCCTGTTCTGGGTGGGAAACTAGACTAAGATGAAGGTGTGAGATTCAGTGATTCTGTAACATGTGGTCTTTATCTGCTGTAACAGTGGAACTTAATGAGTGTGAATTCCTTTACCATTAACCTAAAAACAAGTTACTGAAAGCGAGATCTACTTAAAGCTCCAGGATCTTCAAAGGAAAGTAAAAAGACCTTCATTTGAGCAAGTGAGGTTTTTCACATGATTATGGGAAGCCTAAAGGTTTTGGGAGAGAATGTGTTAGAAGTCCTGCCCTTTCATTTTTAATTAGTTCCTGGTATTAGGAAACTGCTCAAATAAGACACACAGACCAGACTGTTGGATTAAGTTTTCCTGCCTAATGGCTTCTTCTGGTTCCGCTTACATTTTCCTTGACTTCTTGCTTTGGTTTTATTTTAGAATGCTTTGTCAAGTTTCTTTTGTGATTATGTATAGTACAGGATTGGACACTGTTACCTTTCCTCTCTTGTCTGCAGCCCTCCTGTTTGTGGTACTGATGCTGGATGCCAGGAGGGCCCATGGGCACCGAGACACACCTTCCAAGTGCTGTGTTGCCCATCCCGACACACCAGGGCCCTTTCGGGGAAACAGATGCTCATCCCATGGGACCTCAGGACACATGTGTGAATGGGGAAAGAACCCCCATTTTTTTGTAGGTTCAATTCTCCTGCCTCTCCTATTAACATCCCTACCATCTGAAACGGGAGGAGAGTTGCTATCATGTACGAGGAGACTCTACCGGGATGAGGTTGAAAATTATATTGTAACATCAGAAGGCTTAGGTGAGAAGCCCATCTTGCAAACCTCAATGATGCTGGCTGGCTCTGAAGAGCCCATGGTGACACCCAGAAAATCTGAAAGCCCAACTGTCTCTGCCTTCAACATATTATCCCTGCAACTGTGGGGAGGCCAACGCCTGGTACTGGGTCTGGCACATTCCAGGTGCAGAAGAAATGCTTGCTTGCTTGCTGAATGAATGAATGAATATCCACAGGACTAACTGGAGTAATCGTAACATTTCTAGTTAATACTCAGTCTAGCTACCATTAAGGGAGAACTTAATAGGTGTGAGAGATGTGCCAAGCATTATCTTTGTTTCATTTAAGTCTTACCAAATCACATGCAGTAGCATATTATCCTCATTTTATAGATGAGGCAGTGGAGGCTCAGAGGGGTGAAATAACTTTCCAGACATCACAGAGACAGAAAGTTACAGAACTTGACATGACCCAATATCTGTGCTCAAAATCCCCCACTCTTGGCCCAACCCATGTGTCTACCCAGCTTGTCTCTAAGATGACTGCCATCAACTCTCCCCTCCCGTGCACACCATGGTGTTCCCCTGTTGAGAAGTCGAATCTGCTCTTTGAATCTGGACTGGTTTTACTGACTTGCTTGACCCATAGGATATAGCAGAAGCAACATGCTGAATTTGTGAGGTTGAATCATGAGGAGTCTTGCAGTTTCCTCCTGGGCCTCTAGGAACATTACTCTGGGGGAATTAGTCATGTAAAAAGTCTCACCATCCTGGCTGGATGCGGTGACTCACGCCTGTAATTCCAGCACTTTGGGAGGCTGATATTGTTTAGCTGTGTCCCCACCCAAATCTCATCTTGAATTCTAGCTCCCATAATTCCCACGTGTTGTGAGAGGGACCTGGTGGGAGGTAATTGAATCATGGGGGTGGGTCTTTCCCATGCTGTTCTTGTGATAGTGAATAAGTCTCACAAGATCTGATAGTTTTATAAATGGGAGTTCCCCTGTACATGCTCTCTTGCCTACTGCCACATAAGATGTGCCTTTGCTTCTTCTTTGTCTTCTGCCATAGGCCTCCCCAGCCATGTGGAACTGTGAGTCCATTAAACCTCTTTCCTTTATAAATTACCCAGTCTCGGGTATGTCTTTATTAGCAGTATTAGAACAGACTAATATAGAGGCTGAGGTGGGTGGATCACTTGAGGTCAGGAGTTCAAGACCAGTCTGGCCATTAGTGAAACCCCATCCCTACTAAAAATACAAAAAAAAAAAAAAAAAAAATTAGCCAGGCTTTGTGGCAGGCACCTGTAATCCCAGCTACTTGGGAGGCTGAGGCAGGAGAATTGCTTGAACCTGGGAGGCAGAGGTTGCAGTGAACCGAGGTTGTGTGACTGCACTCCAGCCTGGGTGACAGAGCGAGACTCCATCTATCTTTTTTTTTTTTTTTTTGAGATGGAGTCTTGCCCTTGTTGCCCAGGCTGGAGTACAATGGCGCGATCTTGGCTCACTGCAACCTGTGCCTCCTGGCTTCAAGGGATTCTCCTGCCTCAGCCTCCCGAGTGGCTGGGATTACAGGCGCCCACCACCACGCCTGGCTACTTTTTTGTATTTTTAGTAAAGACAAGATTTCACCATGTTGGCCAGGCTGGTCTTGAACTCCTGTCCTCAGGTGATCCATCCGCCTCGGCCTCCCAAAGTGCTGGGATTACAGGCATGAGCCACCGCACCCAGCTGAGACTCAATCTTAAAAAAAAAAGGAAAAAAAAAAAAGTTCTTGCTATCCTGAGATCATCATGCTATGAGAATGCCTGAGCTAGCCACAAGGAGAGGCTGCCTGGACAGGAACAACGGTTTCAGCCAGGCCAGCCCAGGCTCAAGATTTGGGAGTGAAGGGGTCTCAAAGACATTGGAGCTCCAGCAGACATCGCTTGGAGAAGACTCAAGACCCAGACAGATGGCTCCAGTCGGGCTGCCCCAGCATCTCCAGCCATTGCAGGCACTCTGGCTGAGGCCCCAGATGTTGTTGAGCAGGACTGCCACGCCCAGCCCAGATCCCTGACTTACAGAATTGTGAACATAATAAATGGATGTTGTTTTATATTTTGGGGTGGTTTATTACGCAGCAAGAGATAACTGGAACACCATGCGATGCTGCAGAAGGCTGGTTGGACCCTCATTCAGACAACAGGAAGATGACCCATGAGCCCAGGAGCTGTGATGAATGCTGCTTAGCCAGGAGGCCAATCCTGGAGCCACCCGGTCCCCTGGCTGCCCTGGCTGTGGGGAAGCTCACTGATCACAGTGAGCACTAAGGTGTCCCATCCCATCTGCTGGCTCAAACCACTGTGCTGCAGTGAAGTCAGCAAAATCATGCTCTCATCTCCAGTTACTACCTCCCTTGGGCATAAATTCAAACTCATTTAGTTTTACTTTTATTACCTCACGTCTCTCGAATGCTGTAACCTGGCCTGTCTCCGACCTTGGCTCTTCCTGTCTCATATAAGCTCATTGGAAGATACTTGCTTTGGTCTTTCTAGCATAAGTCTTTTGAGACACATTTATTACGGCGATTGGTCTGGAGTATTGTCTACCTTACAGAGACCACCAGTGAAAGAGAGCTGCATGTGTGTGCATGTGTGCACGTGTGTGTGTGTGTGTGTGTGCACACGGGGTGCAGGTGTGAGGGTTGATTACTGAAAACAGCATACTCTGAGCCTTGGTTTTCTCATCTTAAAATGGGGATAATACCATACGCAGTACCCCCTAACTGGATTGTTCTGATAATGGCTAATAATATTATTTAACCAAATGGCAATACCGGCTAGCATTTATTATTTACTATGTGGCCATGCACCATGCTAAGTGCTTCAACATGGGCTCTTTAATTCAATCCTAACCGTATCTGTATGCCGTAGGTCTATTACTTCCATTTTGCACATGAGATAATTACGCTCAGAAAGGTTAAATAACTTGCTCATGAAGTCAGCACCCAGACAAACTGGGATTTGAATCCAGTTGTTCTTTCTGAGAGGCTATACTCTTCTTGACCATTACACCTTAAAACTATACATAAGATAAAATAAAAAAAATTCTGTAATCTGTTTTAAAAAGTTTAAAAAACATGTGAGCCAATTGAGCTTCCAAGTGACTGACCCATCTTGGCTGTGGTGAGGTCACCTACTGGCCCATTGCCTGGGTCTCATGCCCAGTCTGGCTGAGAGGCAGCCTCCAGGCCGGGGGTGTACTTCGTGACTCCACAGAGACCATCAACACAGGAATTCTTCATCTTTGGCTTCCCCAAGGGTGAGGTAAAAGATACGAGGCAACTCCCATCCTCAGTAGTGGCTATTTAGGAAGAAGGGTAGGGAGTCCCAGTCCAATGGGGAAAAACCTCCTGGAAAGCACAGGAATTCCCCTCTTCCCTTCCCTTCTCTTCTCTTCTTCCCCAGGGATTTTTCTTTTTTCTTTTCTTTTCTTTTCCTTCCTTTTTTTTTTTTTTTTTTGAGATAGGGTCTCACTCTCTTACCTAGGCTGGAGTGCAGTGGTGTGATCTCAGCTTACTGCCATCTCCACCTCCCGGGTTCAAGTGATTCTCCTGCCTCAGCCTCCTGAGTGGCTGGGATTATAGGCGTGCACGCCTGGCTAATTTTTTTTTTTTTTTTTATGGCAGAGATGGGGTTTCACTGTGTTGGCCAGGCTGGTCTCGAGCTCCTGGCCTCAAGTGATCCTCCTGCCTGGGCCTCCCAAAGTGCTAGAATTATAGGCATGAACCACTGTGCCCGGCCTGGGATTTTGATCTGCGAATTAAGAACTGCTACATTAGAGGAGCTTAAGGAACCACTGTATCATAAAGATAAATCCTAAGGCAATCAAGGGATGCAAACTCACTTTTCTTGTGCAAGCTGAAGATATGCAGGTCAGCTTATATTTACTGTGGTTTCTTCAAGGCAATCATGGATATTGAACATCACCACAGATATTTACCAAGCTCCTTCCAAGTGTTAAGGGCTGTGTCCCTGGTGCCAGTCCCATGCCTAGCCTATAGACAATGTCCAGGAAGTGATCACTGAATGACATGGGGGAGTAAAAGTGTCCATCAAGACTCTCATTACATCCAGAGGAGGCTCATGGAGAGACAAAGAGATCTTCCTCGCTGTCCTCCCGCATCCTTGTCCCCGAGGCTATACGCAGCATATTCATCGGTCTAGTATGAGAAAAATTGCATCATAGATGGTGGGCAATCTGTCCCCTAGAAAAAGCTCTAGCCACCAAGGTAATTAATTTATTTTAACTGGTACATCACTAAGATTTTTGTTTCTTAGTTTGAAAATCTCTTAGGCACAAGGGTTCACTGATACATGTGCAAAAATATTCATTAAAGTGTTTAAATTTTTCATTATTAGAGGACTGATTAAGTAGAATACTAGGTAGCCATTTAACATGAAAACTGGAGGCGGGTGGATTGCCTGAGCTCAGGAGTTCAAGACCACCCCGGGCAACATGGTGAAACGCTGTCTCTACTAAAATACAAAAAATTAGCTGGGCGTGGTGGTGCACATCTGTAATCCCAGCTACTCGGGGGGCTGAGGCAGGAGACTCGCTTGAGCCCAGGAGGTGAAGATTGCAATGAGCCGAGGTCGCACCACTGCATTCCAGCCTGGGTGACAGAGTGAGACTCCGTCTAAAAATAAATAAATAAAATAAATAAATCAATAATGGGTTAAAAGACTACGTAAAAATATATGTATACATATACACATAGATAGGATCTGTATATATGCATAGAAAATAGCAATATGGATCAAATGTGAATAGTAGTTATCACTGCGTATTGAGACTGGATGATTTCTATTTTTGTATTTTGGAACTTTATTTAAATGAGGATTAATGATGTTTACAGTCATAAAATAATCTTTCCATTTTGATAATTAAAAACAAGAGAAAGTCTTTTGCGTTTAAAATAGTCTTATTCTTGCTTTTTTTTTTTGAGACAGGGTCTTGCTCTGTTGTCCAGGCTGGAGTGCAGTGGCACAGTCATGGCTCACAGAAAGCTTGACCTCCCAGGCTCACATGATCCTCTCACCTCAGCCTCTGGAGTAGCTGGGACCACAGGTAATGTGTCATCACACCTGGCTGATTTTTGTATGTTTTTTAGAGACAGGGTTTCAACATGTTGCCCAGGATGGATCTTATTCTTTCTGCATCACCTTGGGGTTCTGAGGGTCTCTTCATTCTCTGGCTGAGAGGGCTGGGAACTACTTTCCAGCAAAATCTGGAACCTCTCTGCAGGTGCTGTCATGGCTCACCTCTATGTGCCAGGAAGCTGCCCATTCATTTGGCAAAGAATCTTGTTTAGGCTCTTCAGTTTTCATACTGGATGCCAATTCTAACATCTTCTCAGTGAGACTTTGAAGTATCAAGCTCTTCCTTTAAGCTGCAACCCTAATACTTCTACTCCAAGTGCGGAATTGACCCTTTAATGGTCCAACTTCTGCCAAGCCCAAGTGAAAAATGTTGTTACGTGGATATTAACTTATAGACATGCAGTCAATCCGCTCTTGTAGCTGTGCAAAGTTTGATCTCTGCACGAAGTCAAACTGCCTATGAACTTGAACTGTATTTTATTTCCTTTCATAATGATGATAAAGCAGTGGCAGCAGCAACTACACATGATATTGCCTACTACATCCTAGGGACGAGGCTAAGTGCCTTCTGTGGATTGTCTACCCCTTACAACACCTTACAGAGGAGGAATGACCATCCTCATTTTACGTGTGAGAAACTAAGGATCAGCGAAATTGACAACTTGGCCAAGTTCATACAGCAGAGCCAGGATTCAAGTGCAGATCTGACTTCAGATTAGCCAGTGTTTCATGCCACTGGGCTATCCTACCTTCATTGCTCTCATGAATGTGCTGGTCTTCTGTGCCTATTTCATTGAGGCACCCTCTAGAACACCATCTTGTGTTTTGGAGATTCACTGTACAAATGTTGGTGAAGACATTATTACACAGTATCCCCTCATGGGGGCCTAGGACAGAAAGTTCCTTCATACTTAAGTCTTATTAAAATACTATTTTCGGAAGGGAAGGGGTATACTTTTCTTTCAAAGAAATATGCAGCATAAAATTACTGCATTTCCCTTTTTGCCTTGACCTCCAGGAAGCTCAGAGCTAAAAGCTCAGAGCTAGAGAGAGCCCAGCTCCCATACCTTTCCACAACTCCATGGTCTGTATATTGATGCTACAACTTTTCCCTTGATATGGAGCTTCCTTTTAGCCTATATTTTCCCTAATTCAGATTTGTGTGTATGTATATATATATTTTCAGACTACTATACCTATTCATGTAGGCTGTCTTCAATCCGTTATGGAATGAGGCATGGTAGAAACACTGTCCATTTGTTCACTTAGATATTTATTCCAGGACTTACTTTGTTGAATGCATTGCTGCCCAAATGGCTGACAAGGTATGTCAGGCATAAAGCTTCATCTCATCTGGCGAATATGACGAAGGAGTAAGGAATCTGAGGAGGAGGCCATCCAGGGAGGAAAGGCCCTCCTGACCCAGGCTGGGAGGCTGCTCTTTCTGAGTGGACCATTTTGACCTGCCTTGCAGTGCTTTGCATTACCATTAGAAACACAATGGCCACATTTTCATGACTGGAATGGAATGAACAAATGTATTCATTCCATAGCATCAGAGAGCTGCAGGCCCAGACAGGGGTCAGCAGAAGCTCACCCACACCATGAAGAGGGCACAGATGCAGACACGTTCAAGGGAAGGGCTGTGTCTGTATGTGGGAGTCCAGGGCAGAAAAGCTTGGGTGTCATAAAGTACCTTGAGATGTCTGATTGAAAAGTGTCTATCAGTGAATAGAGGCCATAAACAGAGTCCCTGGATCACCTGCATAGGCCAGCTCCACCATGGGCTACCTACCTACAGCACCTATTGCCACTGAGAAGTGGGTGTGGTCCAGGTGACCTATTGGTCCCTTTCCACCCTGGGAGTTTCAGGATTCTCTGATTAGAAGGGGCTATCTTTTACCCAGTCAACTACAGATTCAGTTTAGAGATGCACGCACAGTTGATGCTGTGCTAAACAGTGGCATGTTACCCAGAGGCCAGACTGCAGGGCTCCATAACCCACCAGCTAGAGCTCAGAGAGGCAGTCACCACCAACGGGCTGCCCTTCATCTCAGAAAACACCTTCATTCCAGCAATCACCCCTAAATGCTATTCCAAATGGCCAAGCATTTCATCTATTACAAAATGGATTTGTTCTTGGCAATACATGCGTTTGCCATCTCCCACCTTTGCCTGGTGAGTTACTGCTTATCCTTGAAGACTCACCTCGGGCATCATATCTCCAGAAGCCTTCTTTGAATCTCCTTTCCTGTCCTCCCAACCCTGGCTAAGTTAGGTGCCCCTCCTCTGCGGTGCCACAATACCTTGGGCACAGCCCTACTTACCACGTGGTATTTATTATGATTTTCTCCTTATAGGGCTGATTCCCCCAGTTGACTGAGCTCCTTGAGGGCTCTGGTCTCACTGGGCTTTGCATCTCTAGGGCTTAGAATAGGTCAGGTGCTCAAGAAATGTTTGTTGGCTAAACACAAAAAGGAAGTTGCCTGGTAGGTCCCTAAGATAAGGGAACTTGCACCTTAAGGTTAAGAAAAGGGGGAATATGGATGGCCAGAGCCAATTCCTTCCTTCTGTCTTCTCTCCCACAGGCAGACCTGAAGAACAAAAGCTAGACAAGTGCAGATAATGCCACAGGGGGCCTGAAGACACAAGAAGGTTTTTTTCAATCTGGGTTCTCAGTGGGGTCTCCAGAAAGAAGCGACATTTCTTTTTAGGCTATATTTTGCTTGTACTTGTTTTTTTAAGACCTGGGGTAAGCCTGGTCTACAACTTGCTTCACCCACGTCCGGAGGCAAAAATAACTTCGAGAATATTCTGGGCATATTCACAGACTTCATTGACATCTCTTTAGCTCTACCTATAGTTAGTTCTCTCAAGTACCAGCCAGAAATTAGTCTTCATAGATTGTACAGAAATAAATAGTGCCCAATCATAGCCTTCAGCATTTAGAAACAAATATTAGCAATTCTGCTAAGATGTCTATCTGGGGCAAGATGACAAATCAACTGGCCAAAATGCAGGTAGCTTCTTTAGGGCTAATTTTGGCTAACTAAAAGAGCCACGAGATTCCTTTATCTCCCTAATTATAACAGGGGCAGATGTAGAAAATTTTGAAAATACTAAGAATAAAGGAAAAAATAAAATTCAGCTGTGAAATTCCACTGTTGGGATATGGCTACTGCTAACATCTTGGTGCATTTTCTTTTTATATTTGTATATACACCCAAATACTTTCATTTCCTATATGAATATTTAAATATGAATTTAAAAACTAGAATACTTTATGAGTCTAAAATCATAACATATTTTATGTGCAGTCTCATAAGTTCCTTTTTTGCGCAACATTATCTCATAGTTGGTCTTCGCATGCCATTACACGTTCTTCAAAAACCAGATTTTTAAAGGGGGTGAGCGTTCCACTGTATCTGCTGAGGTTTAACTTTATGCCTCACCCCAAGTATAGGAGGTTGGGCCTTACTTTGTTAAACCACAACTTGCTTTCTTATATTAATAGCATTCCAGGTTCCCTGTGGATGTCATGCACTGCAGCCCAACACACTGGTCACCTGTCTTCATGGAACCACAGCCTAAGGTGGCTGGCCAGCAGCCCTGTCACACCCATCCAGAGGGACTGGCCTGCCTGGGAGGAAGAAACATGCAATCTTTATCCTGTAACTTGGCCAGGGTTTGTGCAAAGGTGGTACAGGAGGAAGAAATGCCAGATTTCAACCTCTCCCCTGCTCCTCAAAAGAAAAAGCTCCAGTGGAAGCTGTAGGGAACTCTTCACTAACTTTTTGTTTTTTTCAAGACAGGGTCTCACTGTGTTACCCAGGCTGGAGTGCAGTGGCACGATCTCAGCTCACTGCAACCTTCGCCTCCTGGGTTCAAGCAATTCTCCAGCCTCAGTCTCCTGAGTAGCTGGGATTACAGGTGCCTGCCACCGTGCCTGGCTAATTTTTTGCATTTTTAGTAGAGATAGGGTTTCACCATGTTGGCCAGGCTGGTCACAAACTCCCAACCTCAAGTGATCCGCCCGCCTCAGCCTCCTAAAGTGCTGGGATTACAGGCGTGAGCCACCGCGCCTGGCTTCTTCACTAACTTGTGAGGCATTGGACATGGGTCACTCACCAGATTCAAACCTTTTAAATTTGAACCCTTGTTGTTTAAATCTTTCTCAAATGGATATGCCTGTTTCCTTGGTTTAGTCAGCACAGCAAATATAAATGGCTTTTCCTTTACTTATTGCAGATGCCTACCTGATACCCTGAGTTCACTATTCTAAATTGAATTAATGAGTTGCCGTGCCTCCAAACCGACCACGTGTTCACTCACACAGACTAAGTGTTCAGCTTCCAACCTGCGCGTCCCTCCTCTTGGAGAGCCCACCCTGCTGGCTGCTGGTGCAGTGCCCGGGTGGCATGGATCTGATTCTGTTGTAACTATTTGCTTGTGTCCCTTCATCTCCTGCTGGACCATGAGCTCCTGGAGAGCAGGGATGTGTGTCTAATGCATGGCAGGCACTCTATCAATACAGGAATGCATTTTATGTGGAATCTGACTTTTTTCCTCAGATGTGGAAGCACGCAGCAACAAACATATGTCGTGAATCAAAAACCGGGACATAAAGCCTCACACAGGGTCTGACAAGAATATAAGCATCACTATTAACTGCTTCTGCTATTCTCTGTGTCCTCGGCAGCTAAGAGTTATTGAATACCATGTGCTGGAAATGCGTATGTGTCACCTTGTTTAATCCTTGCAATCACCATAGGAGGTGTCCTATTATAATCTCTATTTTACAGATTAGGAAACTGAAGACTAGAGGCATTCTTTTTTATTTTTTGAGTCAGAGTCTTGCTCAGTCACCCAGGCTGGAGTGCAGTGGCACCATCTTGGCTCACTGCAACCTCTGCCTCCTGGTTCAAGTGATTCTCATGCCTCAGCCTCCCAAGTAGCTGGGATTACAGGTGTGTACCACCACGCCTGGCTAATTTTTGTATTTTTAGTAGAGATGGGGTTTCACCATGCTGGTCTGGCCAGTCTTGAACTCCTGAGCTCAGGAGATCCACCTGCCTCAGCATCCCAAAGTGCTGAGATTACAGGTGTAAGCCACTGCACCTGGCCTTTATTTTTCTGAGACAGAGTCTCATCCTGTCACCCAGGCTAGAGTGCAGTGGTGCGATCTCTGCTCACTGTACTCACTGTAACCTCCGCCTCCCAGGTTCGAGTGATTCTCCTGTCTCAGCCTTAGGTTCAAGCAGTTCTCCTGCCTCAGCCTCCCAAGTAGCTGGGATTACAGGTGTGCACCACCATGCCAGGCTAATTTTTGTATCTTTAGTAGAGACAGGGTTTTACCATGTTGGCCAGGCTAGTCTGGGACTCTTGACCTTAGGTGATCCGCCTGCCTTGGTTTCCCAAATGCTGGGATTACAGGCATGAGCCATCGTGCCTGGCCCATGGCATTCTCGCCCAAACTATGAAGCTAAGAGTGCAGATCTGGGATTCAAAACCAGACTGATTCTAAAGGCCACCCCCTGATCATGACACTTGACTGCCAGTTATTTAGAAGTGGGGGGTGCAACAAATACATGCATAAATGCTGCAAAGCAATCTGTGAAAACAATTTCAGAATGTCTGGTTTCTAACTTCACAAAAAATGGGATTAATTTAAGGCACTGAAAACTTTGTCTCCCCACCCCCAAAATAGGGATGAGAAGATCTCTGAATATCCAACCACCTTTGTCTTTGTGGCCTGGTTAGTTCTCAGTGATTTATGCCAATGGAGAGGAGATCTGGATAAATGAAACCCAGCACTGTTAATTTATCTATTCTTTTTTGGGAGGTGGTGGTGTTAGTGTAGAAGGACCATTGGAATGCGATGCTGTCTTTTTTATTCCATCAGGGCCATTTGCTCCTCTTAGGAGCTGCGTCCTTCCTGCAGCTGACTTGCTGGTGAGTTTCAGCTGGCTGGACAGGGCCAGGGAACGGCTTCTCTTTTACCTGTAGGTTGCCACTTTGTATGCAGAAGAGTAACCAGGGAAAGTGTTCGAGTTCAATTTTTAAGGGCTCTATGCATTGTGACATTTTCTTATATTGCCATTTCTTTTCACAGTATCACAGTCAAATAGGTTGAAGTCTATTTTCAGGTGGAGAAAATGAGAAACAGAATGAGAGAGATCACCCGCCTCCATGATATTAATTCAATTGTCAGAGGTGAACTAACATCAATAATAGCAAGAGTTCTTTTGCATCTTTAAGTTCTCACTTTGTGGGACAATCTCTGCAACATAAGCCATAAATATTTTTCTTCAGGGACCTCAAACTACTCCATGGAAGTAATCTCGGCATTTAAAAAAGCACTCAAGAATTTAAATTTTTCTTTCCTTTTTTTTTGAGACAGAGTCTTGTTCTGTTGCCTAGGCTGGAGTGCAGTGGTGCAATCACAGCTCAGTGTCTCCTAGGCCCAAGAGATCCTCCCACCTCAGCCTCCCGAGTAGCTGGCACTACATGTGTGTGCCACCATGCCTGGCTATTATTTATTAATTTTTTTTTTTTTTTTTGCAGACATGGGGTTGCCCTATGTTGCCCAGGCTGGTCTTGAACTCCTGGAGTCAAGTGATCCTCCTGCCTCAGCCTCCCAAAGTGCTGGGGATTACAGGCATGAGCTACTGTGCCCAGCCAGGAATTTAAATTTTATTAAACTGATGAGAAAACCAACAAGCAAACTCATAGCAGAGCCAAAGTTGGAAGTGGTGTAGGTATCACTGATCACGACCACGTGGTTGATGCTAGTGTTTTTCTTGCCCCACACTTTGGCTGGCTTTGTGCATATGGATGGGAGAGTACTACAGAAGGTGATCACACAGTCGGATGACCATGTTTTCCTGCGTTTTGTCACTTCTGTTTCTCCAGCTTAGATCCTCACATGGCCCACATTCAGCCAAGAAAGCACAGGGAAGAGGGAGCTCCGTCTCCCACACGTCCCACCCACCCTGCACCACGTCTTCAACATTCTCTACGCACTCCTGAGACCGTCTCAGCCTCGCCATGTGCTGCACACCGAGGAGCACAGGATTTGGGAGTTGCAAGTGAAAAATGAGCATGGTTAAAAATATCAAAGACTGCAAACATATTCTTTTCAGAGGAGTGAGAATTAGCAAGGGTCTGGCAGCAAAGCCATGGCTTTTAATGCTATTAAAAAGGAAGAACACCTTTTAACATTTAAAACTATTGAATGAGGCTCTTCTCAGATATTTGATACAAATCTGATACTCCCATGGAGAATGCATCAAAATCTTTCTATGTTGACTTACATCAACTCTCTATTACTGAGAAATCTAGAGTAACTAAGCAAATAAAATACAGAAGACAACAGTTTTGAAATTACCTTGGTTGTCTCTCTCTCTCACCTATAGTGGCCTTTTGAGGACGATCACTTCAGCCTCGGGATCTGGTGGCCACTGAAATACCCATTCCCTCTCTGGCAGTCCCATTTGTGTAGAATTCTCTCCACTCATTTAAGAGCAGAGGAGAGAAAAGCTGAGTCCATTTTTAACTCTCACAACTCCTAGTCTCATAACACATCCTTCTTTTCTGCTCACCCTACAGTTCCCTCTTCCCCAAGTTCTCACTGCCCAGAAGGTGGAGTTTGGGGAAGCTTTTGTTCTACAGTGGGTGAGATGTGTTTCAGGCCTAGCAAGTTAGGGATATGATTAGAAATCAGCTATGACAACAACGAGAGCATAGACTCCAGAATACAGAGCAGGCTTGGTGCTTGCTTGTGTGTATATATTGGCTTTTTTCTTGACAACCCTAATTCTGTTTTGCTCTAGTCTTTTTATTTTCATCTCCCCATCATTTAAAACTGAAAATATCACAAGCTGAATTTATGGTAGATTCCAAGCAACAAAAGCAGGCTTAGAGATCATCAAATGTAACATTTTCCAAAATGTGTTCTGCAGAAGGCCACCCCTGTGGGGTGCTCTCTAAAAAAAAAAAAAAAAAAAAAAAAAAGGCCGGGCACGGTGGCTCATGCCTGTAATCCCAGCACTTTGGGAGGCCGAGGCGGGCGGATCACAAGGTCGGGAGATCGGGACCATCTTGGCTAACATGGTGAAACCCGGTCTCTACTAAAAATACAAAAAATTAGCCGGGCGTGCTGGCGGGTGCCTGTAGTCCCAGCTGCTCAGGAGGCTGAGGCAGGAGAATGGCGTGAACCCGGGAGGCGGAGCTTGCAGTGAGCAGAGATCGTGCCACTGCACTCCAGCTTGGGCGACAGAGCGAGACTCCATCTCAAAAAAAAAAAAAAAAAAATGGCTACCATGGCCAAATAAGCTTAAGAAGCCCCGCACACTCCACCCCCGCCTCACATCTGAGCACATTCAGGGCCCTGCAGAGTCCCATAGTACGTAAACTATGTTAAGCTCACATCCTAGCTTCTGTAGGGGGGGCTCCAGGCCTCCTTTCTCGGACTACAATTTCTATGAGAAAATGCTCTGAACTTCAAATCTAACTGTCCATAAACTGGAAACTTCCTAGACATCACTGAATTTTCTTGATGATATCAGATAAAAACATGGGATATGTGATAACAGTACATAAAAACATGTGACCCATAAAAGGTCTTTAAGGTCCAAAAAGCAGTAACTTCACAATTAAAAATGTATACATACTTATTTAGCTAAAAGGTTAAATGTGTATTTGAGGTATTATAGGGTCTTCTTTACTTTTTTTTTTTTTTTTTTTTTTTTTTTTTGCCATTTGGGGCAGCCCAGGGGACTGATTCATATCAAAAGAATTTTAAGCCTTCAAGACTGGACTGGTATTGAACTGCCCTACATAAGGATACAAAATCCATGCTCAAAGAAGCTTTTTTTAGTGCAAGTGAAGCTTGTTGCATCTCAGAATTGCTCAAAGTCCCAGGTCAAGGGTGGTGGCCTTTGTTACTAATTTTGAGGTTTGACAAACTGTTCACCTGGAGAAGATTAAAATGGAGGATCTGTGTAAGATGAAAGTCCTTTGGAGCTGGTATGAGAATCCTAAGCTAGTAATGTTTACATTAAATCAAACATCTGGATGAAAAGATAAATGTTAAGGCAATTCTCTACATGTTTTTCTAAGTGTATCAGGGATATAACGTTCATCATAAAACTAAACAGTTGACTATTTCTTCCCCCAACATTTCACCTCAGTATTCTGGTGATATATATATATCACACACACGTATAGCTAATAAACTCAAGGGGGCAGATAGTCCACAGAAACCAGTTTTAGTTTCATGTGGAAAAATACTTTAGATACTCTGATGAAGGCAAATTATATATTACCTTAAAAACCAATTTTATTGAAAGAAATGCTGCAATACTTAGGAAAAAGGTGGCGTTCATCCTGAAAAGTATCAGAATATTCATGTTGATGTTCAATGCAAACACGGTCTAGAGGCAGCAAGCTCTGTGGAGTCAATGTTTTCTTTCTGCTATTTCTATTTTAATGTTTATTTATTGCTTTCACTTTTTCAATCCTTTCGTAATGGCAGTAGGAAAACTTTGGAAGATAAATACACATCTGACAAACCTATCTTATGTCTTTTAGCAGAAAAAGGGTCAGGCTGTTAACTGACGTCAGCAGGCAGGGAGAGGGAGGAGGTGAAGGAACAAATGCTGAACACCTGTTATTTATGAAGCACTCTACATATGTTCTTTCATTTCACTCCTGGTGAAAACCTGCAAGGTAGAAACTCTTGTCTCTGTTCTCTAGCTATGAAAATTAGGACTGGGAAAAGTCCAGCAACTTCTCTAAGACCAGAGAGTAGAGAGATAGCTGATTTGGGATGTGAACTTTGGTATTCCGTTCTTTCTATGACATCAATCCAACCCCTATAGAGAAAGGTATTTCACATAAACCAAAATAGATGTGAACAGGATGAAATTTGACTGTATAAAGAAACAATCAAATTTTACAAGAATTGCAAGTTATGTTTAAGGCACCAGAAACCTAACACTGCACATCCTTGTAAACCCTGAATGAAATGGCTTTAATCAACACTTTAATCCCGTGCAAACAAACGCTTCCTGAGATATTTAGAGCAGTCTCGCAGGGCTTTGCTTTGCAGTCTTTACTGTTACCACAGACTACTTTTATATCACTCTCCTCAAGCCTCCCCAAATGGAAGGGTTTGTTTTTTTTTTTAAAGGCCCATGATCATTCTTTCCCATTTTCAATCTTTCTTTAAAAACCAAAAGGGGTGAGGAACATGTAGCATGATACAAATGCTCTGAGCATGAACTGCCTGACTCACGGACCTTAAGCTGGTATAGATTTTGGATTACAGTTGGCCTTGGCCTATAGGTGTTCATCAGAACTGGAAAACATTGCTTCAGGCAGTCTTCTACCCATGACATTGAACTGGGGGCTGGCCTCTCACGAATATATGAATACGTGATTCCTGATTCTTTAAATATGTATATTTCAAACCCAGTGAGCAGAGCAGAATCATCAAACTTAAGTGGCATTTTCAAATTCTTCTGATTATAAATTATTAATATACTATATCAGAGATATCCTCAAGCAATTTGTACCACCTTGAGGGCATATCAATCTTAAAGAAACATTTGTTATTTCCTTTAATTGTTTCCATTTTCCAAGTTTGTAATATATGAGCTAGTCTTTTAGGTTTAATGACAAGTATGGCTATAAATGGAAGTGGTGTAATCCCATAAGGATGTCATTACAAGACCAACTTTTTTTTTGAGTGACGGTTTCACTCTGTAGTCCAGGCTGGAATGCAGTGGCACGATCATAGCTCAGTGAAGCCTCAGTGTCCTGGGCTCAAGGGATTCTCTCATCAGCCTCCTGAGCAACTGGGACTACAGGTGTACACCACCATGTCTGGCTAATTTTTTTTTTTTTTTTTAATAGGGACAAAGTCTCACTATGTTGCACAGGCTGGTCTTGAACTCCTGAACTCAAGTGGTCCTCTCAACTTGGCATCCCAAAGTACTGGGATTATAGGTATGAGCTGTGCCTGGCCAAGAGTAACTTTTTTTAAAAATTGAGACAGGGTCTCACTCTGTCACCTGGGCTAGATGGCAGTGGTGTGATCACAGCTTACTGCAGCCTCGACCTCCCAGGCTCAGGTAATCCTCCCACCTCACCCTCTCAGGTAGCTGGGACTACAGGCATGTGCTATCACACCCAGCTAATTTTTGTTTGTTTGTTTTTGTAGAGATGGGGTTTCATCATGTTTCTCAGGCTCATCTTCAACTCCTGAGCTCAAGTGATCTGCCCACCTCGGCCTCCAAAAGTGCTGGGATTTCAGGTGTGAGCCACTGAGCCCAGCCAAGACTAATTTCTGAATGAGCATATGGGCCAAATCTTGGAGTTCCCAATTACCACCTGTAGGTATCTGATCTGACTCCTATTCAATATAGAAGACTGCAGATTTGTATGAGGCAAACACACCTATTATGCCCTAGTACTTAGAAATGGCTACTAGAGAAACTGACAGACATAGTGAGGGACAAGGAGGCTGTAAGACCTTTACTATGTTTTGGTGCCAGAGAAACAAAGGGATTTCTCAAGTCTGAAAGTGAAATTAGTAAATGAGTAATGGCAGTTGAGATACTAGGTAGGGCTGGCATTCTAAGTTGAATGGAAGAATGAAAATATCGAAAAATCTCCAAACAGCCTAGTCTGCCAAAATGTACTTGGTGTTATGAGTGGAACTGTGACCCACCCAAAATTCATATGTTGAAGGCTTAACATGCAGTACCTTAAAATGTGGCTGTATTTGAAGATAGTGCCCTGAAAGTGGTGATTCAGTTAAAATGAGGTCATTGGGGTGGGCCCTGATGCAATCTGACTGGTGTCCTTACAAGAAGAGGAAATTTGGACCCAGACATCTAAGCACAGAGGAAAGGCGATGTGAGGACACAGCAAGTACGCAGCTGTATTAGTCAGTTCTCACGCTGCTAATAAAGACGTACCCAAGACTAGGTAATTTATAAAGGAAAGGGGTTTAATTGGCTCACAGTTCCACATGGCTGGGGAGGCCTCACAATCATAGCAAAAGGTGAATGAAGAGCAAAGCCATGTCTTACATGGCGGCAGGCAAGAGAGAGCTTGTGCAGGGGAACTCCCATTTATAAAACCATCAGATCTTGCGACACTTACTCACTATCATGAGAATAGCACAGGAAAGACCCACCCCCACGATTCAATTACCTCCCACTGGGTTCCTCCCATGACACATGGGAATTATGGGAGCTACAATTCAAGGTGAGATTTGGGTAGGGACACAGCCAAACCATATCAGCCGCCATCTACAAGGCAGGGAGAGAGGCCTCAGAAGAAACCAAACCTGCCGACACATTGGTCTTACACTTCTGGCCCCCAGAAGCTGTGAGAAAATGAATTTCTGCCATTTAAGCCTCTCGGTCTGTGGTACTTTGTTATGGCAGCCCTAGCAAACAAATACACTTGGTATGTATCTTAATACCGGGTAAACAAGCCAAGCTAGTGTGTTAATTATAAGTTGGGCTTTCAATACAGTCCAGGCCCATTCTGCAAAGTCTTTAATCTGTTGAAAGGGGGTGGGTACTCACCACATCAAAGGCAGTAAACACATGACAGTAGTGGTGATTAGACTTCAAATCTTTTGTGATATAGGCAAATGTTGAGAGGTCTTCTGGGTCCTGGGCAGCACAGGAGATATTACGAATTTCATGCTCAGCAATTATGTTCTGGAAGAAATGACATAAATGATCATTGTTTTCCTCTGCGAACCAGCATATATGACAACCAAGACAAGTAACCCAGGAAGCAGTTGCTTTCCTTCTTTCTGGAGTGTTCTAGACTAGCAACACTCAAAGTGGTCCACTATATTATTTGTGGGTAAATGAATACCAGATATGGAAGAAATATTTTCATTTAATTAAAAACAACCTAACACAGTCATATCCTGGAGCTGCAGTTCTCACCAGTTGCTGTGCATAGAAGCAGTCTGGGTGGCGGCCACTTTTTTTTTGTTTGTTTGAGACAAGAGTCTCACTCTGTTGCTCAGGCTGAAGTGCAGTGGTGCAATCTCGGCTCACTGCAGCCTCCCGCTCCCAGGTTCAAGCAATTCTCCTGCCTCAGCCTCCCGAATAGCTGGGACTACAGGTGCATGCCACCAGGCCTGGCTAATTTTTGTATTTTTAGTAGAGACGGGGTTTACACCATGTTGGCCAGGCTGGTCTTGAACTCCTGACCTCAGGTGATCTGCCCACCTCGGCCTCCCAAAGTGCTGGGATTACAGGCGTGAGTCACCGCGTCCGGCCTCCACTTTAAAAAATAATAGTAATTACTAAGCATTTGACTGTTTCCATTCCCCATGTCCACCTGTAGCTGTGCAGCACTGCTTTCTGCTAATTCTGTATGGAGGGGAGCATCTGTCGCTTTCTCTGTATGAGAAGAGATCTGACCCAATGAGGCTCTTCAAATCCCTCGCCATCATGCTTGCACGTTGTTCTTGTGTCCTGCTCCTCCTCCCTCAGAGCAAGGGCAGGTACTGAAGGAAGCAGGCAGGTGGAAGCCTCAAGGTGCTTTCTCCGTGGAAACTAAGGTGCAGGGGCCTGATAAGAGAAACACCATACTGCAAGATTCAGGCCTTGGATGCCTTGCTTGATCTGGGCCCTGTGGCTATATTAACAACACTTTCCTAACTACATCCACTGTGTATAATTAGGAGGTGGTGCTGTTGCTACCATTATTTACAGGTGAAGCAACTGGTACTCAAAGAATTTAAGTGCCTTATGCAGAGCAGGTGCTGGGGTGGAACTGAAATTTGGGGTTGTCTGACTGTGGAGCTCAGGCTCTTTGAAATGCATTGCAATGCCCTTCAACGTCTCCACCTCCCTCTTACTGGCTTAACAAGAATTGAGTTATTTCTTCTCTAGCATCTCTTTGTGCCTTCTTCCCTGGTGGGAGAAAGGTTTAAGTACCATTGTCCTGAAGCACAAAATAACCACGAAGCAGCTTGGCTGCAAACCCTGCTAGAAACTTCTTTTGATACATAGATGTGTTTAAAAAGAAAAAAAGAAAAAAATTCACATAATCTTGCAATCATTTTCTTATCTTATAATATCCCATTTATGTTTTTTTGCAGTTGTCACAGATCTAAAACCCTCGATGCTTTAGTTACTCTAATTACTTTTTAATTGCGCTGTCTTAAATAACCTGTTGGCAATACAGTGTTCCGTGTACAGCCATCAATGCCTAAAAATGCTTACAAAATGTCCTTCCCTGCCAGCACCCCCAGCAAGTACTTCATGTCCCTCACTTTACCAAGCTGAGTGGTTCGGAGGCAATTACAGAATTAACTCACAAAAGAAAATTAAATTAAGACATTTTTCACCGTGGCCTTTTGTGTTGACATTAATGCAGTGCTCTGTCAAAAAATAACTCAAATTGCAATTGGAATCCCATAAACAAGTAACATTCTATTGCAAGATAAGTTTCAGACTAGAAGGTGATGATCCTCTTCTGGCATCCAGATAGCATTCCTTCAAGTAGAAAACCAAATTAGGGATGGGTGAGTCTTAAAATAATGTTAAAATGAGAAAAAGGTGCAATGTGAGATGGTGTGGGAACCTCTGCCATTATCTTGATTGGGGGCAGCCAATGCCCTGGGAAGCCTGGGTGGATTTGGTCTCACTTGTCCAGGAGGCACTGTCACAGGAAATAGGTGCTTCAACTTTTACTAAGTTGGCATTTTGTGTTCTTGAGATCTTTTGCAAGATCTCAAGGTAGATGCACTTCTTGGGAAATGAAAAGTGCTCTGTGATTTTTATTGCACTGAACTCTCTGAATCTTGCCAACTCATGGGATGCCACTCTTGACAATTTCCAATGGTGCACGGCAGCACTGTGGCCTGGGGGAAAGTTGCAAAGGAGGAAAAGTATATCTTTGGTACTCTCTCCTCCTGTGTCTTTGCTGACCCCTGAATTTTCTGGAGCCCTCTTCTTCTCTTTCTCTCTCTCTCTCTTTTTTTTGAGATAGGGTCTTGCTCTGTTGCCCAGGCTGGAGTGCAGTGGCACCATCTCAGCTCACTGCAACTTCTCAGGCTCAAGCAATCCTCCCACCTCAGCCTCCTGAGTAGCTGGGACTACAGGCATGCACCACCAGCCTGGCTTATTTTCTGTATTTTTTTTTTTTGGTAGAGAAGGGGCTTTGCCATGTTTCCCAGGTTGGTCTCCAACTCTTGGGCTCAAGCAATCCACTTGCTTCAGCCTCCCAGAGTGCTGGGATTACAGGTGTGAGCCACTGTGCCTGGCCCAGCCCTCCTGTTCTCTATTCCCCAGGAGCCCAGGACTGTCTTTTAGCTGCCCAGGGAGGCCTGACCTCTGTGATACTCCATGTTCCAAAATCAGCCTTCTCCCCGACTGTGGAAACTTCTACTACTCTGTTCCCATTGTCTAAGCTATAAGGAAAGCTCATGCTAGTTAAAATATTCTATATTCAGGTAGGAATAACTCATCATTGTGGTCATCCTAACTGGCGCTTAAAAGATGCTCTTGAATTTGTATTGATAGCCTGCGGAGGCAGGTATTTTTGAACAGACCTTTGTGATATATTGCCAATGCTAGAATGGGGTAAGGTCCTGGGATGTCACTACTGAAATACTGCCATCACTCTGCATTGTCTACCTGTGCAGAATGGTGAAGCCAGTTCTCTATGTGCAGGACGAATCAAAGGTCAAGGATACTACAGTTGTAGACTGTATGGAGACTAGATGGTAGACTTCCTCCTTGGAGAAGAAGCCAAAGAGGAACACATTCTTTCCACCTTGTGTCATGCATTTATGAGTGGCTTTTCCACAAATTAAAAAGTGATGTCATGAAGAGGTACAGGTGATGCACCTCAGTTGAAAACTGGACTCCTCACATGTTGATCAGTCTCCATTTCTAAGCACATTTTAAGAAGGCCAGAGCTTTAAAAGGCTCAAGAGAAGAACTGGGGAGGGGCTCCTCCTGCCTCTTCTTGGGGATAGAAATTCTGGCAGCATAGCACCCTTCAATAGGGAGAGATGGTTTTGCCTGTCTGTTGTTTGCCATCATGGTGAGAAACAGCTGAAGAGGTGTCTTGCTGGTAGGGGTAGGACAGGATTCTCGGGTCCAGCTAACTCATATGGTGGTTCTGAGAAGGGCGCGTGGTGATGAAGTGATGCAGCTTAGAAATCTGCCTCTCGCCACTGCATTCAATCTGAGCCCCGACAGGTGGGACCTTTCTCTTGCATCTCCTCATCAGCCGGGCTTTTCCTGAGTGAGGAGACTGCAGTGTTCCCTCCAGGGCGGGGCCAACAGTATAGACCTAGAGCTAACTGGTGATGCCCTGTGGGGCACGTGATGCTGAGAACAGCACATGTGCTTAACATGGCCTTAATTTGTCTCCAAGCTTCTTAGGAGTATTTGCTATAAAAAAAAACAATGGGAGGCCCACTGCAGTGACTCATGTCTGTAATTCCAGTGCTTTGGGAAGCTGAGGCAGAAATATTGCTTGAAGCAAGGAGTTTAAGACCAGCCTAGGCAATATAGCGAGATCCCATCACTCCAAAAAAACTTAAATAATTAGCCAGGCTTGGTGGTGCATACCTGTAGTCTCAGCTGCTCTGGAGGCTGAGGTTGGGGGATCACTTGAGCCCAGGAGTTTGAGGTTACAGTGAGCCGTGGTGGCGCCACTACACTCCAGCCTGGGCAACAGAGTGAGACCCTGTCTCTTAAAAACAAAACAAAACAAAAAAACCCCCAAACAACAGGCACTTGTTTAGGCAAATGTTCCAAAGTATTTTGTGCCCCTAAAATAGCATAGGCCTTGTTTAAAATTGGCATTCCAAAAAAATTTTTAAAAACTCAAAAAACAAAACAACAATGAAAGCAAAAAACAAACCCTGGCACTGCATCATTTTTAATTTAGCCAGATGGGAAGGCTGAGGAGGGAGTCAGCACAGGAAGGCAAAATGCAACCTGCTCCTCAGCTGAGCACTGAATGTAGAAACCGTGTCTCCTCTCGGAAGACCTCCCTCCCCGACTCCCCCAACCTGAAGAAGGGTCCGTTACTAAACAGTTGCAGTCCCCCAGGCCGAATTCCCTGCTAGAGCAACCTTTGGGCTATTGATCAACAGAAGGCTGAGGTGATTTATCTAAAACACTTTAGTGCTAAATCTATTGCAAGTTCCACTTTTAATTCAAGATCGCTTTCTGCTTCCTCCTTCTTAAATCAGGATTAGTGATTCAATTCATTTCCTAAGTTGCTAGGCAATACATTTATGAGTTTATAACTAGGCCTCTAACCCTTTCCCATGAATTCAGCCAAACCCATTTATTTATTATAATCAAAGGAAAGAAATGCTTCACGGAGGGTTAATCTTTCACAAAGTCTAATGGGGGCTAATAGGAAGGGAAGAGTAATTAACACACAATGAATTATCACACAATGAATTAGTTTGCACTTCAAACTAATTTGTGGAAGGTAGCTGTGGAGTAACAGAAAAAGCATTAGGTTAGGGAGGTTGAAAATCAAGTTTTAGTCGTTCTTCACGACCAACAGGCTGTGTGACTGCAGGGCAGCACTGAGCCAAGGGACTGAGGCCTTCAGGTCTCCAGCTGCCCAGGGCAGATTAAACAATCACCTCTCTGACCAAGGCAGGGGTACGAGATGCAAGGTTAGGAGAGTACTGTTGAAGAATAAAGTACGATGAAAACATAAAATATGAACAGTAGGCTGGGCGTGGTGGCTCATGCCTGTAATCCCAGCACTTTGGGAGGCTGAGGCGGATGATTACCTGAGGTCAGGAGTTCGAGACCAGCCTGGCCAACATGGCGAAATCCCATCTCTACTAAAAATACAAAAATTAGCCGGGCATGGTGGCACACACCTGTAATCCCAGCTACTCGGGAGGCTGAGGCATGAGAATCGCTTGAATTCCAGGCCTAGTGGCCTCTAGTACCTGAAATGGTGAGATCTTTAAATATGCTTGCATATTAAAAGTTCTTTGCTTCAAATCAAAGTGGCCCACTGACACAGCACTGCCCAGTGGGGGAAATCCCTGGTGAAAACAGAAAGCAGGACTCTGGAGTTTATCAATCTGCTCCTTTTCTGCTGTGCTCTTTGCTCTAGAACAAAGTAGCATACACAGGTGTCCTCGCACACACTGCTAGAATCTAGGTATCTGGGCATGGTTCCTTTCACACCACAACTTGAGGATGATCCTTCAACTGTGGATCCTCCGTCCCTTCTGAAGCCAGTCCTCCCACCCTGGCTGATGGTAGTATTTCTCAGTCTTACCCAGTCAAACTCCACCAATACGGCCTTCCACTATTTTCTTTCTTCTAACCTGCTAAACACAATCTCTCTACTTGGGCTCCCTACACAGCAACTACTAGACTATTGCCCTGAGTCACCCACACTCTCCCTACCCACTGTCATACTGGGGGAGATCAGCTACCTTGCAGGTCACTGGGATGTGGACCCTGTATAGCCAGTTGAAATTAACATCCTTCAGTTCCTTAAAAAGCCAGGCACATGTTGTCATACATTCACAGACTGGCTCCACTTGCCACCAACATAGGCACTTTGCCTTTGCTCTAGATTCTGAAAATATGTTGAGGACCACACTGCAAAGACTTGAAAAAATATGCTGACCTTCTTTATTTAGCATCTTTATTTACATAGAATTATCTTTTGCATATCTTTCTGTGCTTTTGCTTCCAAGAGTAGTCATCAGTGAGCAGAGGTTTATGGTTAACTCATCTAATTATTGGCAATTGAAGTAGAAGTATCTCCTTGAGGCACAGGAGCATCAACTTCTGTGTCTCTTGCCGTGTCAGTAAGCAACATACAATGGAACCGGCAGAGCTCTCTTTCATTCCTCTGATTGTGGAGAGTGGGTTAGAGAAAATGCTATTAATACAGCTGCATCCAGCCATACCCCCAAAATCATGAAATGATTGCCTTAGGACTGTAGGAACTTCTCAGGGCAAATACCACTTGTTTAGAAATTGTCAGAATCCAAGTCTGCTAAAGTTGTTCATCTAAGAGAGTGTCAAATTCATCCACTGAAAATATACTGCTATTCAAGCTTTCCAAGCATAAATGGGATAGAGGGAGTTGTTTCAATTTAGGGAAAAAAAAATCCAGGTGCCAAAGTCTTTCTTAAGATTTAGATACAGCAATAGCAATGGTATCTTTGCCATTCTATAATGTGTTCCATAAAGTGTTAGAACTTTTAAAACCAACTGACTATAATTTAAGGATAAAGTAATTTTATATACCAGGAACTAAAGATGCTTCCAAGAAATAAAAAAGCAAATCAATCAGCATTGTTCTTATTTGAGTCTCCACAATTATTATCTGTCAACAACCATCAACAATATTTTGCACAGTTGGAATCACCATTATGCTGATATTATTGGTCAGCATGATGCTGGGTTATATGCTTTTTGCCTGGGTTTCAGAACTTTTTCTATAACCGGGAGGTTGTTTTCCCAAGCAGATTTGGGGAACTTGGGTTTACCTAACTACTGAAACAACAATCTCTTTCGTCACAGAAAACCAATTGGAAAAACTTCCGATTCAGATGCTGGGGTTTAATAGAGACACCAAAGAGTCACTGCCCGTGAGACTTTTCCCTGGAACCTAAATCCAGTTGCCTTGGCCCTAAGTTGCTGTTTCTTAAGTTCACCTGTTTCATGACTTCTGTTCCCTTTCTCCAAAACGGAGGGGGTCCAGGTGGGAGGTCTGGGTGAGAGGTCCAGAGAAAGACCAGCATTCACCAATGGTGATCACCTCTTTTACCCTCCTTCTGTACTTGATTAGTTGAAAGGATGCAGGAATAAAACACATGAACGTTTGGGGTTTTGTGAGGAGGAGTCAGTCAGCTTTGAGTTTATGGAGAGGGACAATGGTCACACCCAAGCTTTCTACTTCAGCACCACGATGCTGTTGTCTTTGTCAAGAAAGGAATGCTTTTTCAGTAAAATGCAACCCCACTGACCACGCTTGACATCACAGCCCACAAACTATTCCCACTGTGAGGAAGAAGTCACAGCGGAGCCACAGCATGGCCTGGGCTCTTTTCTGATTGTGTCTCTTAAGAAAACAGTACAGCTGAAACTCTCTCCCATCTCAGAGGCTGGGAATTAAATGTAGTTATAAAATTAAAAAGTCAGAAAATTATCAACAGAAAAGACACATATATATCTCTAGATAAACAGAAAGACAAATGTTCTAGCCCTTTATCTAGTAACATCTCCTCTGATGGAGGAGTGATGACATTGTTGACTTTTCAATCTACAAGTGATTTTTGTTTTCTGTTTCAATGTTCTCCAGATCCAAAGGGACATGCTGGATAATAAGTGGCCACAGTCTATTAGAGAAAGCATCATGACAAAGTGAAAGCACAATATTTATAGAAACCCCAGATCAAGCCCTTCCCCCAAATGGTTCCTTTCTGTATGTATGAAGGTGTGTATGTGTGTGTGTACATGAGCGTGTATCTATAGGTATATGTAGGAAGCATGAAGGTTGGGGGAAAGGGATGATTACAGTGGGGAGTGCTGGGTATTATAGGAAGCAAAGGATTTTAGATCATACACTCAGGACTGCATCTGGTGTCTAAACCAGAGAGAGGAGTGGTACTTACCTTATTTGTTGCATCAATAAATTTGACTCCTTTATATGAGACAGAAAGAATAATAGTAGGGACCTTCTTCATTTGCTCTGTAGACTTCTGAAATTAAAATTAGAAAGCTGTTAGAGCAGTTTGTGTTGCGTGGCAACTGAAGCACACAATTTTTCCTCCTGAAAGATAAAGATGAGCTCAAATTAAAAACAACAACAACACACACACACACACACACACACACACATCAGATACACACCACGCACACTCTAATTTTAATGTCTGCCTCTCCTCTCTTGGGCTTAGCTATACTTCGGGCTTATAAAGTTATCCGTCTTGCCCTTGAGGATCTAAAAAGAGTTTGTTCCGCTACTTTGTGTGGATGAAGGAGTACTTCTTTTCCCTGACACTAAAGGGTGAATGAAGAGGTCTGTCTCCTACTGCAATTTCAAGTGACTGTTCCTTTCACAAGAGTTAAACCACATCGGACTTAACTCCAAGGGTGCATTTGACATTAACAAAATATATGCACCCCCCCTTTTCCTAGTTACCTTCATTCTTCCAGGCACAGATAATGCTTGGATGTATACTTAAAATAGGGATGTAAAAGATATCACTATGTATTGTTCTTGAACTGGACCAAATCCATAAATGCTGATATTATATTTACAGCAGAATCACTTGTGACCACAAGGGATGTAATGATGCTCTAGAACAATGAAGCCCTCCAGGAGCAGTCTGGGTTTTGAGCCACAGCAAAATGCTGGACAGCCCAGGTAACCTACTTTATCATTTAGAGCTGCTACATTCCCTTAGGCCAAGTTCTTGTGATAGATGTTCACACTGGCTGAATGTGCTTAGAGTTTGCAGCTTGTACAGTTTTATGCATCTGCAAAAAGTTTCTCTATAATTTAGTATGTGCCTTTCCTGTTTAGCTTTATCATTCATCACCAGTCACCAGCAGTCAGTTTACTTCATTGCCCTCTATATATACTAGTAATAATCACACTAAACATCAAGAAGAACCTACCTGACAGTTAGCCTGGTGGATTTTCCAGTTAAGACAGATGGGAACATAATAGGAGAGAAAACATATAAAAGGTGAGAGAGAGGAAACCATTTCAATAATTCACCAACAGTGTAAATTCATTAAAAAACAAAAGATGCCACAAAAGAACAGGCTTCAGAGTCATCAAAGATGCAGTGCCACTGTTATTTTAGAAATGCTGCAGGCTTTCACCGGCCCCTTTCTTTCTCTGTTTCTCATCATTCTGTTTACTGCACCGCACAGTCTTAGGACTGACACACAAGAACCTTCCACTTTGAGCTTTCAACAACTAGTTGTCTTATGTCTATTAAGGGAATCAGGAAAAAATAGAAACTTTCTTGATTTATTCATTTATATTTCCCAATTTTCTAGTTTTAAATTCTGGAATGCAGCCAGAATTCAGGAAGGCTTTTAATTGGATAGTGTGAGTGAAACTCATTGAACTCAATGATGAGACTTCAATTGCATCTTTTAGTTGAGCTGTGAAAAGGGGTGTTTCACATTTTCCTGATTGTTTTGGCACAACATCTTTTTGAGAGTTACTACGCCTGTTTCAAAAACAATGGCTTACTAAAAGTATTGTTATTTAATATCTGTTGTTGTATACAGGATGTGAAAAAGCAGCTCTCTTGCTTTTTAACCAGTTTTGAAATTCCCTGGATGCATCAGTGTTCCTTTGTGATTGCCAAAAAGAGAGATTATGAAAATAAAATATAAGGTTAGAAACTCGTTTTAATGCTTCTTCCAACCACTTCTTAAAAATGTGCAAGACACATCAAAGGCAGGCTAGAAGAAATCATGTGCAATGTGTTGATTTTAAGGCAACGCGGTGGCTGAACTCTGTAAAGAGGGAGGGCTGGGGCAGCCCAGGCGATAGTTGGAATAACTGAATGCATATGTGAAAAATTTTCTGCAAAGCGTCACAGTGGATTTCGGTAAATCACCTCACTTATCTTTTGCCATGAATCCATTCTCCTGGACAGATCTATCTGTAATGCAAAGCAATATACAGCTAATATTCAGATGAAAATCTATTCGTTATTTGTTCAGCAATCGAGTTGTTACTTTAGGCAACCCACTGTGCTTGTCACTGGAAAAGCTCGAGTCTAGTTCAGGGATGGCAGACAGACCTCAAACTGTGTGCAAACACCAGTCTGCTGAAAGCACTGTGTTGAGAAAGATTCTGAGCTGTGTCTGAGCTCAGTAGAAAAGAGGGCTGGAAATGATGTCTGCCATGGGAGAAGAAGAGGACGAGGCGGCCCAGGGGCTACACATGAACATGCCTGCTAGGTCTGATAGGAAGAACAGCTACAATTACAATGTTGACAAATGTGACAGGAGCAATATGAACAACATGCCTCCAGGATAGTGAATAAAAACAGCCTTATTTTGCTTGACAGAGTGGGGCCAGTCTTCATTCATTCATTCAAAAGACAATGACGGCCTATTAGGGGTGATTGAGCTGACTCTTGATGAATAAGCATTTTCCAAGTAGCAAAGAGGCCAAAAGAGGCTGTTTTAGCAACAGAACTAATACATGCACAGAGGCCTAGAAATGAGAATGTGGTGGGTTTGGGTAACTGGTGGAGATGAGAGTGGTAGAGTAGGTTTGGAAGGTTGTGACTTACTCTGCCAAGTTAGGGTCCGTTGGAAGCTTTTCACTAGAGAGTGACACAATCAGACCTGTGTTGCAGAAAGATTCTTCTGGTGGTTGTTTATGAAGGAGGGACTGGAAGAGCTAGAGGCTGGATGCAGGGAGTCAGGAAGTTATTGTGCAAATCCAAAGGAGAGAGAGACCCTAAGCACCTGAGTTGAAGTAGAGGCATTGGAGAACAGGAGGAGGCACCACAATGTCGATGAGGAAGAACTGAGAGGTTCTGTTGATTGATCTGCTATGGAAGATGAATGGGTGGGAGGATTCCACAGATGAAGAAGCCACTGAGATAAGGAATACTGGAGGGGAAAGTGTTTTTGCGTAAGCATAATGGAAATGCTTTTGCACATGCTCAGTTTGATAAGCAGGTGGAGATATCCAGTAGGAAATGAGAATCAGATCTGGAAATCCACCTACATACATGGATGGCCAAGGAGGTGGGAGTGGACAAGGTGGTTTAAGGAGTGAACAAGAAAAGAGGGAAGGACACACTTCAGGGGAAGATGAAATCCCAAGGGGTGGGGCAGAAACAAGAGCTAATGAAGGAACTGGAATTGAAGTTGGAAGATGCCTACAACACAGTATCACAGAAGCCAAAGAGGAGAGGGCTTAGAAGGTAGGAGCAATGCCCCATGCCATGAGGACTAACAAGGCCTAAAATGGTGTGCCTACCACAGTGGCTGGCTCACACAGGAGCTGCTACTTTCATTGGGCTTACTGGGTGGAATTCCTGGCTTTTGCAACAAGAAAAAATTGTTGCTGATTTCATTAAGAGTAGCTTCAAGAAAATGGTGGCAGCAGCTGGAGAGGAGAACACAGTGAGCTGTGCAATGGATGCCAGTTAAAGGAAGCAGAAAGCTGGAACAACAGGCAGGTCAGGACACAGCTCTTGAGCTGACATGAAGGCATCAGCGGTGGTTCCTGTGATGGTACAAAGATCCCACATCAGATGCTCGGCCAAGTTGAACAAAAAAAAGAAAAGATGAAGGATAGTCATTTCTTTTTCTTCCATGGGTCCCAGGAATCTCTGCTCTCCTAACTGGAGGCAGCACTATGGTGTCAGTGATGCAGGCTGTGCACAGGCCTCTATGAATGGCAGTGTTGGGGGTGGCCATGCTTTCCAATCTGGAGCCCAAACTGTACTGCTCTCTCCACTGAGTCATTTGACAAGAAGCTGATGGATCCTGACCAGCCAGAGAGTTCAAAGGGAGGGTGGGAAATCTTCTGGGTAGAGCCCCTCCTTGAAGGCATTTATACACCCTACAAAAGATAAGGATCCATCGTCTTTTAAAGGGGTTTTCTGATGGTGTACTTTGACAAGAGTTTCCAAAGAGGTCTTTTCATACATAATCTTAGCAAAAGATGAAAATGCATAGAAAGAAGGCAAAGAGGCTAGGCATGGTGGCTCATGCCTGTATTCCCAGCACTTTGGGAGGCTGAGGTGAGCAGATCACCAGAGGTCAGGAGTTTGAGACAAGCCTGGCCAACATGGCAAAACCCCGTCTCTACTAAAAATAAATAAATTAACCAGGCATGGTGGTGGGTGGCTGTAATCCCAGCTATTCAGGAGGCCGAGGCAGTAGAATCACTTGAACCCAGGAGGCAGAGATTCTAGTGAGCCAAGATCGCGCCACTGCACTCCAGCCTGGGCAACAGAGTGAGACTCCGTCTCAAAAAAAAGAAAAAGAAAAAGGAAAAAAAAGGCAAAGATCAAAGTTATTGAGTCTTCAGGGAGTCTAATCTGGGAGGCAAGAAATCTAGTAAGTGCCCACTTCATTTCATGAAGGCTTTACAGGCATCAAAATGTGAGCACGGGGCTTCAGTCCAATCACAGGCAGTCAAAGTCCCTCCTTCCCCATTTTCTCTTCGGTGTTATGATCATCATTCTTTTCTCCTTCCCAGGGACGAAGGCGCCTACTCTGAACATCAAGTTACTGAGCACGTGCTCTCAGGCAACACTGGTTTCTATGACCTATCTATCTGCATGCTCTGCTGGGTGTCTGTATAATTAATACTCCCATATGTTTCTGTTAAAAATTCAAGCTTTATTGATTTGTATAAACAGAACTCTGTACTTCAGGCCCATTTCCCCAGTGAAAGATGCTCAAGGCGAACCTTCTGTTATCGTTTTCTTTCGTTTCTAGTTGCTTTTCCCTATGCCATGCTCTTTGTGGCATTTTTCAGGTTTCCCAATGTTCTCAAATTTACCCCCCTTCAGAGCCAGCTTTACAGAAGAGACTAATTTGTAATGGAGACCTCTGAGTACATAAGCAGATAAATACTCCTGGGTAAGGCTCCAAATTATTTTAATTTTTACAGCATCTTGGTCACCTGCAAAAAGCATTATAGTGATATTCAAATGTATTTTGTTCACAATTTCCCAAATTAAGAGGATCATACTTTTATTTTTCCAAGAGAAATGATATTTAGTTATATAGAGATGTTACGTTTCTGAAATCTAAAATACAATGCAACATTTGAATCCTAAATTCAAAGGCAGTCTTCTCTTTAAGCACTTGAGTTTATATTGTCTATAACCATTAAACAGAAACAGGAATCAGAATTTCATATCTGGAGGTGGCCACCTGAAATATTGTTCTTAGTAAGTCACTGAATGCTTTTAGAGCATTTTTAAAAAGAAGAGATTTTGAAATCACCAAGAGAAAGAAATAACCATCTTTCTTCTTCTCCTTTTTAATTTTAAATTATGAACGGCTTGGTATCAGGTCAGAAATTATCATTGGTGCTTTTATTACTGCCTTAAAGCATGTTCTGAAAATAAGTAGGTTTTCTATTTTGAATGCAGAATCAGTAGTATGGAGATACCCTTTCCAGAGTGCACGAACTCTAATCTCAGAGCAAGACTTTTCCGAGCACGAATGAAAGCAGAGGGGTTTATGATGGGGAGCACTTCAGTTGTGAGCTGTAATGCTCTTTGAGTCTGGAGTGGTGTTAATGTTCCGAGTAAGAATCATTAGTGCCCCATCATCAGCACAGACAGGGAAAACAGTGAGGCTAATGTGGGGAGGACGCCACCAACCCTTCATTCTTACAATGCCCCGATTGCTCCCAGTGTATCTGAAGCACAGGCTGGGGAAGGGATTTCCGGTTGGTCTGTTGCCATCCAACTTACAGTATATTTTTAACCTACACATGGCTATCCTGAGAATGCTTTCTAGTTAGATATTCAGTCCTGAGTCGTAACTATTAATTTTGGCATATAATATCTTCCTTAGTTAGATTCAAAGCTTAATTATTATATTCCATTTCAGCAAGTAAATTAAAATAGGATCAAGCAATTATGTTTGGTAGCCCTAAGTGACTTTCAAATGATTAAAAAACATACACAAAATAAGCATTATTGTGGTGATTTTGTAGGCAGTGAAACTAGCTAGGTTGTGGGATTACAAGAGATAAAAAGCAGAACACCAATCAGCAATTTGAAATGAACTCTCACCATTTGAAACTGAGCTTAAAGGCCACTTTCTGGGGAAAGGCTTCCGCGGTCTCCCAGGCTGACAGGATGGCTTTTCTCTTGTTCCCCTCTCTGCCACTTTTCCCGTGCACTGCCCTGGGTCTCAGCGTGGTCTGCTTGCTTCCCTATAGGGAGCTCCTTGAGGACTGCCCACACCTTTCTTGATTTGTCTTCACTGTAATGACTAGCACATGGTCTTACATTGAGCCCTATGAAGTAGCCATTTTTCAAGTCAAGAATGGCTAAGTACCAGCAGTTTCATAGGATTCGATCTAATGGTTGCTGAACTCCATGACTGTTAAAGGAACAGGCCAGTGAATTAATGTATCGTAACAAGCACGTAGCCAGCGTTATAAGGAACCACAGGCTGGGCGTGGTGGTTCTCGCCTGTAATCCCAGCACGTAGGGAGGCTGAGGTGGGCGGATTGCCTGAGCTCAGGAGTTCGAGACCAGCCTGGGCAACACAGTGAAACCCCATCTATACTAAAATACAAATAATTAGCCGGGCATGGTGGTGGGAACCTGTAGTCCCAGCTACTCAGGAGGCTGAGGCAGGAGAATTGCTTGAACCCAGGAGGTAGAGGTTGCAGTGAGCTGAGTCGGCACCACTACACTCCAGCCTGGGTGACAGAGCGAGACTCTGGGTGACGGAGCAAGACTCCATCTCCAAAAAAAAAAAAAAGGAAGCACAGTGCCAGCCTCTCAACACGCTGAGAGCTCAGCAAACTTTCAGAGAGCTCTGGTACCCAGAGCCAGCAAAGAGGCCTTGCAAAGCTTGCAGGAGGACCACAAATGTGATTAGAGGGTTACCAAGACATTCCTATGGGGTGGAGAAAACTTCAAAGATTTTGGCTGGGTGTGGTGGCTCACGCCTGTAATCCCAGCACTTTGGAAGGCCGAGGTGGGTGGATCACCTGAGGTCAGGAGTTCAAGACCAGCCGGACCAACATGGTGAAACCCCCCATCTCTAGAAAAGAGAAGAAAACAGACAAAAAAAAAAAAAAAGATCATGAGAGTTTTCAGTCTCAAGGAGGCAAGGCTTAGGTCTTCGTTTCTGCAAAGCAAACTGGCTCAAATTGCAAGCATTAAGAAGAAAAGCCTTCTTGACAGGGTAGAAGGATTCCTAAGGGCAGCTGGGAAGTTTCCCCCTCTAGACATCTTTAAAAATAGTTTGGGTTCTCATCTGTCATTAATGAGGCTAAATGACCTTGCAAGGACTTTTCTGGTCATAGGAGGTCTGGCACAAAGGCTGAGGGAATACAGAACCTAAGACCAGGTGACAAGAACAGACAGTGGGCAAGCAGCCATTGAAACCACACCTCCTGCATATGACATGGCCATTGTACTGCCTGTGTAACTCACATGCTCTGGAGCACAAGTCTGGCACAGCACAAAGCGGTGCCCTCCGTTTCTATATGCTGCTGATGCTGCACGTCTGAGACCATACTTTGAGAACTACTGCTCTAAAAATGCGGTCGATCAGTTTGATTGAAAGTTACTGTCAGAACTGTTCTCTGCTGCTGTGCATGTAAACTCGCTGTACTGCATCCTACATTAATTCAGAAAGAATCTAGTTTATCAAAACACACTGTTCTCCACTTGACAAGTGATTTCCAAAAATCCTTAGTTAGCATTTAGCTACAGCTCTTGGTCTTGAGAGCAATTAACAAGAATTATTTAATTCTTCATGGTTTCTCAGGGACTGTGAATGGATAAAACATTCTTCACATAAAACAAAGAGTTCAGTTCATAATGACAGATTCAAGAGTTGTACCCAGAATAGATGTTGGCCGGGTGTAGTGGCTCATGCCTATAATCTCAGCACTCTGAGAGGCCGAGACGGGCAGATCACTGAAGATCAGGAGTTCAAGATTAGCCTGGCCAACATGGTGAAACCCCGTCTCTACTAAAAATTTAAAAATTAGCTGGACGTGGTGACGGGCGCCTGTAATCCCAGCTACTCGGGAGGCTGAGGCAGGAGAATTGCTTGAACCTGGAAGGCAGTGATTGTAGTGAGCCAAGATTGCACCACCACACTCCAGCCTGGGCGACAGAGAGACTCAAAACAAAAACAAAAACAAAAAACCTGAAAAAACAACGATAGAGTTAATAAGATCAGGGGTCTTGCTGAAGATGAAGATGTATAGTTTTTTTTTTTTTATTAAAGTTCCCCTATTCTCCCTCAAATTAAGCACATGCTCTTGAGAGATGTGACAGGCAAACATGAACATGGGCTTGTGTACTGCCCCTGGGAGTGTAATCTGGAAGAAGTTTTCTAGAAGGCAATTTGGGAATAGTTATCCAAAGTTTCACAGTGTGTATACCCTTTGATCCAGCCATTCTATATCTAGTGGCTCATTCTAAGGAAATAATCAAACCAACTGCAAAAGATTTAGGTAAAGGGTGTTACCCATAGTACTGGCTATCATTTGAAAAGAATTGGAAATGACAGAATGACCAACAAGGAGAACTGGTTAAATAAATTTGGTTCAACTATGGATTGGAATATTGTAACCAACCACCACAAATGATATTGGGGATGAATATGTATAGGAATAAAAATATTTCAAAATATATTATTGTGTTTAAAATACACGGTAAAACAGTGGATATGCAATATTTCCACTTCTTACTAGAAAAATAGTACCTACAAATGCATAAATAATTGGTCTGGAGGATTACACAAGCATAAGATGTTAACAGGGAGGAATTTACCACTTCTAGGTGGTAAAATCACAGTTGTTTTTATTTCTCCTTCCTGTTTTTCTATTTTAGAAGTGAACAGTAATGAACGTGTATTGCTTTTGTAATAAAATTTTAAAAATGTATGATTTTAATTAAAAATGCCAATTGCAAATGTGTGAAAAAACACACTGTTTGAATCTATCACTTATAAGTGCAACTTCTGTGTTTTTTGGGGGTGTGTGTAGCCATCTTGAGCTTATGAAGGGACCCACTGAGGAGCTCCTTCCTCTGAGAAGAAAGGGGTAGTTGTCAGCAAATGAGAGTACAGGGTATGTTTGGATTCCTGGCTTAGTTCCATTCCTTCCTTGCGGCGTGGTTAGGTACTCAACCTCCCTGTGTCTTAGTTACTTCATCTGTAAACGGGTATGTTAATATAGCATCTACATTTTAGAGTTGTGAGGATTGTACAGGATAATTCAGTGCCTAGCATGTAGTGAACATCAACAGATTTTAGCTATTACTGCTTAAAAACAGTATTTTTTTTGGTAGAGATGGGGGTCTTATTGTGTTGAACAAGCTGGTCTCAAACTCCTGGCCCCAAGAGATCCTCTTGCCTCAGTCTCCTAAAGTGCTGGGATTACAGGTGTGAGCCACCTTGCTCGGCCAGCTGTTATTGTTATTCTGAGGATAGATGCTTTCACTTAGAAAGTCCCTCTCCAAAGCAAAGCACTGGCAAAAGAGAGCAGAAACAAAATTGAAATCTGTGTGCATAACTGAACACTCTCCAGGCTACTTGCTATGATGGCAGGGAAATGGTGGTTGCAACAATGAACTTTCAGTGGATCAATATACCTGGGCCAATGAGAAGAGACTCAATCAATCAACATGTTTAGAAAGAGCTTGAGACAAGTGGGAATTAAAGACAGAAGCAGCCCAGGAAATCTTTCAGTGATGTGAAGTAGTAAGGGTGTTATATGGGAGAAAAGCTAGCAACAAGGGCTATAAAAAATAACAAAGAGAACTGGGGTTTGAAGACAATATGGAATAAGATGGTTGGTGCTCTTTAGCCTTCTAGAGTAGGCCCGTAAGAAAACATTCACAATGAGAGGCTGGGCGTGGTGGCTCACGCCTGTAATCCCAGCACTTTGGGAGGCCGAGGTGGGCAGATCACAAGGTCAGGAGTTCGAGACCAGCCTGGTCAATATGGTGAAACCCTGTCTCTACTAAAAATACAAAAATTAGCCGGACGTGGTGGCGGATGCCTGTAGTCCCAGCTACTCAGGAGGCTGAGGCAGGAGAATTGCTTGAACCCAGGAGGCAGAGGTTGCAGTGAGCCAAGATTGGGCCACTGCACTCCAGCCTGGGAGACAGTCAAAAAAAAAAAAAAAGAAAACATTCACAATGGGAAAGGCACATGTGAGCAAGGATCAGCAATAAGGAGTTACCTATGTGGCTGTTTCTTTGTGGGCATTGCGATTCAATAGACACACAACACACATTTATGGGCTTAGAAGCTGTATTCACTATGACTCACGCAGTATTTGGGAGAGAGTGAAAGAAAATAATTGATGCTTCCATGAAATTGGGCAACAGAGAATTTTTTTTTAAAGATGGGATCTGGCTATGTTGCCCCGGCTAGAATGCAGTGGCTGTTCACAGGTGTGATCACAGTACACTACAGTCTCAAATTCCTGGGTTGAAGTGATCCTCCTGACTCAGCTTCCCAAGTAGCTGGGAGTACAAGTGCATGTTACTGTGCCCAGCTCAACAGAGACTTTTAAAAAAATAGTTGTTTAAAAGTTTTTTTTCCCAGTCTGATTCCTAAGAAGTAATTCTTGAAGTTATATCTGAAAATGACAACTTGTCACAGAAGGAATTTGTATGAGGACAGAGGAACAAAACATGATTTTAGTTTGAGTCTCTTCTAAGAGGAAAGAGGCTTTTACATTTAGTATTTCCATCTAATTTTAAGATCTAACTTTTTCAAAGTTTTCCAACCCATTCCCTCTATTGTTTCCTAAAACACATAAAAAAGAGAAAAGTCTTAATACTTCAACTAGGGCATGGATTATTATTTGGAAATTTGTATATTTGAAAATTCACGCTTTAGAAGTGCTTCTGGATTGAAAGTTTAAAAATCATACAAATTAAGAGGAACAGATTCAATGAGAACTATGGGGAAACTATCCAAATCCTTTGGGAAATAAAAGTTCCAAGACCTAAATACACTAGATTTGCTTATTTCTGACTTAAAAATAATCTTAAAATATTTCCTTTCTTATATCAGGAAGGCAGATTTCTACCTCATCTTAGTTGAAAACAGATATTTCTTTTTTGGGGAGGATTATTTTTTAAAAATATCAATTGACACATAATAACTGTACATATTCATGGGGCACAATGTGATGTTTCAATATATGTATACATTGTGTAATGACAAATAGGGGTAATTATCATACCTGGAACCTTAAACAGTTATGATTTCTTTGTTTTCAGAAATTCAAAATCCTCTTCTAGCTATTTTCAAGTATACAGTACAGCATTGTTAGCTACAGTCACCCTACTGTGCAATTGGGCACCAGAACTTATTTTTCCTACCTAATTGTAAGTTTGTTACCATTGAGCAACGTCTCCCTATTCCCCTCCTCCTCATCTACCCTTTCCTGGCTTTGATAACCACTGTTCTATTCTCTACTTGTATGAGATCAACTTTTTAGATTCCATGTATGAGTGAAATCATGTGGTATTTGTCTTTCTGTGTCTGGCCTATTTCACTTAACATAATGTCTTCCAGGCTCATCTATGTTGTCACAAATAACAGAATTTCATTCTTTTTCTTTCCCTGAATAGTATTTTATTGTGTACATATACCACATTTTCTTTACGCATTCATCTGTTGATGGACACAATTTTAAATAAACACTTAGCTTGGATCCACATCTTGGCCATTGTGAATAGTGCTAGAGTAAACATGGAGGTGCAGATATCAACATACTGATTTCATTTCCTTTGGATATATACCCAATAGTGGGATTGCTGGATAATATAGTAATTCTCTTTCTAATTTTTTGAGAAGCCGCCATACTGTTTCCATCATTGCTCTACTAATTTATATTCCCACCAACAATGTACAAGGGTTCTCTTTTCTCCACATTCTCACCAACATTTGTTATCTTTTGTCTTTTTGATAATAGCCATTCTAAATGGAGTAAGATGTGGTTTTTGCTTTGCATTTCCCTAGTGATTCACTTTGGGTTTGCTTTGCATTTCCCTACTGATTAATGATATTGAGCATTTTTTCATATACTTTTTGGCCATTTGTAAGTCTTCTTTTGATAAATGTCTATTCTGGTCATTTGCCCATTTTAAAGTTGATTATTTGTCAACTCAAAATGGATTAAAGACTTAAATATAAGACCTGAAACCACTAGAAGAAAACGCTGGAGAAACACGTCATGACATTGGACTGGGAAAGAATTTTTTGGATATGACTCCAAAAGCACAGGCAACAAAAGCAAAAATAGACACATGGGATTACATCAAACTAAAAGCCTTCTGCACAGCAAAGGAAACAACAGCAAAGGAGACATCTTAGAGAATGGGAGAAAATATTTGCAAGCTATACATCTGACAAGGATTAATATCCAGAATTTATAAGGGACCCAAACATTGCAATAGCAAAACAACAAATAATCCTATTTTTATTACTTTTTAAGAGAAATTTCCTTGAGAACAAACACCTGTGAATGATACTAACCATCAACTATGGGATTAGAGAACGTAAGACTGCAGAGAGTATTAAATTGAATATAATGGCTTACCTCTTACAGTAACAGATGCTTCCTAATTGTATATTTAATTAGGGAAGTGATGCATTACTGTATATTAGTGAAAATTAAGCCCCAGGGCAAAATTCAGGGTTCGGGATGGGGTATGGGTAAGCCTAGGGAGGCAAAATTGAAGAGCAGAACCTCATCTGGCCAGAGCAAATCCTTCACTTCACCAAAAACTGTATGTCTTGGAATCTTTGAAGTGGGAGTTATTCATACCAACATAACAACAACAACAAACCCACTGAAAAGTCAAAGCAATATACTTATGGCTTTGTAAAATCCAGTCCTGTGGACACATTATTTAAAAGTGGTAATTCTTGGCCAGGCGCGGTGGCTCACGCCTGTAATCCCAGCACTTTGGGAGGCCAAGGCGGGTGGATTACTTGAGGCCAGGAGTTCGAGACCAGCCTGGCCAACATGGTGAAACCCCGTCTCTACTAAAAATACAAAAGTTAGCCAGGCATGGTGGCAGGCGCCTGTAACCCCAGCTACTGGGGAGGCTGAGGCAGGAGAATCACTTGAACCCAGGAGGTGGAGGTTGCAGTGAGCCAAGATTGCACCATTGCACTCCAGCCTGGGTGACAAGAGCGAAACTCTGTCTCAAAAAAAAAAAAAAAAAAAAAAAAAAAAAAAGACTTCCTCTCAAGCTTGGCAAGCTTGGCGTTTGGTCGATGGGGACCCATGGGGGTTCAACATGTGTATCAAGAAGTGTTATTTCTGTCTGGGGCCCATCCACCCTGGCCATGGCAAGATGTTCATCCGCAATGATTGCAAGGTGTTCAGATTTTGTAAATCTAAATGTCATTAAAAACTTTAAAAAGAAGTGCGATCCTCACAAAGTTAGGTGGACCAAAGCATTCTGGAAAGCAGCTGGTAAAGAGCTTACAGTGGATAATTCATTTGAATTTGAAAACCGTAGAAATGAACCTATCAAATACCAGTGAGAGCTATGGAATAAAACTACTGATGCAATGAAGAGAATTGAAGAGATCAAACAGAAACACGAAGCTTAATGAACAGATTGAAGAAAAATAAAGAGCTACAGAAAGTTCAGGATATCAAAGAAGTCAAGCAAAACATCCATCTTATCCGAGCCCCTCTTGCAGGCAAAGGGAAGCAGTTGGAAGAGAAAATGGCACAGCAGCTACAAGAGGATGTGGACATGGAAGATGCTTCTTAAAAATCTCTGTAACCATTTCTTTTATGAACATTTGAAAATGCCCTTTGGAGACTTGAAACTGCTAAATTATTAGCTTATTTTTTACATAAGGCCACTTAAATGAAAAATGATTAAAATATATTTTTCCTACCTTGCCATCTAATGGCACTAGGCAGCATTTGTATAATAACTAATGGCAAAAATTCATGGCTAGTGATGTATAAAATAAAATATTCTTTGCAGTAAAATATTCCCTTTATTAATGTTATAGAAGGGAGGATACAACAAGGAACTAACAATTTGTATGACAGTGTCAAATATTATTTAGATTTTAGAATTTCCTGTTTTGCTTCATTTGCATCTTAGAAGAGCATAATGACATTGTTTGATGAAGCCTAATTATGCTGGACTGTTTTGAGCTGGTTTAACCCTTCTGATAGGTAGTTGTGGATGTCGAGGATGAGAACTGAATAATCTTTGCCTGAAATCACACTACACTCTAGAATTTCCACTCTGGAGAATACTCAGTTCTAACTTGTGATTCCTGGTAGAACAAACTTTATTTTTCTAGCCTAGCAATGATCTAGAAGCAGAGGAATCCCAGTGCCTTTTAAAAGTTATTATGTGGTTTTCTTTTAAAAAGCTCCTGTTTTTGGAAAGTAGAATTTCTGGGTACAACATCTGTTTATTATTTGCACATAAAATAAGCCATTTAAAAAGTGAAAAAAACAAAACAAAACAAAACAAAAAACAAAACCCAGGGCAATGAATGTTCCTGGCACATTGGAGAGGCAGTCCAGTCTCTGGATTCACAGTGTGGGTAGTGGAGTGGACTGCCTGGTTTCAAATCCTGGCTCTGCCACCTGCTGTCTGTGTGACCTTGGGCAAGTGACTTAACTTCTCTTGGACTTTGTTTTCCCATATGTAAAGTGGGAGCAATGGCAATACCTACTGTGTGGACTGAGTGAACTAATGCACATAATTCAGTTGTGCAGGGCAGGGTGTACAGCTCTCAACTGCTACCTGTTATTAGCCCTAATAAACTGATTTTAGGAGGGCATGAGTATATGTCATTTTTAAGATCGTCTATTATGATCCCTTAGGCTGATGGCAACTTGAAAGTGCCTCTATGGTAATACTTCTACCACTTTGGGGTAATTAAATGTTCACATGTTGGTTTCCTCCACTGGATTGTGAACTCGGTGGATTTTAGTCATCTTTGTTAACAAAGTACATTTAAGGAAACATTGATCAGAATTGGGAACCACAGTGATTTACTTATTACTGGGAGAGACATTTTCATTTTGGCTAAAATGCATACTTTGAACAGAAAACATCTTTTTTTCAATTAAAAGAATAAACAGGTAACTCTTAATCTACAATACTTTGGCCTAATAATATTACCATGAATCAACTTTTTAGACCGTCTGTGTCCTAAAGTATTTTTCATGGGGAGTTTTGATTGAACTGGGACTTTTGGCTGAAATGCCACCATGCTGAGAACAGAGAAAACAGCAACTTGGGGTTCAAACTGAAAATTAGCTGCAAGTTGAGATCTACATCATTTATAGTTGGTGAAAGTTCTAATTCACAATAGAATAGTTCCAGATAGCAGATCAACCCTATGCTTCTGGTTTTGAAAGACTCTGGTGAAATGTAGTGAATGCAACCTTAGCTACTTTATCAAGAACTGAGACTTACTTAATCAAGATTGGAAATAAGGGTTTATGATAGTCCGAGAAGTAATGAAGTTTCTATTTTCATGTAAACTACATAAGCACCAAGAGCAGCAAACCAGAAAAATGCCCCCCAAAACAGAAGAATGGCTTCTAAATATATGTTTTTTTCTAAGTTTCATTTTAAGCAACAGACAAGGATTTAACTAAATTATTCTCTACTTAGGCTACTAAAATGGCTTTTCTATTGCTATCAGGATGTAATTTCAGATCCACTCAATTTCATGAAATTGACTGAGATTCAAATCATACATCTGGTATATTTTAAATGATGCTGCATGCACTAGGCAATACTGATGCTGATTATCACACCGGAGTAGCTGGTCTCAGGTAATTTAGTTAAGAGTATTAAATCAGAGATGCCCAATTAATTTATTAGACATGTTCATGAATATTTCTAAAATTATTATGAGGCTTGATGAATGAAAACTTTCCCTTTTTCTTATTGTTCATTGGTGACACAAATTAGGCCAGATAAATATTTAGAATACAAGATTTCCAGAATTATAAAACCAGGGAGAACTCTAAAGTGTATCTAGTCTAATGTTCTCATTTTATATGTAAGAAAACAGAGGATCGGGGAAACAGGAGAATGTAGTGGTTAAAAGCCTGGGCTCTGGAGTCAGACAGACCCGAATTCCAGTCTCAGATTGGCAAGTTATTCCCTGTGTGACCTTGAGCAAGTTATTCAACCTCTGTAAGCCTCCATTTCTTCGTCTGTAAAATGGGGACAATAATTGTACTAGGGGACACTGTAAAGACTCAGTAAATGTTAGCAGCTATCATATTATTTTTATGAATAACAGGTGACTCCTAAGGCAAATAACCAGCCACGGAACTAAAACTTAGAGTTTCTGATATATACAGAAGCTTGTTTTTTTATCTAAACTCAGTACCTAAGTTAAATATTCACTGGTACTGACAATTTAAGTACTGTCTAACTCTGCATTAAATAGAAGGATAACTATTTCAGTCTTTTTTGCTGTTGAATTGATCAAAATATTAGTGATTACATATTGAAGTCTCAATTTCATGAAGATTCACACATATTTAGCTTTCCATAAACAATGGATATTTCATGTTTACCTTCATAGCTGTTTCAGTGTAATTATATGCTCTTAAATTATTTTCCACCAAAAGCTGCTCATATAAAATAAACAACAAGGTATATTGGCCATAAATAAAAGTTAGGATTGCACTTACTAATGACCTTAAATTTGACTTTAGTTAGATGCTATATTGAACAAGTCTGATATTCTCAATTTGTGCAGTTACTCAGATACCAGCATAGCCTCTATACACCTGTTATGGAGGAAGCAAGAACAAGGGACACGTACAAAAGGAAAAGGTGGGTCTGCAATACGAGTTAGAGTTGCTTTGGCTAAAATAGACTCCTAGGAATCAAGCAGCCACTAATCACAGATATTTGGAATTGCCATTTTTTTTTTTTTTTTGAGACAGAGTTCCACTTGTGTCACCCAGGCTGGAGTACAATGGTGAGATCTCAGCTCACTGCAAGCTCTGCCTTCAGGTTCAAGCGATTCTCCTGCCTCAGCCTCCCAAGTAGCTGGGATTACAGGTGCATGCCACCATGCCTGGCTAATTTTTGTATTTTTAGTAAGAGGGGTTTTGCCATGTTGGCCAGGCTGGTCTTGAACTCCTTGACCTCAGGTGATCCACCCACCTTGACCTCCCAAAGTGCTGGGATTACAGACGTGAGCCACTGTGCCCGGCCTGGAATTGCCATTTTTAGTTAACATTTGCCCTTAAATAGTTCATTCCACTCAAAGTTGAATTTAAAAAAATAAAAAAAAAAAACTGAGTAAGAAATTGCATAAAGAATATTAGCTTTATATAATATGCTCTTAATACTTCTGCTTTTGATAATTTTAGTCAATTGGTGATGTTTTCAGTAAATATTCTCAGACTATTCAGTGCGTGCTTAAAACCTTTTGTTGTAATAAAGATCATTTTTCTAATCTCGAAAATGATACAATTAATTTTAAATCTTTAAAAATAATTAAGAACAAATATAGTACAAATATAGCAAATAGACATTAACTCAAACTATAGTGAGATAAGTTCAAGCATAAACATGCAGAAAGCAAGAGCACCTTTTTATGTAATACCAATGTGATTCAGCAGACCAACAGATGGAGAAAATAGTAATTTGAAAGGTGGCAATTTGTATCCATACCCAGTATTTAGTATTTCAGCTACTAGAAATAAAGTAGTTTGGCAGACTTACCCGCATTTTTGCACAAGCATCTTGGGTTGATTCTGTCCCCCTAAGCTCTTTTATCAGCATAGAACCTAAATACTAAAATACAAAAAAAATTCAATGATTTATGAAATGGAATATACATATGAGTAATGTTTTAAAAACAAATTGTGGAAGTATTACTGGCTAGGTTTCCTGGCTGTAAGTTGTTGCATAACTTTAAAAAACTGACAGTAACTAATCCTAACAAATAAATGCATTCATAGAGAAAATGCAGCAGAATTAACCATAAGTTCTGGGGGCTGTAATTGCTCTTTATAATGAAACTGCAACATCTTCTAAAGATGCCATCTTTCAAATCATATTTAACTGCAAAATGGGGGCATCTAAAAATGTTTTCCCCTTTTTTGAGGCAGCAATGTCTGCAAAAATAAATCACACTACTATCTCTGTAATTACAGGGTTGCATGAGACAGCTGAGAAGCTAAGCAACATGTCCCCCATTTAGGCTTATTCTGCTGCATAGGTAATTAATGTTAGGCTTTTAGGCAGAGATGCAGTTTTGGACCTTTTTCATTCACAGCTGTGTGCCCTATGGTTGATCCACCTGAGAACGGGATGGGAGGGTGGGGGGAGGGAGAGAGGCATTCTCAGTTGTTTCCCAGGGGAAGAGAGCTGGGTTCCTGGTGCGAAGTGCCACCTGGAGGGCTGAATGGAGCTAGAAGGATGACAGTCTCCCAAGAATTGCCAACTACTTTGTTGTTAGAAGACCAGACCCCATACTGTATCATCCTGGTACAAAATGCCCCTCGTGCTCCAGCTTCTGGCTGGGGCCAAATGGTTTTAAACAAAATGTCTGATTTGCCTTTCTATCAATTGACTCCCCTTCAACCTTTTGAAGCTTTAGTAGGGTTTTTGCCTTTTGTCATTCCCCTGCCCCTTGCCCTCCCCCCACCAGCCCCCAAAGAGCTCTATATATGTTTTTTAAAAAAGTGAATTACAATAATTATTTTAGAAGATATCTGATGGACACTTCCTGACAAGACTGGAGACTTGTACTCTGCAGAGACGGGGATGGGAACCACTCTTGTGGACTAGGGAAGTGCCTGACTTGAAGAAGACGTGAGAGGGCACAACAGCAGAAGGCGTGGTCAGGGCCTTGGAGAAAGGCATGTTCAGAAAGGCTTGGGGACTTGGGGTTTGGAGGGAGGAGCCATTTCAATCCTATGGTTTTGGGCAGTACCACTGAAATAAATCCAAAGCTGCAATATAAGTAAGCTTTAGTAAAAGAGGGGCAGAAAGCAGAAAATGAAAAAAAAAAAAAAAAAAAGCTCAACTGGTATGAGATAACCACAATGTCCATCTAAATCAAATGAAGGTGAAATTTATTATCTTTTGGTAAAATCCTTATCTTTTAAGTTATCAGGGAAGTTTGCCTGATTGAAATGTTTCTTTTTAAGAGAGGCAGTTTCAATGCACTGCTGAAGGTTCAGCCACTTTTTCTGCTGTCGTCAAGACAACCACCACCTGACCCAAAACCTACAGTATCTTTTGAACATTTACCAGTTCCTATTACATTTCTCAGCTAATTATAATTAATTCCCCTCTTCTAAAAAACTAAACAACTAACCTAAACTAAACCAAACTAAACTAAACAACTAAAACAGAAAAATAGTATAATCCTATTGATGACAGTGAAAAGAATCTGGTATTTACATAAAGTGGCAGACCCAGTGTTTTGAGACCCAGTGTTTGGTGAGTGAGCAGAGATATATATATATATATGCCATATTTACACTCATTTCCATTTTAAGATTGTACGTTATAACATTTATTTAAAAATATACAACTATATAAGAGGTCACAACAGACCTTAAACTTACAAGATTAAAACGGTTTTAAAGCTCTAGTTATTTGGACTTTCTCTTTGGATAGAAGGCTACTTTAAGAAAAAGTGAAGAGAAAAACATTTTAAAAATTTCAGTGATGGATATGGATATTTTGGTATATTTTCAATGTAAATGCAAACAAGCTGAAAACATACCCCCTATCTCCACTTAGGCCCAAATACTGAATTGAGGGTAACTTACAAAAGCTTTGTAATCACACGACTGGAAGATAAGCTTTTCTGGGTGATGCTGCCAGTACTGTACCGGGGTAGAGGCTGTGGCTTCATTCGGAGGTCGCAAGGTAATGGAAGGTTCTCCCCAGTCTCCTGTCTGAAAATGACATTTATTCTAGAGGCAATATGAGCAGTCAGCAAAGTTCATTCCCTGTAGCTACCCTGAGCTCACCTTACACACAGGTGCTGTGAATGTACCAAAATGCATTTGGGTGTCTTATGTGAATATAAATACTTGGTTATTACATTTTTATATGTATTAGCATATCTCTCAAGGCTGAGTTAATTTTTGAGGTGTGGAGTTGAATTATTCTATTTTTAGAATGACATCCTAAGCTAAGTCACTTTAAAATAAAACATGAAGATATTCATAAATGATTTACTAATCACAATTTTCCATCACAACAGCAAAGGACACACAATCTTTAAAAGAATTTTGTTTTTAAACTTGACTGAAATTTTTAGTTTGAATTGCTTTCACATTCAGAACACACAGTTCTATAAATTTCAGTTCCCAAATATGACATGTACTAGCCACTTTGAATAATTTTAGATCTCTGGAGAAATGGTAGTGTAAGCATGATGCTAAACAAAATTTAAAAGAAAAATTTACTAATGGGTGACACTAATTTCTCTCATCTGAATTCAATTGCACTGATTTAATGATGCTGTCTCAGATGGATTCAGCTACTTTTCTCAGAAAACCTAACGTACCAATGAAGACTAAACAGTGAAATGCCAAGTTTGGTCACATGTACATAGGCATGTACTTTGAGGATTCTGATTCACAAATACAAGCACATTCCCAAATGATGGTATATCATATGATACAGACCTAAAACAGGAGGACCTCCCATCATTTCATTTATCATTTTCCATGAGGTTAGCCTCAACCTGTTTCATCAGTATAATAGCTTAATGTGAGCATCTATAAAGTCAAAGGCCAGTGTTGGCAGGTATTTTCTGGGCTCTACTCTGATTTACATACTACGCATGAGATATTTCTTACTCTTTCTCCTGGGAAAGATTTGGATTTTTCCAAAACTCAGTTCTTTGTTCTCAAGTGGACATAACTAAAACTAAATAGGCAGATTTCTAGAGTGACTCTCCTCTAACCTAGATTTGGCTATATATAGAACTATGAGAAATTACTTTTCTCAGGAGTTGGAAGAGTGTAAAAAGGTCTCATAAACTCCAAAATCAAATAAAACCTTGGTTAGAGAACAAGTTCCACAGAAGTGCTAGAAAGTGTGTTGACACACTGTGGGATTTCTTAAGGAGAATTTTTAAGGAGTCTAGGACAAGAATGCAAAATTTTGGATGCAGTTGTATGTTTTGGGAGAGAAAGGAAGTTCTCTGCTTTATTAAATTCTTTGAAAGAATCTAGAAACTCCAAAAGATTAAGAACCACAGTTCTCTAGGAATGGCGTACATAGGGTGCATATTTTGGGGAGGAGAACTAGCTCTCCAATTTTCTTTGCGCACTTTGGACTTACATTAGGTGACATATGAAGTAGCTGCCAATGATAAAAAGCCCTTTCTAGAGGACTTCAGTAATGCACAGGCTTTTTTTTTTTTTTTTTTTTTTTTTTTTTTTTTTTTTAGCAGTGGAGTGCCTGAAGCTTTTCTCCTTGAGATGGGTCACTTCGACTCGCAGAAGAGCAAAGTTAGCATCACGCTATTTCCTTGGCTTCTCACTGTAGTTAGTGTGTGACTAGTTGGAACTCCTTCGGCTTTTCTCTCCTGCTCTGTTCTCAGCCACTCTCCACATTAGTTTTGTTTTCGTTGCTGATTTACTTTTACATTGCTTAATCCTCCTATTCCCTGTCTGTTGGTATTTTTTATTTTTGTACACATTTATGGGGTATATGTGAAATTTTGTTACATGTATATTGTCTGTTGGTATTGTTAAGACTTTACTTGCAATATTAACTTTAGCATTTTTGTCTGTTTTATTATCCATCCCTGACTCATTCTTGAGTTTTTCTTTTATATTTATATGAATTTTTAGTTTGTAAAAGTGATAACTGACTGCAATTCTAAAATTAGATTAAGTTTTTCTTTGGCTTCTTATTTTGATTTTTTTTCTTTTCCTTCTTTCTCAAATGGCTGGCTCTTTATTCTCTCTCTGGTCTTTATTTCATCTGGCTGTAACTTACTTTTGAAAAACTAGTATAAAATTCAAAATATAGGATACGTGGATTTCAATATCATTTTGAAGCTGAGTGTAATAACCTTTAAGTGATAATAGCTTAAAATTCTGGAAACATGCAGCTATGGGTTCTTAAACAAAAGCTTTACCCAAATCTATCAAATCATCCTCTAATCTCCCCCATTAAACTTCTCCCTCCTTCTCCCGCTCCCTGGATAAAGCAACAACAACACGGCAAACAGGTATTGTACATTTAAGTCACAGGTAACACTGTTAACAAAACAACAGAAGTTTGCATGCAACTCCGTGGAATGATACAAAAGGAGGATCTGGATGGCTTCCAAAGATCCTTTGATCCAGTGTCTGCTGATGTGACAACTCAAACCAAGCATCAGATCTTCATGTGAACCCTATTACAGTTCAGCAGAGGTAGACCTTGGCCAAGCTCAACAGGTAGTTTTCAAAAAAGTCTGAACACGGCATGAGCTGGTGGTGCCATGAGTTGCAGGGCCAGGGCTGGGAACAGGGCTGGGGGTGGGAATGAGTTGGGGGAAGCTAGGGTTATGAAAACATTTCACGTGTTAGTACATTAAGCATGCAAATCATATGCAAATTCATTCTCTAATTGTTCCATTAACTCACACACTTTTATAATTAAACTTTAATGTGAGTTCCATACATTTAAAGCCAGAGCCACAGCCAAATGCTGATCCAAATATTTACGTCATCCACATAAGTTGTAGCAGCCATTGTGGGAATAACAAGCCCCAGCACATACATTCCAATCTCGGTCTGGAAATCACTGAAATCCCTTATTTGATAACCACTGGAAGAAATTAGTGGAACATCCACTTAAATCTGTTTAGACAGCGCCATCATCTGCTCTCCCATGACTCCACTTTGTCCAAAATCACAAACCACTTGCTTTGAATTCAGAGTGATCTGATAGGATTTTCCCTAGGTGCTAAGGTGGGAGATAATTACAAGGAAAAGAAATATAATACTTATTTCATTTTCTTTGTGGCCTTCAAATATTGCTTCAGTCCAAATATTGTCAAATTCCCTACAGGGACTGAATCTACCTTTCTGGAAAGAGACACTGAATTTTATCAGATTTAGTGCTATTTCCAGAAATTCATTTTTAAACAGAGGGAAAGGTGTTCTTAAGATTGAATTTATTAGAAAATAAATTTCTTTTCTGCCTGGAAATTCATCAACTTCTCTCCCCACCCCTGCCTATTTTTTTTTTTTTTAAACTTAGATCTAAAAGTATTTAGAAGACTCAATTTGTAGATGTTAATTCTTCTTTTTGGAATTAATTTAATGGGAATGGATGGACTCCAACAACTGGACTTAACATTACACTGTCGTAAAGGACAGGTATGACCTTGGCCCTTGGCTGGGATTCAGCTGTACCTGGTTGACTCCCAGTAAGAACAAAAGAGTTCAGAGAACAAGGGTGCCTTAGGTCTCAACCCTCCTGGAGGCTGAATTACAGCAGGAATGAGCTATGGAGGAATTACGTAGAGTAGTTACTATATGGAATGGAAGAAGAGGTCAAAAAAGAAAGATTTTTGCCTCATACATAAAATCATTTTGAACTTTGAAGCCTAGTGTTAGGTCTTGTTGACTAGTACATTCATGTCTACATAATACTTGCATCTCCTCAGGCAAATATTTTTAAATTTAGTAATTTTCCACTTAAAAATCCTTATTAAATATTAAATAACAGACCTAAGAAGTCTTTTGCCACAATAATGGTTTATAATCAAAGCTTATTTTTAATGAAAAGCAGACCTAAACACAGCTAACAACGCAATATTTCATTAGAATAGCAAAATGAAGTAGGAAAAGTTTAGGGTAGAATTCTGTCATATTTTAAATTATTATTGACACAGTGGTCTTTGAAAGGATTCCTTAAGTAATCACAAATGAGAAATCAAAATGATTCAAGGTACTCCTAATAAATGTCTTCAGGCTATCTCTTTGGCACTTAAAATATTTACAGAAAATCTTTCCTTTAGGTTCATGTATTTGAAAGATCTTCATATTCCAAGAATTTTGTCATGGCTTAAAACTTCATTTATTTGGTATTTATTATTATTTTTTATATGTATGCTTAAGGCCTTTTTTTTTATTAAGCACACTAAAGAACATCAATTAAACAGAGGAAAATGTACATCATTAGCTCTCTTCTTCAAACTCAAATAAAAACTAAACTTCTAACATAAAGGAAAAATACTTTGACATTAGAATTTTAAATGGAGAATTGATTCTGTGTAACACATGTTTGCAACTGCCAACTATAAATCTGTAGTCTGGGTGAGTCTGAAGGACTATAATTGGGCCACATCTAATATAATGTAATTAAATTAAACATTCTCTTATACCAACAACTGAAAAATACAAAAGCATCAATGGGATTTAGTTAAAAAACAAAAAGCTTCACAAAATACAGAGATTTTTACTGGATGGCAGATTCCAAATTGCAGCTTTTAAACTTTGCATTATTTCAACAGGTGGTAAATAGCTGCAAATTTTTAGTTCACATGCACTGGACACCTACAGCAAATTCTAAAACAAATTGTATCAGGTAGCTGTCTCCCTCCAAAAGGGAAACTGAATATTACATATTCTATATGCTCTGAGAATAGAAAGGAAAAACCCTTCTCTATGTTATTTTCCGTCTTTATTATTATTTATTTTTCCAAGATGGAGTCTCCCTCTGTCACCCAGGCTGGAGTGCGATGGCACAATCTCGGTTCATTGCAACCTCCGCTTCCTAGGGTCCAGTGATCCTCCTGCCTCAGTCTCCCAAGTGGCTGGGACTACAGGCATGTGCCACCACATCTGGCTAACTTTTGTATATTTAGTAGAAACAGGGTTTCACCATGTTGGCCAGGCTGGTCTCGAACTCCTGGCCTCAAGTGATCCACCCGCCTTGGCCTCCCAAAGTGCTGGGAATTACAGGCATGAGACACTCTACCAGGCCTTTATGTTATTTTCTTCTTAAGGAAAAAGTTTCCTAAGGATGTCAGTAGATAATTAAAAGCCATGCTTACAACTTACTTTTCTAACATTAATAGAAAAGTATGGCATTTTCCAAGCCTTGTATTATTCTTTAAAATTTTTAAAAATTAGGATTTAATTGATTTTTAAAAATAGAACCTTTAAAATCTTTTCTATGAGGACTGCTCCCACCTACTTGCTTATAAATTTAGATCTGAATATTAACAAACATTAGTCTCAATTTCTTCAGAACACTTAATGAAAAACTAAAATGATTTTAAAGGACAATTATTGTTTTAAGGTTTTACTTTCAATAATTATGACAAATTTCAGAGATGGGCTACCCAAACATACATAAGATATATGTGATTACATTTACTTTCTGTAATCTCTAAGGCTTTGAAGAATGCTATACACAGCTCTATGCTTATAAATATGCATACGTATATTTGAAAGTGAATGTAAGGAAAAGGCTTCCCATAAACATTCACACATAATGAAAGCAGGATGTTGTAGTTGTTCTTTCAAAAAATCTTCAAGAATGAAGAATTCTAGTTTGATCAAATGCAGTTGGTTATACTGAATTTGTTCCTTTAGATGAAAAAGAGCAGAGATGGCTACTTACGAACACATAAAAGCTCTGGTTAACATTTATGAGTCCAAGAGGAACTGCTGGGTCACGTGAACACCAGTACCAGGCAATGTATAGACACCATGGTCCTCAAGAGCCAGAAGTCCCATGCACAGGAGTACATATGTGCCTGATGCAGCATCCCAAAAGGCACTTCACAAAAATACCCGTGGCATCCCTTCACATGCCGCCCCAAGAATCTGCTCAGTGATTCTCAACCAAGTGTCTCAACCTCTCAGACAGCAGGCTATCCAATGGGAGAAATTCAAAAGGGTGTGAAAATAGAATAGTATTTTAAAATATGGAACATAAAACCCCAAACATTTAAATGTTTATTTTCCAAATAGAAATAAACTTTTTCTAAAGTATGCAAAGGTGAAATATGAACATTTGAAAATCATGCAGCTCAGAGTAAAATGGGTCACAATTTCATACAATTTGCAAAGATCAATTCAGTACTGTCAAATGGAAAAAGGCTGAGAACCACTTTGTAGCTGTAACCGTGCCTCTCCCAGCTCACCTCCCCCCACATTTGCATAAAATGTATACAGAATAACATGCAAATCATACTCAGAAATTTCTCACAAGTGAAGCACATGAATCTTTGAGAATCATTAGACACAAAGGGTTGAAGAGTCCATGAATATGGGGAGGTACAAAATGGGGAGGAATAATGCTGATATATACATGTGTGTATATATATATATATCAATTTACCCTTTTCTTTTTCCTGTAAAAGCAAGTTTAACACAGACGCCTGGAATGAAAGCCAAAACTCACATGGGACATATTTTAACCATACACTTTAAAACCAAGTATGTTTCTTGTTTTAGGACAATGTTTGCACATCAACTAATCACAAGGCACAGTAAATGAAGTATAATAGACAAAGAGTCTCGGAGTCACCAGACATTACAAATTTTCTGCATTGCCAGGACACAGTACCTATAGCTGTTGACAACACTGTGCAACACAGTACATAGCGCAAGTTCAGGAGAAGAAAAGAACCATTTGTAACCTTACATTATGAACCTGATGGATCGCTGAGAAAGGAAATCCTGCGTTCTGATTCGTCCATATTTCACAGACAGACGACTGCTGATATAAACAGAAAACTATCTTATCTTGTCAATATTTAAAACATGGCAGCTACCAAGGTAGCATCCAGGAAGGAAAAGAGGAAAATAATAAAATGCAAAGAATCACATTTAAAAAAAACTCAAAAAATGTTTTAGGGTGCTCAAGGTTTAATAATTGACTTCCAAGTCATTCTTTTTGCTTTAAAACATTTTGAGTTGACTAAAAAAATCATTTATGCATTTATGCAAGGAAAATTACCAATAAATTCATGCCTTGGAAAAAAGCAAACTGTATTTTATATTTGCCGGAAAACCAGAAATACCTTCCCCCTTCACGTCACTACTTTCAGAGGATAAATATTTTCATCAACTTCAGGAAAAACAGGAAAAAACCTTTAACACAGGTCCGATATTTTTATTTTCTTATCTTCAATGACCAAGAGCAAACAGTGCAATAAAATGACTTTTCCTGATTTAGTCATTGCTCTATTTGACAAACCTAGAAGATATTTATGCCTCCAGAGTTCTTACGGGCAAAACTCGGTAGTTAACAAAGGAAGACGTGTCAGCTTGCTACCCAGCACTGGGAGGAGTGAAGGAGGTGGCAGGAAGGAGGCTGGGGCAGGGAAGAACTGAAGTCAGGGAAATTCAGTTCTGTTCCTCAAGCAGAAACCCTTGGGAACAGCATTTGGGAGTCTAATGATTCAGCTCCATAATTCTGGCTCTCCCCCACACCATTAATAAGATAAACTTATCAGTAATGTTTGCTCAGAACCAAACACTAAACTAACCAGCATCCCTTCCCAGGAGTTACAGTAGAAACCTTCAAAGAGACCGACTGAGCTCTTGGCTTGACCCATCCCAAGTTCTGTTCCCGAATTTCATCATTCTAAAAGACACTGTGAAATTAAATCACAGAAAATGGCAGAGCATGTAAACTTATTCAGCAAGCTCTGTGAGCATCTTTAGCATTCACAAGCAGTCCGTACAAAGATCACTGCAGGAAGAAGGCAAGCACATAACCATAATATGGTTAAGAGGCCCGGCAAAGAACTGTATCATCAGCAAACAAATGATAGAAAAGAAGGCTTATCCCTAGCTAAAAGTTTCCTCACCCCAGAAACGCTCACCAGCAATTTAACACCTCTCTCTCTAGTTACAACTGCATCTCCACACACCCCTACACCTTTGCTTTCCATGTCTTCTGTTAACCAGAGGCTTGCTGGGGATGGTTAAGGAAGTTAGATCCCCAGGGTCTGACCAAAGGCACTTCCAAACACCTTTCACTTAAACCAGCTCTGCTATCCTCAGTTCCCTCTCTAAACTTCATGCTATTTTATACATCCATAGAGGGTTCTTCCTCTTCTTACCTTTCTAGCAAGTTCAGTCTTAGACCCATTCACTCTGTTGGCCTTGTCTCCAATAGCTCTCCTCTGATTTGAATGTACTAACTCCATGCGTTAGCTGGATTACCATCTTAAGTGGCATCCTCACCCAGTCCTGAGCTAATTCTTTACACAAATCACATCTTCTGCAACTTTCACACACTTCTAGTGTTAATCTAGTGCTAGAAGTGCTTCTAGCACTTCTAGTGCTAAATAATCCAGAGACCACCTGTCATCTGATAGATGAAGACACAGACATTTAAAGAGGTGAAGTGGCTTGCTCAGGTCACACAGGTGAGTGGCACAATGTGTCAGCCTGCTGGGATGGCTAAGAAGGAGTGTGAGCCTGGTACTGATGTCACCAGAAGGCAGAGGGCCACTCCAGCTATATACAGCTTGGTTCTACTGACCCTGAAATGAACAGAAACTAAAAATAAAATCGTAAGCCCCCTCACCGACTGAACGGACCCCCTTGTGGCCAAGGGGACCCCAGAAAAACCTTAAAATTGAGTTTCTGACCATGATGGGATGGGAGGTGAGACAAGCCTCATTATACCTCCTCTTTTTCATGGTTTAGACACAACAACTGATCGGAATTAATGTTAAAATAGACATCATAAGAGTGACAGAACAGTCTCTTTGTGGCTATAAGATACCAAATTATCAACAGGACCCGAGGCCATGCTAGGCAAAGGTTAAGTCACGCACCCCTATACCTAAAGAATAAACTATGTTCCAACTGCCACAAGGTTTTTCTTTTTCTCTAGCAGCTAAACAGGTACTGGCCTTAAGAGAAGCAATATTTAAACAATTTGCACCTCCACCAGATGCTGATTGACCCTTAGCCCCTGCTCCACCAGCCATAACTACAGCTGGACAAGAGATTGATTCAGTAACTTTATCCAAATAAGATTACTAACCATGGACTAGTTCTGGTTGGTCTACAGAGATTGCACACTTGTGTGCCTTCATGTCCTGAAAAGCCCTTCTGACGAACAGGGCTAACTGTAATATATCTACATGTTAAGTCTCCAACCCAAAGTGAACATAGGCCACATGTTACATGCATGTTGGTTCAATACACATGTGTCAGGACCACCTTCATGAATATTCACAGCTCTTGTAACACATTGAATATATGTGTTTAGCTAATCTGTTCAGCATAAATCTTCTACCTAAGCCCTTTTCCTTCGAAGTACCCGTCTCTGGGGTCTTGGTTGGAGGTGCTTCCCAGCCTGCGGGATGGCCATCTTGCAGGCTGTAACCCTTTAGAAGAAATAAAGTCTCCTCTACTTTACTAAATTCATATATATATATTTAAGTTAACACAAGTATATCTAAATGCAATCAGTTCATGAGACAGTCTTAACTGCACTGGGGTCCAAACACCAAAAAGTTGTTTTAGGTTGTTTTGGTTACTCCCAAAGGGGCCATGCCCAGTCTGCCTGCCTGATGGGCACAAGGCCATTTAACCTTTTGGGCAGACTGCATCACTTCCTGGTCACTTTGAGTCATGAAGACTCCATTTTGTATGAAATCCAAACTCATATCTGATTCAAACTTTTCCTTCCCTCCTTGTGTGTCAGTCTTGGGGCTTAAAAAGCCCGGGGTGGATAAGAGAAGCTCGGTCTGCGCTTTGACTTCTCCTAGGAGAGGTGAGGGCAGGTGTCATGGTCTACCTTGGATGTTCCCTGCCCCAAGCTCTACCTACTTCATGTGTTTAGTTGGGGAGGAAGAAACAGGAAAAGGACGAGGTCCCTTTCTTGTCTGGCTGTTCCTCTGGCAGCCGCACTGCTTTTCAGCTAACGTTAACATGGTCTCCCATGTGCTCTACGTAGCAGCTGCTCCAACCTAGGTTCTCCTGTGTCCCCGTGTGATTTCTTTGGAGAGCTCTTCTAGGATAGAGGGCAGGTCCTCCCACTGCACAGTTTCTGCTGGCAGAAATCTGCCTCTAGCTTGACTTCTTCCAACTCCCACTCAGCCCTCCTAGGACACATGCATGCCCCCTGAAGGGGACCCAGGGGGACAAACATAACCCCAGACTCCTTCTGCACATCCATGTGGCCCACATGATATGGACACACATCCTTGTCACACAGAACAGTAGAAGGGCGGGCTGCTCTGTGAACACTCCCCCTCTCTGCCAGGGCATCCCTCCCCAAGACTCTCTGTGTCAGCTCGGTAGGTGCTATGTGACCTGCCTGGCAGAAGTCCAATTATGGATACCAAGGCCAGTTTTCCCTCCTGCAGGCACCCCCAAGCCAGATGTACATTCCTCCTGGACCCCTTCTCACCAGGATTGGAGAGCACGGGAATGCATTCTGTCTCCTCTCTCATGGCAAAGGAGGAAAAGCCTTAGTTCTTTCCACAGGACTCAGACAATTCCCTGTCCTTCTCCAGCACTAACCAATGTTCTGCCTATGTGGAGAGGTAGCTGACAGGGGCAGGGCAGGATTCACACTGCCTCCTTGTAAACCCCGAACTAGGTGTCTGGCTCCATGATTGATAGCTTTCTCTTTAGGGTGTGCAGTGCTTAGTACCTACAGGAAAATTCCCACTTAGCATCCTGGGAATAGATCTTCCAATAGTGAATAGATCTTTCACTACTCACAGAAATTTACCAGAGTTAAGAAGGGAAAAGAGGATCCTACGCCATACTTATTTCATTAAAAAAAATCATATAAAATTTTTCTCAATGAAGAATAAAGAACCTACCCCTAGTCATATACACTGAGAGTTCATACATGGCTTATGTACATTTTTTAGATGTTATAACAAATATTTTCTATTTATAAGCTATGTTGTAAATTTAGAGAAAGTAAAACCTCTATAATTTCTAATACCGTCATGCACAACATAACGATGTTTCAGTCAACGACAGACTGCATATGCTACAGGGGTCTCACAAGACTACAATACCATATATTTACTGTACCTTTTGTGGGGGTTGGAAGAAGTAAAGCTAGAGCCAGACTTAGGTATGTTTAGATACACAAATACTCACCATTGTGTTACAGTCACCTACAGTATTCAGTATAGTAACATGCTGTACAGGTTGGGAGGAGCAATAGGCTAGATCATATACAGCCCAGCTGTGTGGCAGGTGACACCATCTCACGTTGGGTAAATACACACTATGACGTTTGCATGACGAAATCACCTAACGATGCATTTCTCAGAACGTATCCCCATCATTAGGTTATGCGTAACTGTCATCGTGTCAGTGCAAGTGGTAAAAAGTCAGAATTTAAAAGAGTTTAAAAGCAGTTGTGTTTGAGTTGTGAAAATTATTATTTTATTTTTTTTGACACAGAACCTTTGCTCTGTTGCCCAGGCTAGAGTGCAGGGGTGCGATCTCGGCTCGCTGCAACCTCCGCTTCCTGGGTTCCAGTGATTCTTGTACCTCAGCCACTCGAGAAGCTGGGACTACAGGCATGTGCCACCATATCCAGCTAATTTTTATATTTTTAGTAGATATGGGGTTTCACCATGTTGCCCAGGCTGGTGGTCTCAAACGCCTGGCCTCAAGTGATCCACCCACCTTAGCCTCCCAAAATGCTGGGATGAAAATTATTTTTTTAAAAAATCGGATGCATTCCAGATACCGCAGTAGTTTTGTTAGCAGTAAATAATTTGTCAGGCTCACAGAGCAAGCGACTTAAGGCAGACCTGTTGTAACTGCTGCATTCATAATATGAAATGGCTCTTCTCCTAGACATAGGGTCATTATACTGAGTGCTGGAATTAATTTTTTAAATCCAAGAGTTTCCAGAGTAGAAATTAATTATGTTTATGAAAATAACATTTCAGGGTAAAACATGTATTGAAGTACTGAGTTTTGAAAAGTTTTGAGAAAGAAATATAATACCAGTCATAAAATTTCATCTGGGGCCCAAATTCCTAGAAAAGTAGTGAGTTAAGTTTTTTTGTTTTTTTTTTTTTCTTGAGATGGAGTCTCATTCTGTCACCCAGGCTGGAGTGCAGTGGTGCAACCATGGCTCACTGCAGACTGGCCCTTCCAGGCTTAAGTGATTCTCTCACCTCAGCCTCCCAAGGAGCTGGGACTACAGGGATGCACCACTTCACCTATTTTTTTTTTTTTTTTCTAAATGTGTAGAGAGGAGGTCTTGCTATGTTGCCCAGGCTGGTCTTGAACTCCTGGGCTCAAGCGATCTGCCTTCTTCGGCCTCCGGAAGTGCTAGGATTACAGTTGTGAGCCACTGTGCCCAGTCTTAAATTTAAGTTTTGTTTTTTTTTTTCTTTTTTGGTGGCATTGGAGACAGGGTCTTGCTCTGTCACCCAGGCTGGAGTACAGTGGCACAATCTTGGCTTACTGCAACCACTGCCTCCTGGGTTCAAGTGATTCTCTCCCGGGTTCAAGTGCCTCAACCTCCTGTGTAGCTGGGATCACAGGTGTGAACCACCTCACCCAGTTAATTTTTGTTATTTTTAGTAGAGATGAGTTTCACCATGTTGGCCAGGCTGGTCTCAAACTCCTGGCCTCAAGTGATCCAACCACCTTGGCCTCCCAAAGTGCTGGGATTACAGGCATGAGCCACCGCACCTGGCCAAATTAAACTATTTTGTTTTTTTAGTTTTTGTTTGTTTGTTTTTGAGACAGAGTCTTGCTCTGTCACCCAGGCTGGAGTGCAGTAGCGTGGTCTTGGCTCACTGCAACCTCTGCCTCCCGGGTTCAAGTGATTCTCCTGCCTCAACCTCTTGAGTAGCTGGCATTACAGATGCCTGCCACCACATCTGGCTGATTTTTGTATTTTTAGTAGAGACAGGTTTCACCATGTTGGACAGGCTGGTCTTGAACTCCTGACCTCAGGTGATCTGCCTGCCTCGGCCTCCCAAAGTGCTTGGATTACAGGCATGAGCCACCGCGCCTGGCCATAATTAAGCTTTACAATGTCTTCATCTGTAAAGAAGGAGAATAGTACTTGACCTACTTATTTCACCAAGTTGTTGTGCAGCTTCACGAGAGAGGAAACTTTTTCACAGCTAAATGTTTAGGGCTTGGAACACAGAAGGAACACATTTTTACCGAATGAATGGAATCATATAACACATTCAAAAGGCCTTGGTAAATGGCAAAGCATTATGCAAACATTAGTCACTACCGTTATCCGTTATCATTTTTAACTGGTCTACTCTATTGGTGCCACTTGTGCCTTTCATAAGCTATGTCACTGCCAACACACTTCCGGTTAATTGTACCAGAAACTGCTGACTTCCTATTGGAAGATTCCTCATATTTCCTGATAAAGACAGTAAAGGGCTGCCAGCTTGCCGAAGAGAGAAGGAACATTTGTCATTAGCATACCTAGGTGTCAAAAGGCTGCTTGTAGAGCTTAGAAACAGTTCCATGAAAGAATGTTAATCACCCCTTTGCAATTTCATTTGCCTATTTTCTCTCAATCCCTGTCACATATATTGCAAAGCCTCATTTAGTTTTTCTGAACCTGAATTACTATGAAACCCAAACAAATAGGGGTAAGTAAAGGTAGACTTACAACTGAGATATTACCAATAATTTAATGTTTACTTCTTTGATGGTGAAGTCAACACACATTTGAAGGTGTATAATTTTATCTTCAGTTCAGACCTCTCTCTTAGCTCTGGAAATGTTTTCTTAAAATGCAATGCATGTCTCGCTCTTGTTACCGTCTTATACTTTCGGTTACCATGACTTCAGCTCAGAAAATACAACACAACTGCATTCAAATCTAATCACAAAATAAAAAGAATATAACCAATTTCCAAAGTTTTCCTCCTAAAGGTGGACTTCCTTTTTGATCCAGTAGTTTACAATAAATTATCTCCCCTTCATTATGGTTTGTCCTCTTTCCTGGAGCATTCTCAGAAATTGCTATAACATCTTCCATCAAAAGCAAACAAACTCCTTCCCTTGCCCCAACATCACCCTCGGTTTCCTGCTCAATTACTCTAATCTTCTTTAAGCAAAACTCCCTGAGAAATGTCTAGATGGTCTCCACTTTCTCTTTTCCTGTCCTCATCTGAGCCCACTCTACTGAAACTGAAACAATTTTCTATTTTCCTTGACCTATGTGACACCCTTGATCACTCCTCCATTCCTTAGCCTCTTTGGCTGCTTCCTGTTATCTGAGCATCCCTGGAGTGTTAGTCCTCAGTCTTCCCTTCCTTCTTGGCTATACTAGGTGGTCTCTTCCAGTTGTGACTCCCAAATTCATATTTCCAGCCCAGACTTCTTCCCTAAATTCAAGACTTGGACACCCAGCTGCCTGCTTGATGCTTCTCCTTTTGCATTTATTAAATCAGCTCAACCTTAAATTAAATGTCAGAGACCAAGCTCCTGATGACCTCACCTCCCTGTGAGCTTCCTTGTTTTGGCAAATGGCAGCCATTTTTTTTCCAGTTCCTCAGGTTCACAATGCTGGAGCTCTCCTTTCTCCTGTATCTCGCATTCAATCCAGCAGCAAAGCCTATTGAATCTACTTCTAAAATTTCACCTTCCTGTCACTACTTGCTCCAAGCTACTCCCTTTTCTCGTTTGATTTATTCCATTGGCTTCTTACGGGTCTCACTGCTGTTATCCTTGCCTCCTTAGTATCTCTTCTCAGTACTACAGCCAAAATGACCCATCTAAAATGAAAGCCAGGTCATTCCACTCAGCTCCATTCAACACAGAAGATAATTCAGTCCTAACAATGACCTGCAAGGTTCTCCGTTCTCTGGTACCCACACTGCTCTACCTCCCTACCCTCCTCTCCTACCCATCTTCGTCTTGCTGTCTGGGTTCTTGACAGCAAAGCACATTCTTGCCTCATAGCCTCTGCATTTGCTTCTCTTTCTGCCTGACATGTTCTCCCTCTGGCTACTATAGGCCTAGCTAGCTCCCTCACTTCCTTCAAGTTCTATTCTAATGTCACTTTTTCAGAGAAGCCTTCCCTAGGCATATTACATCCAAATTAAGTCTGTGCTTTCCACTCTATAAAAGAATTATTCTTTCAAGCAGAAATTATTTATTTATTTATTTGTTTGTTTTTGAGACAGGGTCTCACTGTCACCCAGGAGGGAGTGCAATGGCACGATCTTGGCTCACTGCAACCTCCACCTCCTAGGTTCAAATGATTCTTGTGCCTCAGCCTCCCGAGTAGCTGGGATTACAGGTGTGCACCACTACACCTGGCTAATTTTTGTATTTTTAGTAGAGACGGGGTTTCGCCATGTTGGCCAGGTCTCGGACTCCTGGCCTTATAGGATCCCCTCGCCTCGGCCTCCCAAAGTACTGGGATTACAGGTGTGAGCCACTGCACCTGGCCTTAAGCAGAAATTTAAAATGTAAAAAATGTTTGGCACATAAGAACCTATCTCCCTGTCACCCTGACATTCATGCAAAAGTAGTTACTGGTCATCTACTGTGTGCAAGGCCTGGGTCACAAAGTGAGTAGGGATCAATCTTGCTTTTAATCAACGTTTATGGCATGAAAATTGCTTTCTCCGTGGACAGAACCAGTAGTAAACTGGGACTGACAGGCTGATGGTGGGTCTCAGAACAGAGCAAGTAGATGACAGCTCCATCAACTCGATAACCCCTATTAAGCTCTGGAAAGCTTCTGGGAGTCTGCTGATATTATATAGCTAATCTAATAAAGAAACTTTTATGAATAGAGCCCTCCAGTCAGATTCTACCAGAGATGAAATTTTCTGCCGTGTTCTAGCCCTGAAAAAAAAAAAGAAAAAAAGACTTTTTCTCTGTTTCTCCCTTATGTTTGTCATAATACTTTCAACACTTCAGGGTATTCAGAAATTGACCAGAAAGAAACCAGCAAGAAATATGAAAGTTTCAGAGTGAAAGCTCAAGGAATAATGAAGTGCATTCCTTCTTCTGGATGATAGTGCTTCTAAAAGAAAATGAAAACAGACTTGAAGAGCAAACAAAACAGCTTCAAAGGCAGAAGAAAAAAGGGCATCCCAGCAAAGGAAGCCTTAGCCAATAGCCAGCAAACTCAGTGGCTCCTTGAGCAGAGACTGGGATGAAATGAGACCTGTCAAAGGATGGAGTCAAACAAATTCAGTGCAGTCAAGGGGTAACGCACCAAACACCTTGTATGCATATTTTCTTTCAGCAGTGACAGCCCCACAGTTGCTTCTTCTGTGGGCATTAACTGAACCCTGCCTGGAAAATCAGAAAATTAGAGCCTTTTGTTTCTTGTGAGTTACCCAGAGGCCGCAGGCCAGCATCTGATTACTTCTTCCTGCCCACCATCGGAGACAGAGGAACACTCCTCCTTCTCACCTCTTGAGTGAGTTTTGAGATACACACTCAGTCCTGTAACAACTGCATGGGATTTAGATTCTTCTCTGCAACCACACTGTTAGCTTCTCAAGTTCCCTGTCTGTGTCTATTTATTTCTAGTTCTAAAGTGTGAAAAAGTTATGCATGCACCCACTGACCCTTTTTATAAAAGGTCTCAGCTGAACTATTTCATTTGCAGGAAATGCTAGAGTCAAGAAAATGCTGCTTCCTGCCATTTCTCCATCTTTCTGAAGGGCAATCCTTCCAAAACTTCATGATCGTGACCTTCCCCTGTGCCTGTGGGGAGGATTTTTGGACAGATCAGTTATCACCTGCTGGGAAGGAAAAGCCAGGCCAACAGTTGTTTCTCTAACAACATCTGCACGTGTGACCCATGATTGCTGGAGTCAGCATTAATCAACCTACCAAGAGTGGGAGGAAGTAAACAACACATTTGGTTCCATCTAAGTCCACTGGCATGATATAAATTCTAACACTGTCTTCCCAAGTTTAAGGTTTTCCTTCCATTCCCTTTCCAAACTCCCTTCCCTTTCCCATTCCTCTCCAGTTCCCTCCCTCCCTCCCTCCTTCCCTCCCTCCCTCCCTTCCTTCCTCTCTTCCTCTCTTCCTCCCTCCCTCTTTCCCTCTTTCCCTTCCTTCCTTAACTCTAATTCTGGGACTGATATCACATAAAAGAAGTCCTCGGCTACTAAAGTAGGAGAGAAGGAGAGAACTATAGGCTTATGATATTCCTGTTATTCATTTGTAGAGGTAATATATAACCTGTATTCCCTAATATGACAGCTGTAGCCCTAAATGGCATTACACAATTGTTTATGAAATCCCTTTACAAGAAAAAAATAGAGCAGAGGAAAAAAATGAGCATTGCCTGTACAATCCAGCTCTCATTGTGCAGCTCCCCAGGTTCCAGGGATGTTGCAGGGAATTTGAGTCAATTGGGATCATGCTGTTTATAGCAATATGGGCTGTTTTACTTGTTCTACCTCAAAGTCTGGATGCTATCAAACGTTTTTCAGGGCCACTAAAAAGCAGAACATTAATAACTAATTCAGAAAGGCAGTGATCAGCTTTTTATCATAACATGAATGGCTGAAAAAAACCTAGATTTTGCAAAGTAATGTTGTTCTTTGTAACATCTCTTTACAATATACATTATATTCCTTTCTTGCAAAGTGAGGTTGTCATTTCCTTTACTTAAATTCATTTATTAACTGGAGCCCGACTGTTTGTTTCCTGCTTCTGACAGAAAAGATGCATTGGGCAGAGTCATTTATTCAATGATGTTTATTGAGACCCCACCATTTCTTCATTTTATCCTTGTGAAAAATATGAAAAAACAAGGTGCAGTTGAACAATCCTCTTGAACGATGCCAAGCTAAGAGGTCTCTAGTAGAAAGCTCACAGTTTTTTTTTCAATTCTACTTTAATCAACACTTCACTCAATACACTGATGGATGACTTCAAAGGTTTGTTGTTTTGAGGTAAGATTCTTAAAATGAGCACATTACATAGTTGAAAAGGATCACTGATATACTGAGTGGCAACTAAGTCTTAGAAAGGTCTTGATAGACTAGGATTATTGGATGAGTAACTTTATAAAAACTGCTTTATCTGGAAAAGGATAATGTAAATCCAGCGCTGCTGAGAAAGGAGGCGTAGCTATTGATAAAGGCTGGGAAATTTTCATGAAGAAAAGCACAGTAAGAATGAATGACATGTTAATGTTGATCTGCCCAGAGCTGGGGAACCAGGATGCTGTACGGCCCACATCCCCCTTATCACATGGGATTGGCAAGGAGCTGGAGACATTTAATATAGTGAAGGGAAAATATCAAATTGTCTTCAGTCTTAAAAAAACTCTTCCCAGCAAAAGGGAGCAGATGTATTCTTTGTTGTTTCAGAAGATATCATGAACTATGTAGGAGTTATAGGGAGGCTTATTTCAATTCAATATAAGGCAAAAGTTATATCAACTAGACCTTTTCCAATCATGGGGCTGCCTTACAAAGAGCGGGCCAGCTTTCCAGTCAAGTTTAGGCAGAAACTTGTGGCTGTCTGTAAGGATGTATTAGAATGGGTGCCTGCATCAATTAAGAGATGGGACTACATACATTTTCTGGCCCCTTCTCATCTTAAAATTCTCTGCTTTTCTTTAACAGTACAGTTGGTCATCTGTATTCTCAGTTCTGCATTCTTCTGACTGCACAGAAGAATCTTCTAGCTATTAATGCATACAGACAAAAGCAAGTTATCACAAATTTTGTGATCCTGCATTCAAACCTCATTAGAATAGAGGCCCATACAGAAAGGAGGTCATATCATTTCACAATGCTTTACATGAAGCAATTGTTTACTATCTCTGATTTGTAAAGAATGAAAAATTGGATGTCAGGAGCAAAGGATTTTCTTCAAATACAATGTTTATCCATGCTACTTTAGAGGTTTAATTCTCTACTGAAGTTGCATTTACATAAGGTATTAGATATTCTTAATAGGATTTTTCAAGGAACTCAAAACATTGCATTGGAGCATTTGGGGTTTTGGAATTTCTGGAATGTGCCACGTCCGCTAGTTCCCAGTTTGCAGAGACAATATGGGGTGTTCATCAACACTGTGGTTCACACGACAGCTGTGAAGCTAGGCTGCTGGCATTGGAATCCTGGTTCTGTACCTTTTAATTTTTGTGGCCGTGGGCAAGCCACATAAATGCTCCATGCCTCAGTTTCCTCCTTATAAAGCTGTACTAATCAGTGCTGGCTCTGACGATGATGCCGATGAATCACCAGGCCTAAGCTAGACCGATGATACGCTATTGTTCCAGGCAGTGTATTTCCCTAAAAAACTGGAGACCATCTCAATTTGTGTCCAATCTGATCTGTCGTAGAGCCCTGTGGTTTTATGATGCCTATAGCCTTACATAAAGTAATTTGGTCAACAGTATTTACAGAGTGTTTATTTTAGAGGAATTAAAAAATGACTACGGAAGAGTGAGGCATTGCCCCCACATAGCCAACATACACTTTACCAAAAAAGAAGCAAACATTTAAAAATGAAATATAATGAAATATTTTGAAATACACTAACTCATAAACATCCTTTAATTTTTAAAAGTATTTAAGTATGGATATCATCCATAATTCCTTTTCCAAAGAGCACCAGTGTTAACTAGGTTATAACATGAATAGGAGCTTCTTGGACAGTGTTTGCTTTCATAAAAACTATGATTTCCAAGTCAGTGAAGAGGTATTAGTTTGGGCTTACAAGCTGGAAAACAGAAACAGTTTTGCAAGATGTAGCTAAACATGAGATTTACTTTAAAATGCATTTACTCCCAGATGCAGTTGAGAAAGCATAATGTAGAAGAAAACTAGAAGTTATCTCAAAATAATAACAATAATTTCTAAAACAACCCAAACGTATAGTTTCATAGTTTGTAAAACACTTCGAAAAAATACCATTTTATTTGTGCCTCACAACAATGATGTGGGGTGGGCATTAACCTCACTCTAGGAAGAGAAAACTAAGGCTCTGCATAGCTAAGAAGCGTGTCCAAGGTTACAGAGGAAATAGACATCAGAGATGGGATTTTTCACCATGATCTCATTTCTTCAAACCTGGCATTCTAACAAAGCTCATCAAATTAAGTATGAAAAAATGAAATCAATACTCATCTGATATAGCAATTTTCCATCAGACAATCTCAGAATTCCAAAGTCAGAGTGGATTTATTCAGATGCCCATTATTGCTATTTCTGCCTGCTTAGAAACCAGCCCCTCTTCTAGCAGCAGCGGCCTGGCTGTTCATGGGAGGAGGTGCCTCCTTACTCCTCAGTCCACATTGTTCACATGGAGCTAAAACCACCCCTGGTGTGGGACCTCTGTCTTGCTAATCAATCTGTCTGTCTGTCTGTCTCTCTCTCTCTGTCTCTCTCTCTCACATATACACACCCCTTTGCAATTAGCTCAGGGAAGGACACTTGATCCAATCCAGGCTCACTGGAACTGATGGAACGTAATACTGAGACTTTTTCTTTTTTGAGACAGAGTCTTGCTCTGTTTCCCAGGCTGGAGTGCAGTGGTGCGATCTTGCTCACTGTGAACTCCGCCTCCTGGGTTCAAGTGGTTCTCATGCCTCAGCCTCCCGAGTAGCTGGGATTACAGACATCTGCCACCATGCCCAGATAATCTTTGCATTTTTAGCAGAGATGGGGTTTTGCCATGTTGCCCAGCCTGGTCTTGAACTCCTGGCCTCAAGTGATCCACCGGCCTCAGCCTCCCAAATTGCTGAGATTACAGGCATAAGCCACGATGCCTGGCCTGGGACTTTTTTTTTTTTTTTTTGACACTCTTGGAAAGATAGGTTCTCTTTCTTGTAACTTCAAGTTAAACAGCAATTTGGCTTGAATCTCTCCACACGGAGAGGGAGGCTCTTTGGGAAAAGAGCCAACACAGAGGACAGCAGAGCCAAGAGAAGGAGAGCCAGAGAGCAATGCAGCAAAACAGCACCTGGATCCAGGACTCCTGCCCTTTTCTGCTTAAGCCATCTTGAGTTGGATTTTTTGTTACTTACATGCATCTGGAAAAGTCCTTGCTGATAAATTACTTTAGGCCTATACGCACAGAATTAACCAAGACAGGGCCACACAAACAGCCCTATTTCTACTAGATGTTAAAAAACCTTCTTTTTATTTTTTTTACCACTGGAAAAAGAAAGGGAAGAAGGAGAAGGAGAATAAGAACCAGAGAATTCTCCTACCCTTGAAAATTTAGCAAGGGCAGATTATAACAGCCAAAACTGACCTGTGGACCCAAGAACTGGACTGCATGTAATAAGAAACATTCTGAAAATTTAACAAGTGGAAAAATAACCTGCTGGGCCTCTTTGTGAACAAGCTGCTCAATGTCAACAAGCCCAAGGCACCACTAAATATCACAAGGTCAATTCCACTGAAATAGGGTTTTTATATATTGTCAGATTTTTTGTTTAGTTGTTTTGAAAACAGAATATTTTCTATTGATATCTTCTTTTTCTTTTTTTAAATCCATGGTCTGGTTTTAACTGCAAACAGGACCCTTGGTTAAGCACCAGCACATGGAGACAAGGTGGAGACGTCAGAGCTTCTCTAGCAAAACGACTGGAGGTGTTTAGGGCTGACGGGTCTATCAGAATCAACTCTGGCTAATTTGCCTTCTTGATGACCTTGACAGGGAAGAAAACAATCTAGACCTGTAAGATGAGTATCAAAGCCTGAAAAAGAATCCATCTGAGTGATTCTCCCACTTCTTCCAATTATTTGTTTTAAGACTATAGTACAGTATTCACAAGACACTAATCATATTGACATTAGTGTTGCCCAAAAGACACTTAATCATACTGGAATTTCTAATCCCAAAGTTGTCTCAGATAGAGCAGGGTGTATTTGCTAAAAGAAAATTAACTGACCATATTAATAAAAAAGGTGTACAATACATCAGGTTTAAATTCCAAGTATGGAAGCGCTATTTTCCACTTTTGTGTTGGTCATAGCTGGCTAGTGGCCTAGAGTTCTTGGCTTGAAATAGGGCACAGATATCATCAACATTCCAGATGATCTCTGAAGCTCGGGTGTCAGCTTGTCAACTTGACGAGCTGTCAAATCGGAAGCTCCTGACGGAAGAGCTTATTGAGTGCACTCTTGACCTTCTTTTTTGGTTATGTATGATCTGTCTGTGCTTAAGTATTAAGAGTTGCTCTTTAGACCTTCATGGAAGGAAATGTTGAAATCATGGACAAGCTGAGCCTTTCTGAGTAGTGGCTATGTGATGAAAATCTAAATTAAATCTAGGCATTAACTTACGGACATTAAACAAAAAATCTGATGTGACACAGTAATAGGAAAACTTGTTTAGTTTGGGGAAAAAAACACTCTCTTTTCTTTGAGACAGAGTCTCCCTCTGTCACTCAGGCTGGAGTGCAGTGGCACCATCTCAGCTCACTGCAACCTCTGCCTCCAGGGTTCAAGCAATTCTCCTGTCTCAGCTCTCCTGTCTCAGCTGGGACTACAGGCATCCGCCATCATGCCCAGCTAACTTTTGAGTCTTTAGTAGAGACGGGGTTTCGCCATGTTGGCCAGGCTGGTCTCAAACTCCTGGCCTCAAGTGCTCCGCCCGCTTTGGCCTCCCAAAGTGCTGGGATTACAGGCGTGAGCCACGGTGCCTGGCCAAAAAAGCCACTTTCCAAAATGCTGTTCCTTTCTTGGTTGTGCTATTTTCTGAAAACTGATTCTGTAAATTCCAGTAATGCCAGAGCAGTGGGTAGAATTTCTGGGAACAACAGGCCTATTCTCTCAGGAAAAGTATATAAGAGGAGAAGTTACTGTCCTACTTCTTTCCCAGACATGGCAAAGTGTTTGCCTCATGGCTTTCTGGGATATCCATGCTTTTTAAGCTAACAGTTCTGTGCACAATATATTTCCATAAAGTTCCAAATTTCACTTAAAGAAAAAAAAGCCCTCTCACTTGATATTTTATCTAACAATGTTACAATAATAACGTGTTATTACCATATGATATTTTTTGTTACAATTTTGTAACCTGAATTGGTAGAGAAATATGGCATCCATTCTCTGCTTTCCCTGGCTTTGACATCATTCTACCCAGATCCCTCTGCATCGTGATATATGCTCCTTGGCAGATGATGTGTTTACACAATTAAAATAATAAAAGAAAAATGCAAATTCCATTCTCAATCTACATGCTAAATATGGGTAACACTGGAACAAAAGATGGTCTTTATAGAATGCTACAACCACCGGAGCACTTGCCCTTCAACTCTCTTTGTCATTAATTGGCCTACAATGAGCAGGGACCTTTGAATTAGGGACTGACAGGTGATGGGTCTGAACCGATAGTCATATCTGTCTATATAGTGCTTTACAGTTTAGAATATGCTTTCATATAAATTATCTGATACATACAGGCCTGAGAAGCAGACATTATCCACATTTTAAAGACAAAAAAATTGAAATTCAGAGTCACCACATAACTCGGTCCAGGTCACACAGCCAGAAAGAAACCAAATCAGAATTCCAACCGAAGAAGCCACTAAGAAAACAGCATCGACTATTTGGAGAAACACCACAAGCAAGAATTTGTTTGTAGACAGAGTTAACCCCACACCTACCTACAAAGCTTTTCACAAACATGGGAGACAGGCAGCGTTCTGACACACTGTGCAGGGTCTCTGCTGAAGGATCAACAAATAACCAGTGCAGTTTTGCATTTAAGGATTTCATGGTGTTAACCACGAGTTGATTCAATCAGTTTCCACTAAACTACTGTGATTTTCTCTTCTGCTTGCTGTGCCCACATAAATGGAATCTATTATGGCACATGAGAAATTAGTATTTGTTGAACTGTTTTTAAAATATTTTATATCATTTTAATACAGAGGCAGGCACAGGGCATCAGGGACTATAGAAGAACAAGGATAGGGTTAGGCAGGCCAGGGCTTGAGTCCCAGCTCTACCATTTACCAGCTGTGAGGCCAAGCACTCACCCTGTTTGGCAGATGTGCACATAGGCTCTTGTGAGGATTAAATAAGATACTGCATGTGCAATCCCAGGCATGAACCTGGTCACAGCAGTGCTTCTGTATGGCTCAGCTTCTACTTCCCTTCCTTTAATAATATCAAAACAACAAACCTTGGAAGAACTAAAATGTAATATACAAAATGCTTTCAAATAGAGAAGTAATTGACCTAGTTGTACTTATTAATACTATTTAGATTGAGAAATATTAAGCTTGCAACTGAATTAATTTTCTAATAATTTAGAAAAAGTGTCTTTAGTGCCCCCAGGTAATACTGCTTTTTTTTAAATCTTAGGCAAGAGCATTCAAAACATAAAGATTTTATATTACACACTATTCTCACTAATATTTAAGCTAAAGTTTATGCAAAGATATGCATTTCTTTTACTGTTGAGAAGCCTTTGTTTTGTGAAAATACAAGTACTATTTCATTTTCTCATACGTTTTTCTGTAAATGGAAGCCTTCTATAAATGGCTTAACTTGCAGCATTTGGAAACTTTTTTTTTTCTTGCATGAGTTTGGAGAATGTGGCCTTAACCTTATTCATTCCATCACTCTCTTATTGTTCATTTTAAGGGTACTTCGACTTCTAAATATCATTCAAGAAAACTTCTGAAGACTGCAATTAGGTCCTAAATACTGAAAATATTTTCCTCCTTCTGATATATTTTCCATTTACTATCTCATTTCCACATAACTCAGAATTAAAAGCTGATCTGCCATGTGCTGTACACACATTAATAGTGTGTAGGACACCTTGTTTGTGCTAAAATGAGATAACAGATGTCAAAGTACTTTGAGAATTTAAAATCACTATGCACATTAAGGTATAATTACACATATGTGAATGCAACATTTATTTATTAGGGGTGTGGAAATTGGGGAGTGTTTCAGAACTTCTGGGCTAATGAGTCCAGTTTAGAATTACAGGCTGGAGAAGCTATGTTTTCAACATGATAGGAAACCCATCATTCAGATGTATTTATATCATTACATTCAGTTCATGCTGAACTCAAATTTTGTTTCTTGCATATTCATTTAAAATAATTTGATGCCAGAGTACTGCTTATATCAGAATAATAGCAAACAATACTCACAATATTTGCAAATCCCCTGTATCCCAAGACAGGTATTTTAAATATTGTTTCAAATTGAAAAAATCAATTAAACCCCATTCTAGTGTTTTATTTTAAATATCTGCCAACAAATTTAACAGGTAAAATGGACATTAAATTTATCTCAATTTAACTTTAAGCATTGCTTTTCCAAGTTAAGCAAAGCACCTCCAAACATCTGGTAAGCAGACCTCAAGAAGGCAAAACTCCTAATGAATTATTGCGGCCACCAAGAACTTAAGGTTTCTGGCCCAGGGCTAGAATTCCAAATCACTCTAATGGTAGCTCAGCTAAACTTGAAGTAGAGGGGTTTCTAAGAACATAAATCTGTCCAGGTGATTTTCTCTCAACTGCATTCTCATTTCTTTTAGTAGGTAAGAAAGAAAGCCTGAAGGTGGACTTTTGCATTTTAGTGGGAAATGGACTGGTTAGGCAAGCATTAACCAAGCTACAGTAAGCTTCTTGGGAGAAACTCCTTGGGAAAGAACTGGAGGAATGGAGCTCCAGGTTGGAAGGAGGTATAACTGGCTGCTTGCTTGCAAAAATTTTAATTGCTAATTCAAGTCTTTAGGAAGACCCAACTCGATTGTCTAAACACATAACTTCAGGGGAAAAAGTATGGTCTAGAGAGATATGACAGGTTTTTAAAAAAGTATATAAATTTCAAAAAGTATTACAGCAAATGACCAAAAATAAGGTAGAATAAGAAAAAAACAAACATCAATTGAGTAGTTGAGTGGTGAAAAGTCACATAAATTGAATTATTCAACAACAAGATGACAGAGTATTTCATATTTTGACAGGTTAAAGCAGTATTTTTAAGAGGTATGCATTCATTGCTCCATGGGTTTTGGCCTTCCATACTAGCGATCATGCTCAAAACTGCAATTAACACCACCCAGAGAGTTGCAGTTCCAGAATCCCTTTTTCTCATTGATCAGATTCCTGTGGTGTCATCTCCTATTTTCTCTGCAGCAGAAGTGCTGTATTGAACAGCAGGCTTTTAGAAAGCTTCTAATAAGCTCCTGATGGCTGATGGAGCCTGTGTGTCTAGCAGTCACTCGATCATCGTTAGTACTCCACATGAGGGGAATGCATGCGTGCACAGGTGCTCTAGTTCACTACGTCCCATCAGCCTGCTTATCTCACTCTGTTTTCTGCTTTTAGGCTTTTTTCACCTGGCCAGATAAAAGCCCATTCCATTTTCTCAAGGCAAGACAATTCTCATAAGGGATGCATTTCTGATTGGAGTGACCCGTTAAAAGATTTGTGCTATTTGGTACTACTGCCCCTGCTTTCGAAAACCTCAGGCAGCATGTAAGGGTGCAGTCTTGCTAGGCCACCTCTGAGTGTTTATACATAGGTAGAAGGGTAAGTCGTTTTTTAAAAAAACCCTGCAGTATATGGAGAAATTTCATAAATTATGTGAGCAGCTGAGAGAGGTAATTCTGCTATACTGCGGTTGACACAGTCAATAATAGCTAATGCTCATTAAAGAACTATACTCCCTTACCCAGGGAAGAAATGGGCTCAGAAAAGACCCAGTTCATATTAATACACAAAGACAACATGGCTCAAAGTTAAAACAAACCACATCTCTGAAATGCTGTCATTAGAGAAATTTAACCACATATGTGACTCGAAAATATAACAAGTAACGAAATAAATGAAAAGTTTGGGGGGAAAAAGCTTTCAGATGCCCTATTTAAAAGAGCACCAGTGAAAACAGTAATAAAAATTAAAAGACAATACCTAGCAACAGAGAAAGATAAAATTATTCTTATTTCTCCTATATTTTCCATCCCCTTTCAATAAAAGAGTCTCCATAATCCCAACATTGCCATTGCCTGCACAAAGAACCCAGAGAACAATTCAAAATTAAAGGAGCTGAAAGAAGACACAGTATCCCAGGCCTTCTCTCCCCAAGGCATCTGCAGGCAGAATAGCCATGGTTTCCAGAACATTCTCATCACATTTGTCTCTCGTGAGCTGCAGCATACAATGTTTACCAGAGGCTTTAAAAATAAAATCTCACTAAACAGTTGAGAAAAATATTTAACAACCAAGGCAAAGCAATTACAGTCAAATTTTCACCTCGAGATTCCCATCTTAGGTGTGGGAGGCAGAGAGAAGACTCCTGCACATCAGTCTGAACCTAGAATGAGGATGAAAAGAGTTGATTCTGCCAATGGTTGACAACAAATCCATATTTTTGAATCTCAGGGTGAAATGCGGAGCTACCCGCCCATCTGAATGTACATTAAGAACAGCGCCACTGTTCGGTTAAGGCTGACTCAAGTTTCTAAGCAGCAATCCGAGGACAGGCTAGACATGAACATCCCTACTAAAAACATGGAAAGGTCTGAACGTGACAGATCTCCCTTTTCAATTACTTGTGCTAGAAAGCATCATCATTTTCAACTAGTCAAGGTGACAATATGAGAAAACGCAACTAGTCCCAGTAGAGCATTTCTGTATGAATGTATAGACTTGGGAGGAAATTAACCACATCACACAGGGTTAATCCTTCCCCCCAAACTTCTGCCCCATTATCCAACCAATTTACATTTTGTAATCTAGACTTTTATTACTCATTTTCATTATGATTTGACTTTGACACTATATTATTCCCTTCAGGGCAAAGACTTTCTGGGTGCAATGAGATCAGACATAATTTCTTCAGCAGGAATGCATAACAAGGACATGTGTACACATTCCATTCCCAGACATTTCTGTCTCGGTCTAGTTCAGATGAGCAAGGAATGAAAGGCGGGGCATAACATGGTATAAATTCTAGTTAGGCACGGACAATAAGCATCCATAGGAAGCTACTGTTCACTATTAAAAGGCATTACCTGATATGGTTGAAAAATATCACAAAGGCTTATAACACCTTACCTGAGCCATCTGCCTCTCCAGTTTTGATCGGGGAATATCATCAAAGTAGTTTTCATTTCTTCTCCTCCTTGCATCGCCCTGCATGATAATGTGAGGAACGTCTAGGGAGCCACCAGTGGTGTAAGTGCTTTGGCTAAGTGATGGAGACAACTGAGGAGGAGTGTGATTACCACTGGGTTCCTGAATGGAAATACATCATGAAATAAATACCATGTTCTGTGGCTAACCTTTGGTTTCAAAATTGTGAAATACTGACAAGACAAACTGTGGGGGTGGGGAGTCGCTTTTGAAGCAACAGCCAAGGAATGAATGACATTCCACCACTTTATTAATGGCATGATCTAGTCAATACGTTTTTCCCCTAAGTATTTCAGGTCAAAGGTCTGAAATATCAAGAGTCAGGTTCTGTTTTCCTAAAGCAGCATCATGGATGGTCTCAGGAGGGAGGCACACCTATGTTGGGCACCTCTGACACTACTGCATGTGTTTACAGGGGAGGAACTGGGCCCTCATGTGGGCAGAGCGTCCTCACCATGGTAGATGCCATGATGAGAAAGCTAAAATGAGACCCAATGGGTCTTGATCCTTCATCAAAGAATGGTCTGACAACAGGGTTGGGAAGAGGACACAGTACGGCAACACAGCATGTCACACGCACAGACTGCAGAGCAGTGCATGCTACGACAGAGGATGCTTTTCCAAGGCAAAGACAACTCCATCCAAGGGAAACGGGTCAGGAGGAAGATAGGGGGCATAGACAGCTCAGCTCTACTATTTGCAAGTAGAATGAGGATTGGGATCATGGTGTTTCTCCAGATCCCTTCTCCTCCGGATATTCTGGACCTTCTATGATAGATTTAGGTCCTATACTTTTGCATGGAAATCTCTGTCTTTGATCTTTTTTTGTTCCCCTAAATCTCTTCCAGAGAGCCAGAATGAGAGGTTCAGAAGGGGAAGGAAAAAGAGCAGGGTAAGTAGCAGGAAATGACTCCTCTAAAGAGTCATTTTAGGGTGACTACACTGATGGTGCTTATATCTTTCTCTCCTTCCATGTAGCAAAATGAAGGCAAAACAAAAATCTTTTTTTTTTCTAATTTATTTGAGGCTCCTCTTTCTAAGGGGTGAAATTTCTATTTGTACTTTTATGACTCCCAAAACTCTCAAGTAGCCTCCAAATATCCCAGTGTACCCTAATGCCCCCAGTAATTAATTAAACCAGTATTCATGTAGTCCCTACCCATCCCACTCCAGTCTCTCTCAGGAGGCTAAGCTTGTCCTCCTGGAGCCAATTCTCTTGCATCCCCTGAAATCCTTGCGCATTTTCCTCTCCAAAGCTGAATCAACTCCAAATCCTAACAGCTCCTTTCCTGTCCTGCCCTCTGTTATCCTGACAGTGGCTATGCTGTTTGCTGAAGTTTATTGATAAGAGGCAGCCCACTGCATTTCATCACGATGGTTACGTCCGGGTGCCGTGCTTGTGTTCATCTCTTCAGAAAAGAAATCAGAAGCAAGCAAGTGCAGGACAAAATAGAGAGCAGAGTGGGCACCCCACAGCTTTCAGGGAGATCTCAGCTTTTCGACGAATTTTAGAAAAGTTCTTGTAGGACTCATGAACACCAGTGACTGCCGGCCACTTCTTGCCACTGCCATTTTTGCCTGGAAATCATCTTTCTCACTTCCTCTCTGCCCTTTCCTCCCTCCCTTCCTTCACTTCCTCTTTATTTCTCTCTCCTTTATACAGGTTCTCTTTAGTTTCCTACCTCATAATTTTTTTTTTTTTTTTTTTTTTTTTGAGATGGAGTTTCACTCTGTTGCCCAGGCTGGAGTGCAGTGGTGCGATCTCGGCCCACTGCATCCTCTGCCTCCCGGGTTCAAGCGATTCTCCTGCCTCAGCCTCCCGAGTAGCTGGGATTACAGGCGCCCACCACCATGCCCGGCTAATTTTTTGTATTTTTAGTAGAGTCGGGGTTTCACTGTGTTAGCCAGGATGGTCTAGATCTCCTGACCTCATGACCCGCCCACCTCTGCCTTCCAAAGTGCTGGGATCACAGGCATGAGCCACTGCGCCCGGCCCCTACCTCATAATTCTAAAGTGTAGTTGAATAAAAGAAATACAATTTATTAAGTAAGGTTTTAGATTCTCTATTCTGAATTTTTGAAGTGAGTAAAGCTGGACAAATTTTACTTCTTGAAAAACAGAAGACCCTAAGGTTAATTTTAAATTGATCTTTACTTAACTGTGGTCCTTGATCAATTTTCTTTCTGTGGGTTTGAGGAGTCTGACAGAAAACCCATTTCCGCTCTCTTGGCGTAGATGGGGTGTGGGATGGGAGGTGAGGGAGTGGTTCTTTAAAGGTAGTGGTTTGTCAGGCTGAATTCCATTATAGATGGATATCTAAATCTCAAAAATATATATTTAACCAATCTAGAAAAACAAATCTTGTTGTTTTGATTGTGTCAAACAATCAAAAGACAGATTGTTTTCTACACAGATATGGTAAACTTCATAGAAAAGAGCCAGCACTTCCTGATCTATTGCTTCAGTTGTATAAAGTGCACGTTTATAAAACCTATAAAACTACATAAAATAATTCTTTTATTTTCTTACTCTGTTGCCCAGGCTGGAGTGCAGTGGTGCGATCTCTGCTCACTGCAATGCTCCGCCTTCTGGGTTCAAGTGATTTTCATGTCTCAGCCTCCGGAGTAGCTGGGACTACAGACAGGCACAACCACACCTGGCTAAATTTTTTCTGTTTTCAGTAGAGGCAGGGTCTCACCATGTTGGCCAGGCTGGTCTCAAACAAATAGTTCTTAAGATAAGGGCAGAGAACCAGATGAATGTGCTTGGCACTTACCCTGAGGGTGATGGACCGAGGGGGCTTCTGTGGGGGATCGTCGTGCAGCCTGTCTCCCAGAGATGCCAAAATACGTTTCCTGTGGCCAATCAAATTGATTTTTAAAACCTGAAACAACATATATTTGGGTTAAATATTTCACTGGAGAACAAATAATTTTTATATGTCCTAAAACATGTGGGGTGAAAAAAGATTTGTGCAAAGTTACTCCTGCACCATGAGATGTGGTGTCACTTCAGTGTGACCGCTGAAGTCCAGAAAGATTGCAGTAGCATCTGGAAAGCCTGGAGTGGCTAAGTATCAGGGGCACAAAGAGAAGGGAGGATGGTTCTCCTTCCACTCATGCTGCCTGAGAGCCTCATTCCCAATGCAGCAGCCTCAAGAGAAACCAGCTCTTCTTATAAGCAGCCGAAACCTCACAGGATAAAATCTGAGTCTGGACTCAGGCTTCAGAGGGACAGGCTGCCCTCTGTCTCTTTCCCTCCATCCAGGATATGCAGTCATGCCAGCCTCCTCTAGGTATTAGAAGCTCCACATTCATTCTCACCTTGGGGCCTCTACCCCTGCTCAACCACCTGCCTGGAATGCCCCCTCTCCCCTCTGAGATTTTCAAATAACCAGTGACTTCTCATGGTTCTGGACACTGTGCTGCTGATGTCTCCTCAGAAAGGTCCTCCCCCGCCTCCTTATTGAAGAAGCCATGCCCTCAACCCCTGACATGCTCTCCACGATGATCCATCCTCATTTTATCACACTCTAAAAGCACTTTCTTTACAAGCTTAGTGTTTGTGTTTTGTTCCACCCTCTCCAGGTAAGCTCCCTGAGAGCAGGGCACTGGCATATGTAGAGCACTATTATTTCCCAAAAGCATAAAAGGATGACTAAAAAAAAATAAGGGATTAATGAATATGAAAGAATGAATGGTAATAGAGATGGGAGTTGCAAAATTAGAGTCATCTTGCATAAGGATACAGTTAGAATGAAGGACTGCCTATTGGGGTAGACTCAGAGCCTCCCCAGGATGGTATTTTGAATCTGACCATGCTGCAAAGGGCACATGGTAGAAGAGCTCTCAAAGGGAACTGAGAATTGCAGCGCCTCAATCCTCAGCCCCATTCCCGGTGCTTTACCAGGGCCACACCCCTTTCAATCTTCCCAACTTCTCTATCTGGAAGGAGTTCTCACTTGACAGATGAAGAAACTGTGGTTCCGAGTGGTTAAGTCACCTACCCAAGAGCCAGCATGTCGTGGCTCTGGGATTTGAATCAGATTTGCCTGATTCCAAAGCATGTTTTACTCCAAAGTATACGTCACAAAATTTGGGCATTTCTCCAAATGTTACCAGCTTCTTAAAAACACATTGTATATTCATCCATTCATAAAAATGTGTTTACCTCTTCCCTACCTATGTGTAGTCCCAGGATATAATAATCTTGTTGGGTAACTAGTTTCCAAAGTCGTTATCCCATGTGTACATTTTTCTCTTCTCTTTTCAAGTTTTAAGATAGAAGGTGGGGAGAGCGTTTCTTTGGCAGGCATCCCATGATACCTTGAATTTTTTTTAAATTTCAACTTTTAATTTAGATGTAGGTGGTATATGTGCAGGTTTGTTACATGAATACACTGAGTGATGCTGAGGTCTGGGATATGAATGATCCCGTCACCAGGTAGTATGCATAGTACCCAATAGGTAGTTTCTCAGCCCTTCTTCCCTTCCTCCCTCCCCTCCTTTGTCGTCCCCAGTGTTCACTGTTGCCATCGTTATGCCCATGAGTACTCAACGTTTAGCTCCCACTTATAAGTGAGAACATGCAATATTTGGTTTTCTGTTTCTGCGTTAATTAACTTAAGGGTAATGGCCTTCAGCTGCATCCATGCTGCTGCAAAGGACATGATTTCATTCTTTTTTATGTCTGTGTAGTATTTCATCTACCTTGACTTTTTATTTGCCTATTTGTTGGTTAACTTACGGGCCTTTTGGCCTAAACTGATGTAGATTTTAAACTCACACTACGCCCTATTCCTTTGACAGCCACCCTCTGACCCATGTCTGTTGATGATGAGGAGGGTAAATGTTAGCCAAGGTGAATGTCCCCATGCACCATATCCCTATGATTTTATAAAACCTTCATCTCCCCAGGCTGATTAATCCTAATCTTTGCAAGTTTGTTTTCATAAAGCAGCTCCTCTTTTCCATAAATCATTTCAGTTGACATCCTCAGGACTTTCTCCTACCCTATTATAGCTGCTTAAGGTTTGCTGAAAAAATGGCTCACAATATTCCAGGTGTAAGTGAACCATGGCTTTACATTTATGCAGGATACTGTTTTCTGCTTTTAATACCCGTTTAAAATGTCCTTCCTAAGCACACGTGATTTCTAGCTAGCCTTTTAGCTGCAGTAGGAATAACCAGGGACAAAAGTATACACTGACTATAAAATCCCTTAATTTTGTTATAGCTAATAGTTCAAAGCCCTTTAATCTAGGAGGGATGATTTGAGTTATTTTTCCCTAAATTTCTTATCTTACAGTTGTCCAGGCAGAAGCCCATCTGCCATCCTTCTGCCCACTCACACAGCCCTATGTTAGCTTTTTGCATTTATATTAACCAGTTTGGCATTTCACTACCTGGAAGAGCTTAGTGATTTTTGCATATCTGGAAATTTCACTATGTATTCCTTTCAGATGATTTATAAATATGCTAACTAAGTGTGGCCCTACTGCTGATTACTTGCAGGCAGCATTGTTTATACGATCCATAGAAATGCCCTTATATTCTTGTATTGTTTCTGTTTTTAAGCATCAAGACCAAATAATTCCTCCATCTCAGAAAAAATATGATAACCTTTTCAAAGGTATTTTGCAAGTCTAAATACAGCATATTTTCTAATTCTCTTTTATTCTCATCCTCAATTCCTTTGCCAAAGGCTTCTATTGGATATAAATTCCTCCCATAAAATCTTCACCGCCTTTCTCCCAGCAGGTAGCTGGACCTCATGCTGATGGTACTACCTTGCCCCCTCCCTGAGTCCTGCTAGAAATGTTTTTTATAATAAAGACATTTGCTTAATTATTATTATTATTATTATTATTATTATTTACAAAACTGACACTAAATAACACATAACTGTGGTACAATTGAGCTGATGTAATCCCCACTATTGCTTTTGGTTTACTCTCCCACAACTCAATTTTGGGCAGGTTACCTGACTCCTCTGATCTCAGGTTTTCTCACATATAAAGTGAAGAAGTTAATGACAATTTCAAATGTGGTTGGGAAGATGAAGAGTAAGTTGTGAGAATAACCAGCATAGTGCCTGACACATAGAAGAAGCAACTTTCACAGTGTGCTTATTCCAGTGAATGGGTTCTGAGGGTGCACAGGAATCCTGGCCCAGAAGAACAAGGACTTGTTCATTGTCATAAAGTCAATCATGTTAAACAAATACACTGGAGCTTTGGATGAAGAGATGTGGCTAACCTTGGGAAAGCCCTCAATGAAGTAACTTATCCTAGTAGGAACATGGCTGATTTCTAGCTATTAGTCTGAGGCCAGACCCAATTTAAAAGAATATGCTCTTCTGCCATCCACATCGCTTAATCTTCAATAGGAGGTAAGCTGAGGCACTCCTCTGCACTGAAGCTTCATTGCTGTCTCCTCCATAGAGCTACCCAGATGAGGGTGGACGGATGAATGAATGGATTGATGGATAGATGATAGATGATAGACAGATAGACAGGAAACGAATTAACACAGGATGGTTAGTACTATCAAGATCACCTGGATAACTCTCCTTTTTATCAGAAATGAGCCCCCATCACTGAAGATACTGATGGTAACTTCCATTTACTGAACATTTTCTATACTCTAGTTCTATGTCCTAGTTGTGCTAGAAACTACCAAGTGGTTATACACAAATATAAATATCTCCTGTAATCCTTACAATAGCATACAATAAAACCATTCTCATTTTAGAGATGCAAAATCTGAGATTATGAAATGCTAAGTAACTTGCCCAAGGTCACACTGCTAAGAGGTACATGGCTAGGATGTGCACCTGATTCTTAACCAGCCCTTCACTACTCTCCTTGCTCTTCTTCTTGCTGTTAACCTCTATACCTTTTGACCTTTAGCTACACTATTGGTTATGTCATCATGAGGCTTCTTAAGATGTTGCTTCTTACTTTGAGTTATCATGTTTAAAGCATTTATATAGGGTTTTGAGCATCTGAAAACATTAAAATAATTCACTTTTTAGTAAGGCTTATAGCATTGTTAAAGCTACAGGCTACAAGGGCAGGTACCTCACAGTATTCCCTGTGAAATACACATATAGACCAAGGACAGGAAACCCTCATCACCCAAGATTCAATCCGAGCTGGCTCACTGTGGAGTGGTAGAGAGGGTGACAGTGGGCTTCAAAACGCCCAAGTTGACAGTAAGAAATCCAATTGGCAAAACAATAACAGAGAGAATATTCCAAAGAAAGATGGTCATTATGGAAAAGTCAAGTCTGAAGGTGGCTGGGTTTGCCTTGAGTGAGAAAGGCTTTATAGCAGACTGTCTTTGCAAGCAGATGGGGTTCCTGAGTAGTGGAATCCTACAACCCCAGGCATCATGGGTGATAACCAGTGTGAAAACTTTAGTTTTCAAGAACACCAAAGCAATGGTTACTGCAGTAGAGAAGAATTCTGTGTTTTCGTTACTGTTTGGGTTAAAGTTAACTGTTCAGACAAGAACATAATGGGAGTAAAAGACAAAATAATGGTAATATATTGGAGATTCAGTTATTCTAAGATGTTGAAGCAATTCAGTTCGGCTCAAAAAACAATACTGAATTTCTGCTACCAATTATTTGGAGGATTCAAAGGGGAACGTCTATGAACAGAGCTTACAATATTGGAGAGATCAGGCACAAATAACTACATTATCACACCATTAACTAAGAAAAATTATTATACACATAAGCATAAGAATGTGGCTCCAACTGCTGAGTTCCAATAGATAAGAAATAAAAGTTGGCCAGGCGCAGTGGCTCATGCCTGTAATCCCAGCACTTTGGGAGGCTGAGATGGGTGGATCACGAGGTCAGGAGATCGAGACCATCCTGGCTAACACAGTGAAACCCCGTCTCTATTAAAAATACAAAAAAAAAAAATTAGCCAGGCATGGTGGCGCACGCCTGTAGTCCCAGCTACTCGGGAGGCCGAGGCAGGAGAATCACTTGAACCCGGGAGGTGGAAGTTGCAGTGAGCCGAGATTACGCCACTGCACTCCAGCCTGGGCGATGGAGCAAGACTCTGTCTCAGAAAAAAAAAAAAAAGAAAAAGAAAAGGAAATAAAAGTTATGGCATGTGTTCTTAATGGTTTTTATTACAACTATTGTAAGAGGAATGTGGGTCAAAGGCAAGGAGTATTGTTGAAACCACAGGAGTCAGCCACAGGTGGGTATCCATTCATCACAGCAGTAGCCGCCTCCAGGAATTTTCTCCAGTATCACTTAAACAGGATAATTCCGGAAACCCCACTGTGAATCTCAGCAACAGGAGAATAATCATGCTGGATGACAATCCTATAATATCACGTCACTGCTGTTTATGTTTCTGGGTTTGGCTGTGGGAATTCTGCCAGACAGTATCATGATATACCCTTACATGGAATAGCTTACTTCAGAATATATGTCATAGCAAAGCTGAAAGTCAATGTACTTAAACTTCCTTTTTTCTTTTAAAATTTAATGTGATATAAAATTAAACATGTTTAAATTTATATCACATTAAATTTAACATGTTTAATTTAAACATGATGTAAATGAAGCATTTTTATCTGCTTTTAAAAAAGTAAATAACATTTTGATTATAATAGCTATACTGCTTTCCCATTTTAGACACTTTATAAAATACAGAAAAACAAGTAAGAGAACCAGTAATCCACAAACTATATCTAAATAGATATATTTCATTTCTCCCCCATGATTATGTTTTGTGGTGGTCATATCACGAGTACCATTTTCGCCTTTTCTTCAGTTCTTTAAAGCTAAAGAACTTTTCTACATATACAACTCTCAGTAGACATTTTAACTAACTCCATATTATCACATTATTGTTTCAGAGAAGTATGTCATAATTCACTAAACATTTCCCCTATCATTGAAAATTTTGGTTTGTGCTCCTTTCTGGATAGCAAACATTCCACATGCTTAAATAATTCTATCATCCTACAATTTCCGTTCTCAATGCCATGTTTACATAGACACAGCATAGAAAACACCAAAGAAGACTGCAAGAATCACACAAGTCACGCAGAAAAGTCATGTAGCAACAGTCTGTCTCTATGTTCTGCATGAAATCTCAATCCGTTTATTGCCGGCTGGACCAACTCCTGGGAAAATCACAAACCCACATAATGTTCCTCAGTGCCATATTTTGCATTTTGTTATGTTTTTGGAGTTCAGATTTAGCTGACAGATGTGAAACAGCACATGTAGCTGGAATTCTTCAGAGAGTACACATGCAGCGATGCTGGGCACACAAGCGATTCTAGTTCTCACCACCAGGCGACTGCATCCTTTTTATTTCTAGATTGTTATTGAGGGAGGGAGTTCATCCTGCATTTGGAACTCCCTTCCATTTTAGGGGGTAGATTATTTCCCCTTTCCTTTCTAGATACTTGGCCAACTAAAGAGAACAGCTCCTATGCAAGTCTGTAGAGCTCACCTGGCTTCAGAGTAGCCTCTTCTAATAAAACTGCAAGTGTTCTGAGCAGTTCTGGTGTTCCTAAATGCCAAGAATGGAAGTTGCGGTGGAAACTGATCTGCTTTGTTCTCATCTGCAGAACTAAAATTGCAAATAATTGTCAAAGTTTTCCCCCCTGCCTGATAACAATTTCTAAACACTTTCCACCTGAAAGCATCAAGGCAAAAGTGCCTGTGTAAAATTCCATTTCGAATTCCTGCAATCTTAGAAATCCTCACTTGAACTTGCATACAGTTTTGACCATGACATTTTTCTCTCTTATTTCTTGAACTGCAATAATCCATGTCCAGCATGGGATGGTGAACAGAAAGACCTCAGGAGCAGAAAGTCATGACATTTGGTTCTTCTCTTACTCTTCTTCTAGCTAAGTAATCTTTAATGTCTTTGAGTTGTAATATAAAGGGGACAATAACAGTCTTATTCAACAAATATTTCTTGGATGCCTTTCACATATAACCACCATGTTATGCAATTTGTGAGCCACAAAGAAGAAAAAATATCGAGTCCTCCAGGGCTCTCAATCCAGGCAGTAAAAAAATATTAAAACCATGTGAACGTATGTGTGTGTATATTTGTGTGTATGTATGTAGGCATCTATGTATGTATGTATGTATCTATCTTTCTATCATCCATCCATCCATCTAAATATATACGTCTACACAGCCTTCCCAGCCTAAAAGGGGTTTCTGTGGAATGAATGAGAATGACTAGGAAGCTTATCTGGAAATTATAAAGCACAGAACTAAGGTACTAACTAAGGTATTATTTCTCTTTTAAGTATAACAGAAACTTAAAACTTTCTTACCCTATCAACAATATTTAGATATTACCTTTGATATTTAAATGTGCCATTATGGATATCTCTGGGTAGATTTTAGATCCAGAATCATGCCTTCCACTTCTCCAATCTTCTCTCCTGTTATTTCTTTGCTCCATGTATACACACTTGTGCATATTCCAGAGTGTCTCTGCCTGGATTTTCATTAGAATCTCACAAGGATGAAATCGAGATCCACCTAAAGCCTTGCTTGCTCACCTTGGATTACATAGACCTTTCTCTCTTTGAATTTCTTTAGTATCTGTGGTCTACCCTGTGCTGTTGACACATGATACATCCTGGTGGGTATAGCTAACTCTCTTTTTTTTGCGTATGTGTCTTACCTGATCAACTAGACTCTAGGCGCTGAAAAGTCAGATATAGTGTCACTGCATCTCAGGGTCCCTGAATGCATCTAGCTCACGAATACAACTCAAAGGTGATCTCTAAGATCTCAACTCAAACCCCTGTCAAGGTGGACAACAAATGAAGCAGGGGAGATGTCTCTAAAAGAAAAAGAGGGAAGGAAAATAACACCTATGTCTTATTTCATTCCGTTTCTACTCTCAAGAGTCTTCTATTCTTTCTGAGCTTTGGCACCTTAATTCCTACACACAGTCTTGCCACGGGTGATGCAAAACTTCCTTACATCCCACCATCTGTAACTCTTTCCCTTTACCTCTGCCACTTCATCTAAAAAAAATCCCTCTGACTACAGTTTCCAAATTCCCTTTTCCTTCTGCTATTACTTTCCAAACCAACTGCTACTAAATAATCAGCAAATAACTGTTTGACAGATGCCACCGAAATACAACTGTACTAACCTATGGAAAGGAAAAGAGGTTCCAAGTTATACAGCTCCAGAGAGAGCAAAGGATAGTGAGAAAGAGCGAGGGAGGAGGAATGCGTGTTTTCTGAATGTAGTCTGTCTCATTAAATAGGAAATACTAATTATGAGGAAATGAGATCATCTTTGCATGGAAAGAGAGACCTTAATGGTATAATTGCCTCTGAACATTTAAGGGCTCTGGAGGTACAAAGCCTTCTTTTGTAATCAATGAGAATCTTAGGTTTATTTGTAAAGCTCTCTGAATTACCTCTTGATGAAGGTACTAATTTTCTGATTTTCATGTAAACATTGCTTCAGAAGATTAAAAACACACACAAAACAAAACAATAAATCAGTTCCCAACTAATTTCCCTGAAAGTTACTTTTAAGTAAAGCTTGCTGCCAGTTAAGTTTTTATAGGAGAAATTTGGTTTACATTGCTCAATAACCCAATCATTGGGGTTATTGAAGGAAAAATTTGTTACAAAAGAAAATGGGAAGTATGTGCAACATCCCAGATCTGAAGTTATTCTTGGAGATGTGAAGATGTGCTAATAGCATCTGAAAAGTGCAAATCTCCCTGCAGTACTATGAATACATAAAAATGCTCTGCATCTTAAGAAGTAGAGAGACTGCTGTTTTGCTATATTTTGCTAACCATGCAGGATATTTACTGCTAACGAGGGTATTTTCTAACTTTATTTCCTTTCAATTTTTGAGATCATAAAATTTATGATCAATTATATTGTGTGACTGATGCTCTCAGTATTGTAAAGGAAATTATGGTTACCGAAATTCATTAACATATATCCATATAAAATAAACAGAAACACGCAACATACATGAACACACCCATATTTGTAAAAGAAGCTCTAAGACAAATTGAGTCTCAAGAGACAATCCTAGGTAAGTGAGGGCCTGGTTACTCCGTTTTTGGATTATAAGTGGTCTTTTCTGCTCTGTTGCTGCTCTGCCCCTCTTCTTGAGGTTTAGCTACTTTAATGGCATATAACACCCTCCATCAGCAGACAGAATAGTGAAAGAGGCAGTGAATTCAATCCAGCCAATTCTGTTTCTGTCAGCAGCTCTGATAAAAGGGTTTTATGTGGGAGGAGGTAAAAAATCTACCTAAAACTAGCTAAACTAAAGTTTTAAAAATGCATCCACAGATTTTACTTAGCCTAGCCAGCTACTACTGCACTTTAGAATTGGACATTTACCATATTTCAGCTACGTATGGAGGCAAAAAGGATGTTAAGGTTAAAAGAAAGTATTATAAGGAAAGCAGAGGTTGAGTCCCAAGGATGAGTTCAAAAAGAGGAAAAAAAAAGGGGTAACAACAGTGAGAGAGATTTCTTATCGTCCCTTTTCTCCCTTTGTCCCCACCCCCACCACTATCCCCTTCCTTATCTTCTGGAGAGTCACATCACAGAGTAGAGCTAGGAATCACCCTAAACCCATAAGAATGGCTAATGTTAGAAAAGAATGACCCTACCTCGGATGATAAGGATGTGGAGGAACTGGAACTCTCATCTTGCTGGTAGGATTGTAAATGGCACAGTCACTTTTGAGGAAACTGCCAGTTTCTCAAATTTTGACCCAGTTTTCTAACATATAACCCAGCAAGTTGACTCTAGCTAGCAACTCCTAGCTAAAAATGAATACATATGCCCACATAAAGATGTGTACATGAATGTTTAAGCAACATTATTCATAATAGCTAAAAATTAGCAATAATCCAAATGTCCGATCAACTGGTGAATGGATAAGTAAAATACAGTATATTCATGCAACAAAATACTGCCTAATGATACAAAGGAATGGGCTACATGATACAGGCTATAGCATCAACAGACCTCAAAAACATTATGCTAAGTGAAAGAAGCTGCACACACAAGATGATAGAATATTGTAGGATTCCATTTACATGAGTTTCTAGACAGCATAAAACTATATGTACAGAAAACATATCAGTGGTTATCTGGAGTAGGAATAGGAGCAGGGATTGACTGCAATGAGCATAAAGGAACTTTTTAGGGTTATGGAAATGTTCTAAAATGGGATTGTGTTGATGGTTGGATAGCTGTATAGGTTTACTGAAATTTACCCAACTGTATACATAAAATGGGCGATTTTCATGATGTGTAATTAAATTGCAATGAAGTTGTTTTTGAAAAAAGAATAATGCTGGGAGAATGCATTCAGTATGCAGTATCGTATAAATAAGGCCATTCCTGAAGGCTGTAATCCAGGCTGCTCGAGAAGACCTCTGTTGTCTTGGAATATACCACTTATCAGCTGGATGGAAGGGTGAGCAACATATACACTGCAGGATGTCTTAAGGAAAATGTGACCTGCAGGGTAGCTTTGTTCTAGGAGCCTAGTACTATTTAACTATAGGCTAATAGATCAGTAGCATATTCTTTATTATAAGTGCACAATACAGTAAATTAGTACGACTTTCCTATGTATGTATATTTTTGAGGGTCTTAATCCTCCAAGTCATAACACTTCAGTAAAAATGTTTATGCTTTCTAAGTACTTACAACAAATGGCTTATGGATGTTTGCGGAGTGATCACTAGGAGCCAACATGGGTTCTCTCTGGATGGGTAACAGGTGGTGATCATGAGATGACACTCAAGAACCAGAGAATAAGGTTGCATTCTAAGCACCAAATTAATCACATCAACAGTGCTATGATTTGAGTTTTCTCTGACAAAAACTCAGCTTTAAATTGGATCTCCAATGTGGCAGTGTTGGCAGATGGGGCCTAATGGGAGATATCTGGGTCATGAGGTGGCGAATCCTCCTTGAAATAACTTATGCCATTCTCTCAGGAGTGAGTGAGTTCTTGCCCTGGCAAGACTGGATTAGTTGTCACAGGGATGAATTAGTTCCTGCAAGAGTGGGTTGTTAAGAAGCCAGGACATCCTGTGGGTTTTGCCTCTTCACACGTCAGCTTCCCCTTTAACCTTTCACCATGTTGTGATACAACACCAGAAATTCTCACCAGAAGCTGAGCAGGTGCTGGCACCATGCTTCTTGAACTTCCTAGCCTGCAGAACCATGAACTAAATAAACCTTTTCTTCTTTATAAATCACCCAGTCTCAGATGTTCTGTTATAGCAACACAAAACAGACTAGGACAAACAAAGCGACTGGAGTCAGAATGACTTTCTAGCCCATGAAGAGTCAATGAAATAGACTGGCAGTGTGACTACAGTTTAATCGGTGATACTGAAACCCAGCTAAATAAAGAAGGTGTGCCAGGGTGGGGTGGAGAAGCAAGGGTAGAGGGCATATTGAAGCAGTGAAACTATCTAGCTTTGGCAGCAGCATGGGGAGACACTGAATCTTAACATAAGTAAGCTCCCTGATTACTCAAGGGGTTATTTTATCAGGTTTTGTACTGATCTAAATGAAACATCCCTCAAAATTCCCTTTCCTTCAATACCACATGTACCAGGAAGCAGTAATTGCTGAATCAGTTTTCTGAGTGCCCAGATATGAGAAGAGGAAATGTTGAAGACGGGGGATCAGGGAGGGGAGCATTTGGTCAGAGAATCCTTCCCATCATGTATTAACAGAATGGACATCTTGATACATTGATCTCTCCTTAATTAAATTAAATCCACACCACCGAGGCACAGAACCTGCTCAGGAGGGCATAGTGATTAAGAGCAGGGCTTGGTGTCAGGATGACCTGAGTGTGAGTGTTGGTACTGGCATTTACTCTATATGCCTTTTGGTCAATTACTTAACGTCTCTCAGTATCACCTAACTTGTGTAAAATGATGGAGCTAAGAAACAGTATTCGCCTCTTAGTGTAATTGTTAGGATTAAATGAGACATATGCAATGCATTTAGCACAGTGCCTGGTATAAAATGAGCTTCATAAAATTCTAACTTCATTCAGTGTTTTGATTAAGCCCAGTTTCTGAAATGGAAGGGCTGAGCCCTCCCCTGGAACCCCACCAGAAGGAGCTCAGCAGCCAGCCATGCACCTTTTCCCTGGCAACAATCCCTGCATCATCAGCCACTCTTCAAACTTTGGTGGCCTCATTGAAAATCAGTTTTTGCCAAACTTTATTGACTTTCTTTTTTTGACAGGTATTAGTATGAGGTTGACAGACCAGGAGAATGTCATAGATATAGTGTCTTTGATTCCAATAAAGCACTTGATGAAGTCTTTCATTATCTGCAAGATGGTGGGCTCTATGAGGGAAAAATTAAGTGGATTCACAGCTGGTTGTACATCTATAGCCAAGAGGCTTGATGAATGGCTCTGTCATAACCTGTTGGGGGACCACTGATTGAATGCCACAGGCTCTGCCCCTGGATTCTGCTCTATTCAATATTTTTATTAATGGCATCAAAATAGACATAAGAAGAATACTTATCAGATTTTTCAATGACATAAAACTGTGAAAAATATTTAATATAATAATAGGCTAATGTAAAATTCAACATTCTCTCAACGGGCTGAAAAGGCCAAGCTGACACCAAAAAGATGCAATTTAACAGGGATAAATATAATGTCTTACATTAAGGATCCAAAAGAAATCAATTGTTCAAGTTCAAGATGGGAAAGATATGGCTGTGCCACAGTTCAAAGAAATAGCTGAATTTTTAGTTAAACGTAGGAAGGGGTTTAGCAGAAAGAATGCAAAAGTATGGGTCTAATGGGGAGGGAATGAACCCATTTAGAATAATTTTACCAAATAAATAATCTCATTTACCTTGCTATTACAACCTAACAAGGCTGGTAATTACCTTAACTTTAGAAATGAATTAACTGAGGTTCAGGAATTTAAGGAACTTGTCAAAGTGATGACAAAATCAGGATTTGAATCCAGTTCCGACTTCCAAAATTTGTGCACTTTGGATTCATTCTATCTTGCTGCCACTTCTCTCCCAGAGATGCTGTGTGGCTCAAGTGAGACAATTTTAATGGACGTACCTAGCACAGTGCCTGGCTCCTACCTTCTGCTCAAAAGTGGCTGATTATTTTTCTCCCAGAGACTCATTAAATGTAAGGCTGGGTGCTTATATGAACAACCAGTACTTTATTATTATAATATGAACTCTGCAGTCTATTCTAAGTCTTTTCAAGTTTATCCATTAATATACCTAGTGCAGAAATGATTCTGTTGATTTTTATTCTCTCATTCACCATTATTTCCAAATCCTTAATGCCAGAAGAGGAAGTCCAGCCTGGAAAAGGCACTGGAAAATTTGAGGGCAATCTAAAAATCTCTGTCAGTCAGTAATGATTCCCAGATAATTAAAACTTTTTTTTTTTTTTAATTAAGGTAACTTTCAAGGGCTGCATTAGTGGTTCAATGCTGCGTATTAACATGACAAAAACCTCTATTACCTTTAGATAATGAGGTGGTGTGTTAAGTAACCTTAGTACAATGATATGCATACAGAATGTACAAAATTTTCAATTAATTCAATTATTTAATTAGTTTAGCTTATGGTTAAAAAGATACTTTTTTTTCTGTTGTTGGAGGTCTTATTAGAATTCTTCATATATATATATATACACACACACACACACACACACACACATATATGTACACATACACACATATATATATATGTATATTTTGTTCTTTCCTGCCTAAGGGTGGTTTATTGACAGTCTTTAATTCTTCCCTAGATATCTGGAATACTGCATTGCATCTGAGTCATGCTCTGTGTAGACTATTTGTCACTGGGCCACAGTGCTGCTGCAAAAGGTGGCTGAGGAATGCACACTGGCTCCAGCAGTATCCTGTAAGATTTAGCTCTTTTAAATAAAGGAATTCTTAGGAGCAGTTAGTTTTCATTGCCTCTTGCACTAAAAGCAAGGCCTGACAACATTAGCTATCCAAAAGTTCCAGTTAATGAAGGTTTCATTGTAAAAAAGAATCCATTTGGGGGAAGGTGCAAACTCTTTGTAATTTTCTCTCCCTCTTTCTCTTGGCCTAGGCCAGCCATGGTTCACAAAGCTGGAGAATGGAGAATCATTAGCTGCTGATGGTGCTGGTCATCCCACCCTGGCAAGGAAAGGAACAGGTATGTTGAGTGACCAGGTTGACCTGTGCAGTGGATGAGCCGAAAACCTCTTTTGTAAGCTGTTTTGTAAAGATATGGAGACAACTGATGATTCTGGAGGTGGAGGATGCTTTGAGGGCCAGAACACACACTCTGCAATAAAGCAGGTCACTTCCTTCAGGTTTTAAGCTAAAATGTGAACACATCAGTGGACTTTCACATAAGCTGTGCTTTCTTTCTGGAATGTCTCCTTTTCCTCTTCTCCATCTAGTGAACCTCTACTCATCTTCTACTCTTTCGAGTTAAATACTACTTTTGAACAAATAATAGCAAAAGAACAATTAACGGCAACAGAACTTTGGAATGACAGTTATCAAACTAGTCCTGATCCATAAACAAAAGTCTACTTAGCACATTGTGTGAAAAAATGAAGTCTCTTTGTTTTTATTTTCTTAAACCACTTTATTCCAGTATGACTGACATGTAAAAGGTTGTACGTATTTAATGCATACAACTTGATCAATTTAGGGATAAGTACATACACATCAAACCATCACCACCATCAAGACTATAAGCATACCCATCAGCTCCCAAATTTTCCTCCAGCTCCTTTCATTATTATTATCATCATTTTTGTGTGTGTGGTAAGAATACTTAACATAAGATCTCCTCTTCTGGCAAATTTTAAATACACAATACACTATTGTTAGTTACTGGAACTATGCTACAGTAGATCTCTAGAGCTTATTTCTCTTGCATAAGTAAAATTTTCTATTTAACCATCACCTTTCCATTTCTGCCCCCAGCCCCTGGTAACCACCATTCTACTGCCTGCTTTTACGGGTTTAGCTATATTAGATTCCACATTGAAGTGAGATCATATAGTATTTGCTTTCTGTGCCTGGCTTATTTCACTTAGCATAATGTCCTTCAGGTTCATCCATATTGTTGCAAATGGCAGGATTTCCTTCTTTTTCATGGCCAAATAATATTCCATGGTATGTATACACTACATTTTCTTTATTCATCTAATGATGGAAATACAGATTGATTCCTTGTCTTAGGACATTGTGACTAATGCTGCAATGAACACGGGAGTGCAGGTATCTCCTCAAGATCTTAATTTTTTTTCTTCTTTTGAGATGGAGTCTTGCTCTGTCACCCAGGCTGGAGTGCAGTGGAGAGATCTTGGCTCACTGCAACTTCTGCCTCCCGGGTTCAAACGATTCTCCTGCTTCAGCCTTCTGAGCAGCTGGGATTACAGGCATGCGCCACCATGCCTGGCTAATTTTCGTATTTTTAGTAGAGAGGGGGTTTTGTCATGTTGGTCAGGCTGGTCTCAAACTCCTGACCTTAGGTGATTTGCCCGCCTCAGCCTCTCAAACTGCTGGGATTACAGGCTTGAGCCACTGCGCCTGGCCAAGATCCTAATTTAAATTTGTTTGGATAAATATCCAGAAACAGAACTGAAGAATCATATGGTGGGTCAATTTTTAATACATGTTTATTTTGTATCAGGTTGCAAATTTGTTGATCAAAATTATGAGTTCAAGATGAAAAAGTGAAAAGTAGAGCAATGCTTTCTAAGAAATAGATACTGAATCATCAAATGGAAAAGTAATATCCCCACTTGCTAATTTAATTCATCATAATTTACAAGTCTCTAATGAAAACCAAGCAACAAACAATGACTTAGTATTTGTTAGAAAACAGTTTAATCTCCAGTTGTCACTGAACTCATTAGCAACATATGTCATTCACACACAGTGAGGAATTATTAATTTTTCATTTCAAGAAAATTGTCAAATTAAGCTGGATAGAATAACAACATACAATAAAAAAATTGGTAATTTATTCTTATATTGCCCTAGAATGATGATAGTGTGTGGCATGTCATTAATTAATAAACATAATATTATTCACATAGTGGGCCCTTGATATCCATGAAATGTGTAATTAATGATGAAAATGCTATAGTGTTACTATCACACTTACTGATCACATCGAAGTTTTTTCCACCCACACTTAAATTAAATCTCCCTGAAATCCCTGGTTCAAATTTCATGAGATTCAAGTAATTTGTGATTTTTTTTTTTTTTTTTGATGCGGAGTCTCGCTCTGTCGCCCAGGCTGGAGTACAGTGGCATGATCTCAGCTCACTGCAACCTCCTCCTCCCAGGTTCAAGCAATTCTCCTACCTCAGTCTCCAGAGTAGCTGGAATTATAGGTGCATGCCACCATACCTGGATTAATTTCTGTGTATGTGTGGTTTTTTTTTTTTTGAGACGGAGTCTCGCTCTGTTGCCCAGGCTGGAGTGCAATGGCGTGATCTTGGCTCACTGTGACCTCCGCCTCCCAGATTTAAACGATTCTCCTGCCTCAGCCTCCCAAGTAGCTGGGATTATAGGCGCCTGCCACCACCCCTGGCTAATTTTTGTATTTTTAGTAGAGATGGGGTTTCACCATGTTGGCCAGGCTGGTCTCAAACTCCTGACCTCAAGTGATCTGCTCACCTCGGCCTCCCCAAATGCTGGGATTACAGGCATGAGCCACTGCGCCTGGCCTGATTTGCGATTTTTCATGAAGAATTTTTTAAAGGCCAAAGTTCATCCTCAAGATAAGAAAAATGATTGTTTGCCATAGAATTCTTCTAATCTCAACTTTTAAAAGAATTTATTAACATTTCAGGTCAAATGCCTCAAATGTTGAAATCTCATATTTTAATTCTTTGAGATGAAGTGTTTTCCCCAGCATTTCTTTTTTTTTTTTATTTAGATTTAGTCTTAACTCGCATCAAGGTTTATAAAAAATGATATTTCTATTTCATGAGCATGGACAGAATGTGTTGAAGCCTCCCTGCAGGAAAATTATGAGCAGAGGTAAAAATCCTTGCAGCATTCTTAGCTCCTTAGCTGTAGTGTCTCTTAGAGAAATGTTGCATATAAGGAATGCTAATTAAGGAGGCTGGGAGAAAAGAGATGCCACCTTTCCAAACACAACATTTCAAAAACAAGTATTACTAACATGGTGGTTTTATGAAGCACTTGAATCTTACATAAGTATGGCTTGTTTTTTGTTTCCTAAAAAAAGACTGCATTTGAGCAAACCAAAACCCGAGTAATTTAAATCATGAATTTCAGAGAAAAAAGTTTTGCATCTAGCTAGGAACTTAATAAAATATAAGTTTTCAAATACTTTTTTTTTCTATTTTAAAATCAGGTACACTGCTATTTGCAAAATCTCTAGTCAAGTAGAAGCAGAAAAAGACCGTCTTAATTTTAAAAGAGTAACCCTGCTCCCATTTATGAGGATTTTTGCAGGGAGAAAGATTTTATAAGATATTCACTTCAATACAAAAGGGCTTAAATTCAAGAGTATTTAAACTTTGAATTTCAACTTATCCCTTGGAATGGCCTCATGGCTAATTTCTTGTCTATATACAAGGTCAAATAGATGTATGTCTTTGGTTAATTTGGACTGACTGCCAAGCAATTTATTAGGAAGCTGGAGGATCTAAATTGATCATGAAGACAACAGAATAAATGGGCTTTGTCTGATTACTTCCGTTTACCTGATGATTAAATCCTGCCTGCAGAAAATTTATGTGACTTCCAAATAACACAGAGACAGACAGACAACCCCATGACACACTATTTAAAACTCTTATCTTCATTAAATGAAAAAAAATCAATTTCAAAAGTACCTTTTGTTCTTTATGTCTTTGTTAAATTACGTCTGAGGAAGTAAAAGAGCTTCTTGTTGCCGTACTTCCTGGTCTATTGTCATATATCCCACAATTGGAGACTTTTTGCAAGATGGGTAATTTGGATATCAAATATGAGAAATTATAAGTGCCTTTAGCAGATACTGCTTTTCCAAGAGTTCAGTGTGATCTTGGATAAAAATTTGGGCAGATGGCTTCCTTTGGAGGCTTATACATTGTTTTCCACAAAATGTAGTTGATGGAGACCAGAGAAGCATTGCATTTTTTTTTTTTTTTTTTTTTTTTTTGAGACGGAGTCTCACTCTGTCGCCCAGGCCAGAGTGCAGTGGCGTGATCTCGGCTCACTGCAACCTCTGCCTCCTGGGTTCACGCCATTCTCCTGCCTCAGCCTTCTGAGTAGCTGGGACTACTGGCACACGCCGCCACGCTCAGCTAATTTTTTGTATTTTTAGTAGAGGCAGGGTTTCACTGTGTTAGCCAGGATGGTCTCGATCTCCTGACCTCGTGATCCGCCCGCCTCAGCCTCCCGAAGTGCTGGGATTACAGGCGTGAGCCACCGCACCCGGCCCAGAGAGGCAATTTTTAAGATGGAAAAAAAAAAAAAGATTCTCTCCAACTCTCTTTGCCCAGCCTGCCAATGCTCCCATTTTCACAGCACCCAGGCCAGCCAAGACCTAACCTTATGCAGAAAAAGGAACAATGCTTTAACTAGGCACAGAGTTCTATTACTTTTGCTACCTAATATGCAAAACACTAAAGGAAGAGGGCTTATTAAAGAACCGCAGCATGTTTTGTAAAAGTTGGTCACTGAGTCTTTGACAGAACTGCTACAGTACTACAGTTCTAAGTTCCTACTGGCAGCTTCTATTTTGAGAGTCATGCCTTGATGGGAGCTACAAACAATGCAGCCCACAGTAGTACACATTCATCCATCCATTCATTCCTTCAGCAAATACACATTGAGGGTGGAATGTGATGGCTGATGTTAAGTTGGTTAGGAGCACACAAAAATGCACAGGACATACTTATTGCTTTGAGAAGCTCTGGGCCTAGTGGGGAAGATGAAGTGACAGATGCTCTTAGGGAGTAGGTTCAGAGTGGTGTGAAAAGTAGGGAGTGGCAATCTCTACCTGGGGAGCTGGGGATGGCCTCACGGAATAGAAGACAGGCTTCAGGGCTGAGAAGGAGATTTCCAAGTAAAGAGCTATAGGAAGGCGATTCTACACAGAGGAGACACCGTGTGCAGTCTCAGACGTGTGCAAGGACACAACAGGACATGTCTGTTTATGGTTTCAAAATTTTACTTAGTTCCCTATTAATTTTGCTAAGGGGGAACCATATGTGTGAGTAGCAGGACTGGGGGATATGAAGGTGGGTCAGAGCCAGATTGTTAAGAGCCTTCAAAAGGAATTTGGTCTTCAACTTAAACAAATTAGAAAATACGTGTAAAGTGCTTGGAAAGATGTCCAGCATATAGTGTATACTCGGTAAATACAAGCTGTTTCTGTTATGTTGAAGTAGACAGGAAACCAACCAAGGTTTTAAAGAAGGGAAAGGATGCTCATGACTATAATCCCAGCACTTTGGGAGGCTGAGGTGGGTGGATCACGAGGTCAAGAGATCGAGAGCATCCTGGCCAACCCAGTGAAACCCCATCTCTACTAAAAATACAAAAATTAGCTGGGCATGGTGGTGCACGCCTGTAGTCCCACCTACCCAGGAGGCTGAAGCAGCAGAATTGCTTGAACCCAGGAGGTGGAGGTTGCAGTGAGCCAAGATTGTGCCATTGCACTCCAGCCTGGTGACAGAGCGAGACTCCATCTCAAAAAAAAAAAAAAAAAAAAAAAAAAAAGGAGGGAAAGGATGATGATGGCAGAGTTGGTTTATAACAATAATTCTGATGCCAATATTGAGAATGGGCTGCAGTGGGGAGGCACTGTCCACAGGCCAGGAAAGGGAAATAATTCAAATAGTGAGGATAAGGCTCAGCAATTAGAACTTGTTCATTACTAAATTCCCAGGGTCCAACATAGTGGCTACTTGCAGTGGGTGCTCAATGAATAGTTGCTGAATGAATAAATGAATGGCAATGGGAGGAGGGAGCAGATCTGAGAAATCTCTAGGCGGCAGAAACAGCAGGGTTGGTGAGTACCAGATGTAGGCGTTAAAGGAGAGGGAGGTTTTTTTAAGGATGACTCTGGAAATTAGGCTTGGGAAGATGGTGTTGCCAAATTCTGCAATCAAGTAGAAAGGAGGAAGAACAGGGTTGGCAGGGAACATGAGGCTCTGGGAGTACTACTTTCTATGCATCTGCTGGGTTTAGCCTCTTGGAGTGTTGAGAAAAAGTGGGCAAGGGAGGACAAAGAACCCTCACATGGGCACTGAGCTGGGTGTTTTCCTTTTTACTGTGTTTAATCCCCACGGACTATGAGTTTGATATTGTTATCCCTGTTTACAGGTGGGGAAACTGGGGCTCAAGATGACACATTAGCGAGGTGGCAGAGCCCACATTAAAAACACGTATCTTTCTGCCACAAAGCCTGAGCTTTTTCCCCCCCTCCATCCATCAAATTGCCTCCTCCATTAAAATGAACATTTGGAATATGATATATTCCATATTTAGAAGGCTCGGGGGTGCAGGGTGAGTACTTTGCAAAGGAACCAAAGCCTAACTTCTGTTAACTTTCTGCTTCATCGATACTCCAAATCTGTCTTCCTCATTCACAGAGTCCCTATGAGGATCCAAAAAGATGTGAGAAATCTTTTGAAAAATATAAAGCGTTCTATAAAAACAAGGTGATATCAAAAATGAGAAGAAAAATATGTTCAGATTCTTGTTAAGGAATTCTAGAACACTGTAAAAGATGACAGAAGCTGGATACTGTCTTAGGACCATTTGACTGGCAACAGCCTCTTTCCAACTATGGTTCAGGGAGCAGGTTGAGGTTTTTCTGTCTTTAGGGGTCAGTCTTCCTAAAATATGAAAACCCGGGTTTGAGGTATGGGGAAAGAATGAATTTTGCCTTCCAAAGGCAGAGTTTACAACTTGACGGCTTTCACTCCTCTTTCAAAAATAAACCTAAATTCCTATCAGTTGTCTGCAGAGTTCCATCAGGGACTTGGTAGAGTGGCCCCTAACTGGGGAGCAGGAATTATATGTGCTTCCTCCTTGTTCTGCAAAGCCTCTGAACACCACCGAGGGCCCATGGAGAGCGTGATGATGTGTCTCTTGGCCCATCACAACGTAAGCATGCTGAGCAGAGGCTCTATCCCACATCCTCACTGTAGCCACAGTGTCCAGCAGGAAGGGGCTCACTGTATGTAACTACAAGAACTTTCGGTGTTTGCATTCTTCCCTTTGCTCTTTAAATGGCTGGCTTCTTCTTCCCACTCAGTTTTCAGCTTAGGTGCCACGCTGGGAGAGGCCTCCTGTGACTGCCCTAGTTAAATAGATCCCCCCTGCTACTCTCTATCACTGCACTCTGTCATTTTTCATGTGGTTCCTTTCAGAATTTATAATCACACATTTGCTTGTTTGGTTATCTGTGCCTCCCTCTCAAACCAGACTGTAGGCTTGAGGGCACAAAGCATGTCAACTCTATTCAGCCCAGCATCTAGCATGGGGCTGGCATGTGGTAGGCATTCAGGGTCTAACTGTTGTTTTAATGAACAAACAGACCTAAACCTGAGATGGTGGGACAACCGACAGGAAAGCAGAAGGCCCCCTCAGCACTCGGGGGCTGTTGTTCCATAATCAGGCTTCATTATGATCTGGGACCAGGGATGGAGCCGTGGATTGGCTCACATGTGGACTGGGCCCACCCCTCTGGACTCATCAGCAAGACATGCAAACCACATGAGTCAATGGTCCACACACAGCCCCAAAGGAGAAGAACACAAGTATCACTATTCCTCAACTTTGGAGTAGGTTCCTTGGTCTCCTAGTTAAATATGCATGGCACATAAAAATAATTGTGCAGACAGAAGGACTCACAGTTGCTTAATGTAGACCAGGAAAGTGTTTGAACCATTCAGTGGGTGGTGCGACTCCTAGGGGAAACCAGCCACGGGTGGGAATAGAAACTACTCCAGGAAATGGTACTGTATGGAACAATTTACATATTTTGGGGCATGGGAAGTTTTGGAAATGCATTTGTTCTCCTCCATATCTACCACTGAAATAAATCCTTGAGATTTAAAATGAGTAGATGATATTTAGTAATATGACTGAAAAATCACATAGGACTCATTTATGAGCCAGGCTTTATGCGCAATTTACAACCTGTATGGAAAGCAACACCATCCCCTGTTTTACAAAGAAGGAAACAAGTTCAGGGAGGTTATGCAAGTCTGTTAGATTTTAACACTTGCACTCCCTTCACCATGGAGCCAAAGCCTAGACTTAATTGTTTAGAATATCATTCTAAATTGCTTTTTGCAATGTCATTTCTTATGCATTTCTTACACACCTTTTAGGTGCCAGGAACGTATTTCTAAAGGCAGGATAGCATTGCAGAAATGCTAGCCTCCAAGAGATGGGGTGTATTTTCCATTGAGAAGCAGAATTAGGGGAAGGGTAGTTTTACCTCCTCAGTGTCAACTGAAATGGCAGTCATTCAACATTTCACTCATTTCCCATCAGACAATTTTAATCTGAATAAAGTTTTTAAAAATCTCTTGGCCGGGCGCGGTGGCTCACGCCTGTAATCCCAGCACTTTGGGAGGCCGAGGCGGGTGGATCATGAGGTCAGGAGATCGAGACCATCCTGGCTAACAAGGTGAAACCCCGTCTCTACTAAAAATACAAAAAATTAGCCGGGCGCGGTGGCGGGCGCCTGTAGTCCTAGCTACTCGGGAGGCTGAGGCAGGAGAATGGCGTGAACCCGGGAAGCGGAGCTTGCAGTGAGCTGAGATTGCGCCACTGCAGTCCGCAGTCCGACCTGGGCGACAGAGCGAGACTCCGTCTCAAAAAAAAAAAAAAAAAAATCTCTTAAGAAACCATCTCCTTACAAATTCCCTTCTTGCAAAATACTTATTTTTCAGTAAATATCTTCGTTGACAATTCTAACAAAGGTACTCAAATTCTATATCCTGGCTATGCCTGTCAAGAGAGTTGAAGGAGGCAGTGGCCATATTTAGAGGGCCAAAACCTGTTCTTCTGGTGGTATATTTTGCTGATCTGCTGATCTTGAAGGACTCCAGTGCCTTAAATTTACCCACATGTCATTTATTGCTGCCTAATGTGCTTATTCATTATTTTTTGAAAATAGAAGCATATTCGGAAACATATTTAATTTTACGATGTTAAAAATGATCACTTCTGGTTCTTCACCAGAACTATATGGAGTACCTGGAATACAGTAGGTACTCAGTAAGTACACTATTAATAAATGAAGAAAATATACGCAGGATAAAATAAACTGTTTTTCATAATTCTATCCATATATGATTTTTAGGATTGTACTGGCTTAAAAGCTGGGACTATACAAATACATCATCAATGTGAAAAGCTGGGAAAATGGGAATGCGAAAATCAAACTGGCTCTTGGCCAGTGATTTTTTTTAAAAAAACAAGGTCTTCAAATGTTTGTAAACTGCAAAATGTCCTTGTTGTCCTTCTCCCTTTTTTTTTACTACTGGCATTGTCATACAAACTTTGTGTCTCTTCCAAATTAGTCTGTTGTTTGGGATCCTTAACTACGGAGAGTGTCAACTGTGCGTCTCCAAGACAAACAGGTTGATGCGCTGTCTTTCTCAGACCTATGCTTTAAAGCCCAGGCTAGGGTCATGCTCTGAGACTAGAGCATTCTGACTTTCTCTGGTCTGCTCTTTTCTGGTCCTTGATTTTCTTATCTGAATCATGGGGTGTCCATTGTTTAGACGGAAGGTTGCAAATATAAATTAAATAATTCCTCAGCAAACAATATCTTTCTGTGAGGTGCATATATCAGTGGCTAGGAAAATATCTGAGGCCTGCTACATCATGGTTTAGTGAATAATTTGCATTTTATGATGTATATACAGTGTAGCTATGAATAATCTGCCAGAAATTATAGCTATACATATATAAGCCATACACTCACTAATGGTAACCCATTCTCCTTATTTTTGAACCCATTCTCGGTACCAGTAATAGAGAGCTCACTGGCTTTGATTTGAGGCAGACCTAGGTTTGAATCCTAGCTCTAATATGTACAGGTTGAATCTCAGGGAAAGAATTCATCTTTCTCAGCTTTAGTTTCTTCATCTGTGAAATGGAGATAATACCAACTTCATAGGCCTATTGAAGGCATTTAATGTGTTGATTATATGCATGAAGACTGATTTGTTAACAAACAGATGATTTCATGTGTGTGTGCATGAGTTGGGTGCAGCCTTAATAAGTGTTCCCCTTCTCTTCTGTTTTGCTATTTAATGTGATGGTGAGGAGAGTGGTCAGTGTTTGTCTGTCTCTTCCTTCTAGAAGTTAGGGTGGCATAAGATGAGGATATGGGGGACAGCAGCCTCAGGGAGATACTGAATAACCTCTGGGAGCCTAGGAGGACAGATGCTTGACACTAGCTGGGGACAAAAAAGGAAGAGCCCAAACAGTTTTTAAAGCAGAATCTTCTGTGTCTAGAAGAATCAATAGGAAGGTGCATCATCAAAAGAACTAGAGAACACAAATGACAGGGTATGACATGAGTGTTCACTTTCATTAAGTAAACACTGCTGGGGTTTACTTAATACCTGGTGAGAGGGAAAAAAAGCAGTATTACTCCACAAACATTTGTTAAAATATCAACTATGTGAGCAAGCCATACAATGGAGAGGCAATGATTCCTAAGACATAACCCCTGCACACAATGATTCCTGACATAACCCCTGCACACAGTGAGTTCTTAGTCACAGGGGAAGCACACACAGACACAAGAGGGCTGTGATTAATCCTATATGAAAGGACAACATGCCATGGAGCACAGAGGAGGAAGTAGTTACTTCTAAGAAGACCAAAGACATTTTCAAAGAGGTGAGGATATTTTAAGCGAGGTCTTAGAGGACGCTGTTCACAGGGAAGAGGAGATGTAAAAGCATTCTAGGCCAATGCACCTGCATGAGAGGAGTGGGATACGGTGTGAGCAATGCTTGGAGAATTGCAGCTATTTGGATACTGCTGGGACATAATGACCTCGGCAGCCAGGAATTGTGGTTACATTGCAGGGGGCCTTGAGGCTAGAGAGAGAGAACTGATTGAGCTTGAGGAGGGAGAGTGGGAAGGGACCCAGAGCACAGATGGAGTTATTGGCTTTGGAGATAAAAAGGGACACATGTTTCTCTGAGTAGGTGAGTCTGGGTGTTACTTGGATAAGTCTAGAGAAGAAGAGACAGTACGTTCTAACAGAACATGCCTTGTTACCTTCATGCTCTCGGTGTAGTGGGAGGCAATGTCACTGGTTGAATAAATATGAATAAATGAATGAATGAATAAATGAATGAAGGTGGCTAGGGTAGAGGATTAAGAAGCATTAAAATGAATATTTCAAGAACTATTTATGGGGGTCAGTAAATATAATATTTCTAAACTCAAAACTTCTAAACTCAAGGTATTTATAAGCTAGTTGAAGATGTAAAGACATCATACATCTTTTCAAAGCACAGGAAGTTAAATGAATGGTTCCTAAAATATGAATGTTCAGAGGGAAAAGTACGTTTATTAACTGCTTGACAAAGAAGTATGTAGCTATATTTTGTGTAACACACTATGGTGTAGTCTTATCTTTTTGGGTATGTTTTTCTTTCTTAATGTTAAAATATTTCATAGCTGGTCCATGTAACTATAGTTATACTTTTAGTTTTACTCAGGTTCCCGATAATGTTTGTCGCACAGACAGGTTTGTGTACTGGTTTTAATAATTCCATTGTACTTTCTACCTCCTCCTCCGCCCCCATCCCCAGGGTCTTCAGGTCACAGTTGGGACCTACTCTATGTACTCTGGTGCTCTCCATAAGCAAATGGGATGATTTCTCTGAAAAGACAGCTCTAGATTATAGTCCTGAAAAAGAGAGCTCTTGAGTCAATGAAAAAATCATAGTTTAGAGTAGAAGAGAAAGGTAAGTATGTTCAGAGGAAAAGCTGGTCAGATGAATGTAAGAGAGGCTTCTTTTATTTGTTCATTTAATTTTGAGACAGTGTCTTGCTCTGTCAGCCAGGCTTCAGCGAAGTGCTGAGATCATGGCTCACTGTTGCCTTGACCTCCTGGGCTCAGCCATTCTCCCACCTCTGCCTCCCGAGTAGCTAGGACCACAGGCCCATGCTACCATGCCTGGCTGTTTGTATTTTTTGTAGAGATGGGGTTTCGTCATGTTGCCCAGGCTGGTCTTGAATTCCTGGGCTCAAGTGATCCGCTCGCCTCAGCTTCCCAAAGTGTTGGGACTACAGGAGTGAGCCACCATGCCCAGTCTCAAGAGGAAATTCTTTTAGCAGAGCTTTGAGAGATAGGTATGGAAGAACAGGCTGGGGTTAGAGTATATGTTGCTAAGGAATCTGACCCTCACTCCATGGGCAATAAGGAGCCATGGAGCAGGGATAGAACACTTCTCTGGCACTACTGGAAGCTGTGATGTCCAATGTATGCTCTCTGGAAGATCTAACTAAACACAACCTTAGCACTTCTCTCAATTTTCTTTGAAAAGGCAAATCTTGTGAGTCATTTGTTCTCTGTAAAATGAGAGAGGAACATACATTATCACCTTATATTATCGATTTACATTAAGAAGACTTCCGGATTCTCTTAGGGTTGTTGTGTCTTTCTAAGATTTCAGGCAGGTGGGTAAATCCTTATTTTCATGGATTTTCTATTGGCTAAAGGAACGCTGTGTGTAGTTTGTTGGAATATACTTTGTAGAAGACATTCTTGCCCTTGTGAACCAGTTTGATTCCCGAATCACACAAGTGCTGGGTTCCAGAAGAGATTTTGGATATAACGCCAGGATTTCTGACCCTACAGCTAAGAATAGGCAGCAATAGGAACTCAAGTTACAAAAAATGACTTCAATAGAGCATTCACATATGTGATGGTATCAGAGCCCAAGTCTTCAAAGAGAAATATTTTGAAACTTCTCCCTGGTTTCTGGCAAGAGCAGCAAATCTTGATTTTTCAGGCCTTTATAAAAATAAGAAAAGACTAACAATTTTAAACCTGGGCATTAATCAACCATTTAATGATGCCAACAAATGAGTTTTACTGTAATTCAGTGCGGGGAGATTAAAGGAAACCTAAGAGCCACAAATAAGCCATTATGAACAGTTTACAGTGATTGAGTACATAAGCTGTGATTAATAATGATCAGAAGTAAATCTATGAATAACAACAAACAGAAAGGACTTGTTAGATTGAGAATTTTATCAGAAAGGTATAATTTGGATGTTGACTCAGTGGTAACAACAGGAAAAATAAATTACCTTTATGCATTTTAGTTTATGAAAATCAAATAGATAATATATGAAACAACATTTAAATCGATACAGCCCAGGAGATATAAAAGTATAGGTTTGTGTGGTCTTCTAATTAACTGACATTTACACATTTTTCTTAAGATCACTGTAAGCAAAATGGGAAAGCTCTCTAAATTTTTGGCCTTTTGGGAGGGAGGCTTTTCAGTCTTGCTCATATTTGAGTCAATACACTGATGTCTTGACTTGCGAAAAAATTTTCACATCCCTGTTTTGGGCTCTCATATTTTCTTTATTACACAGGAAAAAAACTTTATTGCACAGACAAACAGAAGTTAAATTGAATTGATTTTATAAGCTGCAATAAGTACAGCTCCCAGAAACAAATGCAAATGGAATGAACAGTTCTTACCATATGTTTCACATAGGCTACTCACGTTTTCTCTCGTTCCGAGATGATTTCAAAAAACCTGTTCTGTTAATGTATGTATGAAATTCTGCAATCTTAAAGATTTAAAAACCTATATGTTTTCAAAGACCTGAATATCCTGATACACATCCTTTCACACCTGGATGCCAAACACATACACTGAAATATATTCTATGAACAAAGGAATTTGAAAGGGACCACAAATTTCGCATTGCATGCTGAAGCTGTCCTGTGTCAGCTCTTCAAACTGGGGCCTCTGAATTTTAGGAAAAAGTGCTATTATTCTGGTTCAGTAAGTTTGACCCTTTGTTGTCTATCTCTGCTCCTTAGAGACACAAGCAGGCCTTGTGCTTACTAAGTGAATATTAATATCTTCATTAAACCTTGATAGACAAGCACACTACAGCCCTCATCCAAAATATGCACAAAATTAGAAGGCAAAAATAAAAAAAGAGCCAGACATTATAAGCCCGTCAATGGAAGCAGAGAGCCACACCATTAATGGTGGATTGAAAAAGACTCTGTGTTGTTCACCTCCCACGTATAAATGAGAACACACGGTGTTTGGTTTTCTGTTACTGTGTTAGTTTGCTGAGGATACTGGTTTCCAGCTCCATCCATGGACACAGGGAGGGGAACAACACACACTGGGGCCTGTCAGGGGTCAGGGGGAGGGAGAGCATCAGGATAAACAGCTAATGCATGTTGGGCTTAATAACTAGGTGACAGGTTGACAGGTGCAGCAAACCAACATGGCACACGTTTACCTATGTAACAAATCTGCAAGTCCGGTACGGGTATCCTGGAACTTAAACTAAAATTAAAAAAAAGAAAAAGACTTCCTCAGTTTTTTCTCTAATGGCCTGAAGCAAAAATTACTCTCATTTCCTCTTCATTGATATAATTTGTTTTTGAGAGGTGAGGGGACAATGGGAAGAGAGTGGTTTTAAGTCACTATAAAAAGATTATTGACAGATGCGTGGTAAAATGAAAGACTCAAAAATTCCTGACCCTTTCTCCCCTCCAGAGTTAGGTAGGCGGGAAGGACCCCAAACTTCCATACAAGAGTCTCTTAAGGTAAAATTAAGACAGCTTCCCCTTCGGAGTTTATGCTAGTATTTCATAATTTTCCAGCCAAGAGCTGGAAATTATGAAATAGTTGCATAAACTCTGTTAATATAGATGGATCAGGCTCCAATCTTGATTTTGCCATTTCTCATATCATTTTTCTAGGGCTGAGGGGGCGCACTTCTTGGAGTCCAGTTTCTGATATAAAGAGAAAAGCCATTTAGTGTCTTGGAAAAAAACAAAAGAAGGAAGGAAGGGTGTTGTTGATTTAATAGATCACCCTTATTGTTCTAATGGCTCCAGATGGCTCTCCTACTGTGTGGATGAGATTTGACAGTGCCTTCTTGGGGAGAAACAGAAGACTTCACTAGCTTCGCTCAGCAAATGACCACTGATTGCCTGGAATGGAGGAGTTAATGTGATCAATTAACAATGTTTGAAGAAAAATGATGTTTGCCAGCTGTTGATTTCATCAGCAAGAAAAAGCCCACAATAATCATCTTAGAAAAGAACTTAATTAGTTTTGATCCTAAGATAGCATGCAAAAGTTCTGGACTAATTTCTAGTCTGAAGATATTCATAACATATTAGAGCTGGCATGAACTCTGGTGATTACTAGAAAAAAAGATTTTTAAGTTTGTGAAAACAGAGATGTGCTCAAGGTCACCCACAGTTAACAGAAAAACTGGGGCTGAATCCTGGGGCTTCTGAGCTCTGATATGCTGCTTTTTCCCACCACAAATCACAGTTTTTGAGATTCACACTTTGAAAAGAATGATCCAAAGTAACACTGCCATTTTGGGGTGAGTGTTCTCTTATGACAGATGAGTTTTTTTTTACCTTCCTGTTTCCATATGTTTAAAATGCTATTAGTATTTCAAACCTCATTTTCTTTCTTTTTAAAAATTCAGCCATGATTTTAGAGTGACAGATTTGCCATATCAATTTCTAAAGGTAAGTGTTTGGGTCAGTTTGCTTTTTCTCTAAATTGTGTTTGTCATCCCTCAGTGTAGTAAGATTTTGGTGTGGTTATGCTGACATTAAAGTTTCCTTTTCTTAAAATAAAACTAATGACTTGACCTTGATATTGTATAAGAGTACAGGCCCTAGGGTCAGTCATCCTGGGTTCAGAACCCAGCCTACCACTTCTCAGCCATGTATTGCGGGAGAGTTATTTATGGTTCCCTACATTTCAGTTCTCTCATCTATAAAATGGGAACAGTAATAATCCCATTCTCAAAGGGTTGTTTGTGTGAGAATTAAATGAGCTGATCTATGCAAAGTACTTACACAGTGACTGGAACATAGTGAACACTCAATGTAGCTAACAGTTATTATTATTATTACTAGAAAAAAATTGAAAAATAATTTTATGTAATTGTTACTTACATGAGTAGCGGGGTCTCAGCTTCCCAACACACCATGAGAATATGAAATTTCATCAATAAATTCAAATAGACACTTTATGTAAAACCCTTTGCTCAAATAATGTAACTTAGCAATGACTGACTTTTAGATACTGGGGAAATGCATTCATATGAACCAGTGCGACATTCTGAAAACTGGTTCATTGAATCCCAATAATATAGGTTCTTACTCTCAAGTAGGAATCAATAATGCACATCCCCTCTGTACCCACATGCCCCATAAAAAAGCTGTTCAGGACAATCTTGCTTTATATATTATACACATTCAGGGCACATTTAGAGTTCTGAAATTTGAGGTGCAAAGTAAGCATTTTGATAGGGATATTTTTCCAAAGAATGTTTTTGGCCCCAGCATAAAATGAAAAATCTCTACCACAGACAGTTGCATTTCATGGTCCAATATAGTCTCTGCATGAAAACCAACAGATCATTCTACATGTCTCCTGACACATTTACAACAGGCACTCTGTGTAAAACCCATTCGCATCACTGGGGGTTCTCACCAATTCTTAGGCCCTTGACTTATTTGTGACTGGGATACCTTTATCACAAAGACATGCTTTACAGATATTTTCACGGACACAAGCTATTCCAGTCTTGTCCTGCATAATTAAGTTTTTACATTCAGTAAGTAGAGTTCACCTCTTCCTCCTAATGGTAAGTGTTTATTAACCATAATGACTAATAAAGAGGTTCTGGCCTCCGTCACCTGAGAAGAACAAAACAGTGGGGTTTTTCTGCAGCTCGGCTGGATCCCAGCTTCTATGACCTCTGCTGCTAACAGGCTCTCCACAGGCAATGAATGGGAGACGCCAGCTATGCAAATTAGAGTACTGATGTTCCTTGTCAGCTGCAAAGCCCAAATGGCCCTGAAGGTGACCCAAGTGAGGCTTCTGTGCTGTGTGCCTGGTTAGGTGGAGACCCTGATTAGTCTGATTATGGCAACAAATTTTTTAATTGCTTTATGGGGTGCATGAAAATTATATGTTTATCTCCTTTTATTGAATAAAGTGTGTTGGTTGTATATGTTCAATGTTGGTAGGGAGGAAGGTATTCTTATATATAAAGAGAAAATCTGTTACTCTTTATGTCAGATCAGTTGATAGATATTAAACAAATCATGTTGTTTTCTCATATTGAGTATAGATCACTAATGACCAGCTGGAACAGAAGTAAACTTGTACATTAGCCAGTAATGAACAAAATGCTAAAGATATAACTAGAGAAATTCTAGAGGTAAGGAAATAGTCCACATATATTAATACATTTTTTCCCACAGTCATCTTGGTAGAAAGTTGACCGTGATGTCGATGATATAACTGGGTCAGACAAATACCTTTTAATAGTCTGTATTACTTACACACGCATACGTGGCAACAGATTTACCTTAGACATAAACACGAGTTTATATTCCTGGAGGTGTCCTAGAAGCATGCTGACTGTTGTGTCCTCAGTATTATTCACTTCAATAACCGTAAGAGCTGGCGTTCTCTCCAAGACTCTGTTCCTTGAAGGAAGGAACTATCTACTGTTCCCCTAGTAAGACCTGGCCTACAATAGGTGTCTGTGATGCTTTTTTTTTTTTTCATTTTTAAATGTCCATTTTGTTTATTGATACATAATATTTGTGCATACTTATGGTACGTGTGATATTTTGATACATGTATAGAATTTGTAACAATCAAGTTTAGAATATCCATCACCTCAAACATTTATCATTTCTCTGTGTTGAGAACATTTCAAGTCTTCTCCTCTAGCTATTTTGAAATATACAATATACTGTTGTTAACTACACAGTAGTCACCCTACTGGGCTAAGGGATGGTTAATGTGTCTACTCAGCTAGATCACAGTGCCCAGATATGTGATCAAACATTATTCCAGATGTTTCTGTGAGGATGTTTTTGGATGAGACTGCTGTTCACACTGGTAGATTTTGAGTGAAGTAGATTACTCTTCCTAATGTGGGTGGGCCTCATCCAATCAGGTGAAGGCCTGAGTAGAACAAAGGACTGACCTCCCGCAAGCAGGAGGGAACTCTGCCAGCAGGCAGCCTTTGGGATCAAACTGCAGATTCTGGACTTGCCAGCCTCCATAACTGCATGGGCCAATTCCTTAAAACATACCTTTCTATGTATGTATACTTACATCCTAGTGGTTCTGTTTCTCTGGAGAACCCTAATACTGTGTCCAGTAAAAATCTGTTGTCTGATGAAGGAAAGATAATTGCCTGCCTCTTTCCATCCCTTCAACACTCACCCTGACTCTCAGAACACACGCTGTTTGGCCTCATCCTAATCTCCATTCCCTCAGTTTCTCTGTTACATCCCTGCCATTTATCCCATTTATGATATCCCTCCTTCCTTAGGCAGGATAAACTTGAAGATACTGTTTTCATCTTCAGCATACTACCTCCTTTGTCTTTCCTCTGCTCGCCTTGTAAATCTTCAACATCTAATCAAATCATGTGCCTTCTCTAACCTCACTGTTGTTTTCTGCTGGAGAGAAGCCCTGCCACCAGCCAGTACATATTCATAATGGTTGACTGTATGTGGCTGGGCCCTCAGACCGCTCAGAACACCTTTTCATGGTCCTTAGTCAGCCCCTACTCTCTACCACCCCAAATCTTTCTTGCTATTCCTCTGGTCTCCCATTTCTATCTTCAGACTCTCGATCTTATTGCCTGACAAATGTTTCAAGCAGAACTCATCACCTTCCCCACTTCTTGTTCCTCTTGCTTAGTCCCTGTTGTGATAAATTATGTCCCTCCCCTCCCCATTCATCTGCCCAAGCTGGAAGAAAATTTGGCATCATCCATGCCTCTTCTTTCATCTTCAATTCCATCACCCATCCAGTTATTTAACAAGCGTTAGCTGAGTGGCTATTATGTTCCTGGCATTATTCTAGAGCTTGGGATATAAGAGTGGACAAAGTAAAACAAAAACACTCCTGCCCTCATGGAGCTTATATTCTAGCAGGGGAGAAGGATCATGAACATAAGAATAATTAAATTTACAGAGTATATTAGAAAGTGAATAAACGAGACAGGGAAAAATAGAGCATGAAAAGGGTGATAAGAATCGACGTGTGTGTTGGTGGGGAGGTGGAGTGTGCAGTGTTAAACATGGTGGTCAGGATATGCTTCAATGAGAAGATGGCACTGGAGCCAAGACTTGAGGTGAGGGAGGGACTCACACAGATATCTGGGGACAAATCACTTTGGGTCAAGGCAATAGCTGGTATAGAGGGCCTGTCTTAATCCATTTGGGCTGCTATAACAAAATGCCATTGGCTGGGTAGCTTCAAAACAACAAAAATTTATTTCTCACAGTTCTGGAGGCTGGGAAGTCCAAGATCAAGATGCTGGCAGATTCGGTATCTGGTGAGGGCATGCTTCCTAATAGATGGCCGTCTTCTCACTGTAACCTCACGTGCAAGTGTTAGAAAAGTTGGGGGAGCCTGAGGGTGTCTCTAGGTTGTTGTTGTTCTTGTTAAGGTACTAAGCCCCTCCCAAAGGCCCCACCTCCTAATACCATCACTTTAGGAGTTAGGATTTCAATATATAAATTCTGGGGAGACACAAACGTTCATATCTAAAGCAAGGCCCTAAAGAGGGCCTTTTTGAGCGAAGTAGGCCCTAAAGCAAGAGTGTCCCTGGCATGTTGCTCGAGCAGTCACAGCACTTCTGCGAATCTTCAGTTACAGCACTCCTGTGAATCTCCAACTGTCCATCTCACTGCTACTACCTCAATCTAGGCTCTGGGCCTTCTCACCTAAATTAATATACTGATTTCCTAAGTGGTTTTCTTATATCTGGTCTTGCTGCATGCCCACCTACTTCCCACACCGAGCTAGAATGACCTTTCAAAAACACAGATGTCACCTCATCAGAATTCTTCCATGGCTCCCCACTGCCCACAGGCTGACATGTGCACATTGGGAGGGCTTAGCCCTCTCCCACCTGGCTCCAGCCCACTGCTGCAATATCACAATATCACCTCGCCCATCCTTGACGCTTATCCAGAGGTCTGTACATAAGATTCTCTAAATGCACCAAGTTCCCTCTGGACCCTTCACCTTTGGGACACTGCTTCCTCCTCATAAAACACCTATCTCTTTTGCTACCCATTGCAACCCTCCTCGTGCTAGAAAGCATGGCCTGGTCAGCTCAGTCTCATTTCCCTTTCCCTATACAACATTGCTTCCTGCAGAAAGTTCCTCCTGCCCTTCCTCTCTCTGGCTTAGGTACCCTCCACTATGCTTCCACAAGAGTGTGGCTATCTCTACTGCAGCAATTTCATACTGTATCTTCACAGTCTCTTTATTTTTTGGGCTCCCCTAGTAGGTTTTGAATATGGGCAAGGATCATGCTTTTTAAATATCCCAGCACTTGGAGCCTTACTTGATACATAAGGAGATACTACATAAGTTTTGGTCAAATGAATAAACAAATACACAAATAAGCCCCATGTGGAAAGGTGAGGATTATATAGATGCATAAATAGGGAAAAACTATATGCAGAAACTGTACATAGCTTCCTCTAAAAAGGAATTTCTTATGGAAGCAGAATCTGTAACCATGAGGCAGCCACCCAGAGGAGTAGAGTAATGATTTGTGCTGCTCCAGTGACTATGGGTTAGGATGAGTTTCCAGGTCAACTGGATTACTCTGATCCCTCTTTAGAGCCATTGCAAGAAATCACATCTCAAGGAAAGACTCTTCTGGCACCTAATCTCTTTTGTACTTTAGTCCAGACAGTGCGAGGCCATCTTCAAATAAAACAATCTCTTTGGCTTCACAGACAAGAAAAATGTAATCTATTTCCTACACGTGACAACAAGAGAAAATCTAAAATGGCACAAAAATGTAATGGTAATATCCTACAGAGAGGAAAGAGCTGAATCAAAATGAAATATGACCAAATGCAATCAGCAGCTAACAGCAGGAAAAAGGCAGCTGTCATCTTCATTTCTTTCATAAACTTCTTAGAACAAATTATGTCTTTTAGAATGTAAGTCAGTTTGTCGGGCGCAGTGGCTCACGCCTGTAGTCCCAGCACTTTGGGAGGCTGAGGCGGGCAGATCACGAGATCAGGAGATCAAGACCATCCTGGCTTCATCCTGGTGAAACCCCGTCTCTACTAAAAATACAGAAAATTAGTGGGGTGTGGTGGCGGGCACCTGTAGTCCCAGCTACTTGGGAGGCTGAGGCAGGAGAATGGTGTGGACCCGGGAGGAGGAGCTTGCAGTGAGCCGAGATCGCACCACTACGCTCCAGCCTGGCAACAGAGCAAGACTCCATCTCAAAAAAAAAAAAAAAGAATATAAGTCAGTTTTCTTTCTGGATACTACTTCGTAAAGCTTCTGCCGTTTATGGGAGGTAAAGCATTCTCTGCATCACCCAACTTCGAAGCTGGCCTGCATTTGCTTAGACATTTCATTCATGAAAGCCTGCCCTCTCTTAGCAGAGGAGCGATCTAAACACCACAGTCCCAAACACCTCCATCTGACTGTCTCCTCTGTTTGTCTATCAAACCACTGATTAAAACACATTCTGCATTGATTGATTAATAAACAGGTTTCAGCAGCTCTGGACACTCAGAGTCTAGAAGGAGAAAAGTCTAGACTCAAATAGATAAAAACCCGTAATTCAAGGCAGAACACACCCTGGGCCCGAGGGGGCTGGAGGAGAGGTGCCAAGTGTGGGCTGCGCATGGAACGGGAACACTGGTGTTAGGTGTGGGCTGCTTGGAACGTCCCAGGAGTAGCTTGCCTCATGTTGCAGACTAGGAATCCAGCTGTCTGGAGGTGGAAGAATCCATGGATGGTGCATATTGCAGAGACACGGTTTCAAAATCTTTTGCAGGATGCACATGTTAGAAAAGAGATCTTAAAAAATAAAAAATCCTCTAATGGCTTTAAATGAGCATGAAGCATTCAGATGTTAATGTTTAGCTGTGTAGACAAGGTGTTTCCCAAGTTATCTCAAAGGTTGATGACATGACGAATTGCCCCCTTTAAAGAAAATACCAAATACACGAACAACAAACTTCCCCGAATGTGTTGACTATCTTTTGGAATGAAGAGAAAATCTGGGTCGAGTTGAAATCACCAAAAGTCAATCCACAAAGTGGAATGACATTGCTAACACACTTAGCATGAGACCTGACCCCATCTGATTATTGCTCAGCAAATGGGGGCTGTCCTGATTGATTACTATTTGTCCAGTCTCTCACCAGCTGAGCTCTTTCCTCTGTTCCTAAAATAAAGGGTAGGGTGGGGGACTTTGTGCCAGATAACTAATCTTTACTCAGTACCTTTTCTGTTTCAGGCATTCTGTTAGCAGCTTGATGTACTGTTCTCATCTATCTCCTCAAGAGTCCTTTGAGAGATATATTTTATAACTGTTTTGTAGAAAAAAACCACGAAGGATCTGGAGATGTTAGGTGTATCCAAGGGCACAAGATGATTGGGAAGGAGTGAAGATATGGATGCCAGAGCCTGAAAACACTCCATGTGTCCCATGGTAGCTTGTTCTTTGGCCAAGTAGCCCTTGCACACCCCCGCCTTGTCTTGAGACATGTCACCAAAGACACTCAAACCATAAGCTCCATGAGGAAGGAATTTTTTATTTTCACCATTAATTATACCCCAGTTCCTTCCACAGTGCTTGATGCATGCTTGGTATTCAATACATATTTATTAAGAAGTGAATAGACCCAAGGCCTGGGATGAAGTTTCTGTCTCCACCACCACTTTCCACCCATTCAAGAGTGAGCTGCTCCCCTACGAGGACTGGGCACGAGTCAAAACACTCCTGGGAAGGATGAAGTCTTTTGGGGAGTTCAAGAACTCCTGAGTCCGGACAAGACTTGTGCCAACCTGGGTGACAAAGGAACTGTGAGACCCTGGATGGAGTTACAACCCGAAGATATGCCTGAGGCCTGTCATTCAGCACTTAATTCCTTTTTCTGGTGAAAATTAAAGTAACTAAAATCCTGGAACCCTAGAGGCTTCCAGAATTGTAACAACTGTCTTCAGTAGCCATCAATCTAATTACATTTTTGCAATATTCTCATTTTGAGCTACAAAGGTACAAATTACACAAAATTGTGTGTGGAATGCATACATATGTATGTGTGTGTATGTGTGTATATATATGTATATATATAAACGTTAACATTTAGATGTTAATGTTTAGCCATGTAGACAAGGTATTTCCCAAATTATCTCAAAGGTTAATGACATAATTGTCCCCTTTAAAAAAATACTGAAAACATGAAAAACAAACTTCCCTGAATGTGAGCCTCACTTTGTTCTGTACAATGGAGATAATAAAACCTTCTGTTTCACATGAAGAGTACATGATGGAATATGGCAAAATGTCCTGAAAACCAGAAAGTAGTCTTGTCAATAGCCAAGATCTGCCTGACTTTTTCACTTGGGGTGCAGTAGTTAAGAGGGAATGTGCTGGAGCCCAGCTCTGGCATGGCCACTAGCAGGTTTGGGAGAGCCTGTGCTTCAGTTGCTTTACCTGTAACAGGGAGATGGAAATGTACCCAGCTCCTGGAATTGTTTGAAAGATTCAATGTGAATTCAATGATATAACACATCTAAAGCACTTAGAAGAGCCCAGCACATGAACAATGCTTAAACAAATGTTTGCTGTGATTATTACTGTGCTTTCGGGATCACTGTGCAAATGACGATTCTGGTCAGCTATGCATTCCCAGAGCAGTGGAAGGGTTCACTAGCAGCTATCTTCAGTAATACACTGCAGTGAGGGGTAGTCAGATCCAGGCCCACAATCCAATAAAGGTGGTTGGTCCCAGAAGTTATTTTGCCAGATAGGCAGAAATCAAATTGAAGAGAAGAGCTTTGGGGAGCATGTGTTCTTTACTTCCTTTTCCTCCCTCCCTCACCCTTTTCTTTTCTTTGCTATTTAAATAAACCACCACTTTCAGGCCTGCCTGGGAGAAGATATTAGGGCAGCAGGGAGTCCAGCTGGGAGATGATGAGGAAAGCAGCTGAGCCCCTGCTATTCCACCTCATCCACTCCATCCTCCCCAATTAACTGGTAACGAGGTGGTGACGCCCTAACCACATTTCACTTCCTGCTAACAAAGCTTGTACAACAAATGCAAACACTTGGCTGTCAGCTTCTGTCCAGCACACAGCCTCGTTATCCATCTCACCCTTCTGCATCTATGTCAGCATCCAGGAGGCAGGCCCAGGACGACAAACCTTCTTTGTGCTACACTCAATGCCGTACCAGGCTCTGATGGTGCTTACAAAATGCCTTTGCCCGACAGTAACAAGAAAGGTCCCTTATAGATGATTTTGTAAGAGGAGACATATTCTGTGCAGGCTTGTGTCATTCCTCTGATTATTCAGACTGGGAGTAGGGGCAGGGAAGGTGCCACCATTTCATTTCTTCCTTTCTCATCTGATAAAAATTTCTTCCCACCTCTTTGAATTGAGGTCAGGTCTTTTTCCCTTTTCTAAATTTGCCTCAAAGAAGTCTTTTTCATTTTTCCTTAAGAATGACTTTAATGGTCTACATTTTAACCTCTTCCTCATGTAATGTAAGTGATCTGCAAACTTTCTTATATCTTATTCCTTTTGAATTTCAAATTCCTTTTTTTCTAAATCAATCCCATTATGGCAAGACATTATTACTTTCTGCTCACATAAATACTATCATCCATAATTTTCTCTCTTCCCTCATAAAGCATGATTTATGTTGATATTTAAAAGTAAATTCTGATATTTAGTCTAAGTACTGTCTTACATATTAATTCAATAACATAATTTCTACGATAGAAAAGTACATAAGAGTACAAAATATGAAATAAGCTTGATATAGACATAGTTATCTGCATTTGACCAGTGAGGAAACAAAAGCTCAGAAAAATTAGATACCTTGCACAAATCACAAAGAAATCAGTGGTTCAGCTGAAAATTAGAACCAACATCTTCTGATGATTACACAACTTTTCTGGTTGACTACCAAAGAAGATACTAGAAAAATTACTAATGAGTGAAAATAAAAAGACATTTCAAAGTCTTTCATATTTAACACAAAATTATTTTTCCATAGAAGATATTCAAGAAGCAGTTACACATTTGAGGAGCTGTTTTTTTTTAATTAAAAAAACCATATTCTTTATCTACATCTAGATAATGTAGATTGATGATCCATCTAAATCAAGAATTTATCTTCTACAGTGGGAACAAATTACTGGAATTTAAGCAACGTGAAATCTCATCACTTTAGCAATGACAATGAATGTGATGTAGCTTTCAATGCAGTACTGAAAAAGCTTGTACACTGTCACATGTCCCAGGCCCTTAGGAACAAAGTTTAGTATGCAATGAGTGACGAGCTCTATAATATTTTCATTCGAAACAGAGCTACACAGGAAATCTAGGATGTTTATAATAATATTTGGAATATTTGGTATAAATGTAAAACATTGTAATAGTTTTCTGGGCAGATAAGAGCTCATCATATATCCTTTTAGTTAAGTCAAGTGACTCTGGAGTCCAGTTATACCATTAGTTCAAACACTACCAAAGACTAAATACAAGCTCTTACAGGCTGAATTGCATCTCCCCAAATTCATATGTTGAAGCCCTAATTCCCAATACCTATGAATGAGACTGTAGTTGAAGACAGGGCTTTAAAAGAGCTAATTAATGGCTGGGCATGGTAGCTCACGCTTGTAAGCCCAGCACTTTGGGAGGCCGAGGAGGGCAGATTGCTTGAGGTCAGGAGTTTGAGACCAGCCTGGGCAATACAGTGAAACCCTGTCTCTACTAAAAATACAAAAATTAGCTGGGCATGGTGGCGTGTGCCTGTAATCTCAGCTACTCGGGACGCTAAGGCAGGAGAATCACTTGAGTCCACGAGTTGGAGGTTGCAGTGAGCTGAGATTGTGCCGCTGCACTCCAGTCTGGGTAACAGAGCTAGAACCTATCTCAAAAAAATAAAAAAGAGAGCTAATTAAGTTAACATGGGGGCATTAGGGTAAGCCCTAATCCCATAAAACTGGTGTCCTATTGAGATTAAAACACAGACATTACAGAGGGTTGACCTTGTGAGGGTAAAGTGAAAAGGGGGCCATCGCCAAGCTAAGGAGAGAGGTCTCAGAAGAGACAACCGTGCTGATACCTTGATCAGCTGACACCTTGCTGATACCTTGATCAGGGTTCTGGAGGCAGGACTTCCAGCCTCCAGAACTGTGAGACAATAAATTACTTCTGTTTTAGTCACTGTGGTACTTTGTTATGGAAGCCCTAGCAAAACTAATGCACTTAACAAACTTAACACCTACTTTCTTCCTCCAGCCTCTGTGCCTGTGTTTCATGCCAACTTTTAGTTTCTCCTTGATCTGCCAGTAATACAAAGATGAGAAGGTCTGGAAGGAGGATTTAGGATAAGCTGAGAGGATCCATCTTGTAAGACTATACTTTCCTATGAAATGCTGTTTCCTCCTTGTTGCCTGGAAAACTCATCCTCAATCTTCTAGACCTACAGTTGGGTTATTCTTCTTCAGAACCTTAATCTCTTCAAGGTGGTGCCTCTGCTACACCCTATAAACCCACCTCTGGCACAGCACATATCACACCATGTTAGAATTGCTTCCATTGGCAACTCCTTCCTGATCTTGTGAATGATTTGTGCTGCTCCAGTCACTATTAGGATGAGTTTCCAGGTCAACCTCCTGTTTTGAAAGGAGGGACTTACCTTTGTGGTCATGTATTTGACACCTAAGACTTACTCGTTAAGTGTTTGTTGAATGAATGAATGAAATAAAATGATCTCCATTCCTATTCAAATAAGCCTGTAAATAACAGTTTAAGCATGGTCATATTTGTTTGTTGAGAAAGAGAAGTATTAAGTGATATAAGGTTTAAAAAAGCAATAAAATCTGCAAAAAGAAAAGTGTCTATTGATGAATTTATTAACAGGAAAGAAAGTAATCGAGGATAAGAAGATGGAAAAGGTGGAAGAAGAGACCTTGACAACCTGAAAAGGTTATACCCTTGTGCAGATGTGGTGGACAAATCCTCACCTGAGAGGAGGAATCAAAGGGGCAACTGCTCTGAAACCGGCCCTAGAGCATCCAACCTAAAAACAATGCCTTCATCATGAAGTTCCAGAACCAATGATTCAAAGGATACCCCACTGAAAAAAGACAGTCGTCGTCCTAGAGGTAAAAATCACTTTACTTGCCAATAAACAGAAACATGAGCAAATGGGAAATAAGCAAAAATGAAATGATGTGTGTGCTCTCTTCCAAAGGGCAGCAAAAGCAGCTGAGTTAATGCTAATGGCTCACATATGGTGGGTGGGGGGAAAGGATGTTATAAGTCACAAAACCCTGGAATGGAGCAGAGGCCTGTCGGCAAGTTAGGTGGTGATGATGGAGTCAGGATGACTTGGAAACACTGTGAAAAGATGGCTTCAGATAATGGGCCATTATCTGTCTGCCTCTTTTCACTTTGACTACTGTCCTCTATAAATAATGTAGCTGGCTAATCTAAAACATACAGAATCAATAGGAAGCCAAATATTTAGGTACCACAAAATGAGGCAAAAAAAGAGCCCAGATTTTCAAACAATGCAAGTGACCCTGAAAATTGTAACTTGGCAAGTCTGCAATATTGTGAGAGCAATAACAATCTGTTAACATCTAGAGGGAATAAACCCAAAAGAAATAAGAAGCCGAGCTTTATGAAGGGAAAAAAAAAATGGCACGCCAAATTTGATTGCTTTTCTGATGGAATTACAGGATTACTAGTTTAAGGGAGTGGAGCAGATGTGATATATTTGAATTTTATTAGGGCATTTGGGAGAACGTCTCACACAATTTCCTTCACAAAACTAAGTGACTTTAGCTTGAACATGAACTGAGGAGATAATAAATGAAGGGTAATAATACGTTACAGTCAATCTCATCGGGAGGAAGGTGTTTAAGAGGTGACACTAAGGCTCCTGTTGTTTGGGGTGGATAGAACATTGATTTTAATGATCTGTAAAAAAGGAAGAATAAGAGTGACAGAGAGGAAACATGGAGATTTATTGGACAAAAAGACTAGGAACCTGGTTAAAAATACCTGAATATAGGGAAAATGCAAGCTAACAAATATATCTGTATGTTTAGAAAAGTAAATATATTTGGAAAAATATTTGCAGAAATGCACACATGAAAGGAGAAAAATGAGAAATTAATAACACTGAAAAGTACACAGGAGAAGCTCCTTGTAATAAACTTGAACTGCAATACAGATATAAAATAAGAGATCTTAATAACTTATACTGTCATAACAATGACACACATAGCTTGCCCCAAAGTAAATTTTAGGTTCAAAAAGCTAATTTTACTCCTCTTTGAATTGTATCATTATAAATTTTAACCTTCAAGTTTAGCAATAAAATGACTTAAACAGTTTAAACAAAAGTGTAACTTCCTATAATGACAGCAGCATCCATCGAAATACTGTACCATCTGTGGACTAGAAACTACCCTTCTTCATCCTAGACTTTGCCCTCTTATTCATCTCCACTGAATCACAAATCTTAGACAATTCTGCCTCCTTGCCTCTCTTTGGGACCTATCCTTGCTCCTTGTTCCATAGATGCTAATTTGGTTCCAGCCCTCATTCTTTCTTACCAGCATTATTACCAGAGCCCAGTATTGCAGTATCACATCTGCTCTCTGTGCTGTCAGAACAATCTTTCTGGAAAGCTGACCATGTAAATTCTCCCTGTTTAAAAACCTCCAGTGGCTCCCCATGCCCTATAAGACAGGCCTAGGCATAGTGTTCAAGCCCTTGAGGATCTGGTCCCTTCTGATCTCTTTAGCTCCTTCTCTTTCCAACTCTCTCCTCCCTTTCCACACTCTGGCCTGAAGCCCTTCCAGTTCTCGGCAGCTCTGTTGTCTGTTTGCCTGTCTACCCCTCCTTGCTTCCTCCTTCAGGATGCCATGCAGATGCCATATTTTGAAGGAAGCCTTCCTGGTTTCTTTCTTTCCACTCTTGTTTCTTTAGTTTGTTTATCATGCAATTTTTTCTACTCTATCTATAAATGGTGGGAGGCAGGGGCTGTTTTAATCCTCTATGTTGCTAGCCTGGGACACACAGTAGGCCCGTATGTACATGCTGAATAAATGGACCCAAACCACCAATATAATCAGGGACTGTGTCTACTGGTAAGGCAGGCCTGGGTTTGTGATAAAAAGTGCATTGGTTTTGTGGGCAGCATAGTGGAGGCAGAAATAACCTCTAAAAGGACTACAGTGATGACACAACTGACACACTGCTGTAACAAGCCAGGGGGTAACTGGGGTGTGCACCTGTTGGCCGGTGGCTCTTGAATTCAGTCTTCCTCATTCATCTGGCCTACAAAATACCATAGTTTAGATCAGACCCTGCAGGAACCATAACAAAAACTGAAGGACAGGCTGGTCTTTAAGTACAACTTAGCAGAGCATGACAAATGCAGATTGAACCAAAGTGACCCTTCCCACCTACAAATATAGTCATACTACACCTCTGCTTAAAGTCCCTTCAATGGCTTCCCATTGCTAGGAGGCTGATGTCTAACAGCCTCATGTCTCTCCTCTTCCTCACACTCACTCATATTACATTACCACTGGTTGCCACAGGCACCACATGTGGGATGCTCCCATGCCTTCATCCGTGCTGTTTCCTGTAACTGCTGGAAGTGCCCTTTACCCTCAACCCTTTCTCAGGTTTCCTGGTGAATTCCTGATCATCCTTGAAGTCATCTCAAGTATGACCTTCTCTGAGAAGTCTCCCACAACCTTTCTAGGTAGAGCTGAGCATGCCTACTCAGTGTCGCCAATGCACCTTGTAATCTATCAATTAATGTAATTGAACAGATTACAAAGTGCATTGGTGTCTGTTACATGCTTGCTCCTGTCCCACGTTATGGGCCTTACACGTCTTTGTATTCTGGGATTCTAGCACCATACCTGGCCCAGATCAAGGACTCAAATTATGTGTTGAATTGAATTTGTTGAATTCACATGAAAGACAATACTTATCCAAAGCCTGAATGGCTAAAGTGGTTATCTTTGGGTTTCTTTTGACAATAGGAAGCATCATCAGAATGGACTAAAATGATCAAGAATGTGCAGAAGGACCTCCATAATCAGTAACTATAGAGATACCAAACTTTTTAGTTACATAAATTGAAGACAAGAGCAATTACAGAAGATTATATTTAATGGCCTTCAGGTACAGGTAGAAATCACATGATATTTTAGACTGCTTTCTTTAAAAATGCATCAAAGCACTGTGAAAAGCCAAAAACATCCTTTTGGAAGCAGCATTTTATACCAGGTATTTAAATCTATTTTCACTGTGAGTTTATTCAGAGTAATTGTATAATAAAGAAAAGCACTTGGCTTCAGGTCACTATGCATATATAGCTAAATTATGCAATTAGATGACATGTAATTAACCAGAGTAGCAACACAGCCAATCTAATGGGGCCAGTTGGGGTCTGAGTGACTCATAAAAACATTATGTAGTTAAGCGATAGGCACCTACAAGAACAATGAATTTTGGTCTACCTGCAGCCTAATGAGTCCCTCCTGTGACTAAAGAGGTAATGCAAAGAGAGGTCTCAGAGACAGGGCAGTGTCAATGGAAATTCTGTCTAAGAAGGAGCCAAGGTATCATCTTGATTCTTATTTTCCAAAACTTCTAATGAGATAAGAAATCTCTCCAAACGTACTGCTGCCAACATTACCAGCTTGACTCTTCCATTACCACAAATAATAAACAAAAAACATTAGTTAAAGCTTATTTTGAATGAACTTGAAGAAATACTTCCTGACCCATTACTCAGGTAGTATATACAACAGATTGACTATTCAGTAAGTGAAAACTAACGGCGGAAGAAATCCAAATTAGCTTTCTTCCTTTTCCTTCAAGGATGTATACATGGCAAGCATGCATGAATTAACACAGTTATGAACAAGAAATATTATCTCTTGTGTAAAGATCAAGGTTTACTGTCTCATTGTGTTTGGTTTTGGGAACGTAGTTTTGATTTTGTTTGCTTAAGAGATGGAAGAATTCCAGTTCTGAAAGAATTCAAGCTATGAACAGGAAAGTATACTTCAATAATTGTCCCAGTGACCCTTATTTTTATTAAGAAGAATCTAGCAACTGTCATACTTGCTAATGTGGCAATAATTCTTCTAATCTTAAATTTTTAAGTAAGGAAAAAATGAATATGTAGCCATTTAATCACAAACTCATCCTCTATTTCCCAACACCACTTATTCCATATATATATTTACTGAATATAAATATACTAGGCCTCAGTGGAAACACGAAGGATGTGCAAGACTCAGTACCTGCCTTTAAATAGCTTACAATCTACTAGAGGAATGAAATCTGTCGCCCACTCTTTTATTTTCTTCTTCGAAATGGTTTGAGTATATACAGTATACTCTAAAGGTTTAATTAAAATGGAATATATAAAAATCTGAAAGGATACATACTAAAATGTAATCTGAAAGAGGGGTAGCAAATTATTCTTTTTGCTCTCTACATTTTCTAATTTTTTTTTTCCCTAATGAGGACGTACTACTTGTGTAAAAAGGAGAAGAAAGTTATTTTATGAAAGATGAAAAAAAAAAAAACACCTCACTCTGGTTAGCCTGATATTTTGTCCTTTTGAACACTTAAAAGGCCCCATTACCAGGCAGAGGTTGCAATGAGCTGAGATGGTTCCACTGCACTCCAGCCTGGGTGACAGAATGAGACCCTGTCTCAAAACAAACAAACAAACAAACAAACAAACAAAATGCCCCATTGCCTAAACTCTGAAAAAGTCAATACGGGGTTGTTGACAAAATCTATTATTACTGCCCATCTGGTGATCTGCTGCTCCCCTACCAGTGAGGAAGCTTCTTGAGGTCGGGGACTCTGTCTTGTTTGCTATTTTGTTTGTTCAATTCCTAACAGGGATCAGAGGACACCATAGATAGGTAATAAACGTGTGGGGAAGATGGGAGGACAGGAGAGCAGGAAGAGAGCAGGGAAAGCTGAAGGTACACACACTTCTGAGGCTTTTGTTAAAATTAAGTATTTAATGCGATCACTTTGGGGAAACCACATTGATTAAACTGACGGGAGGCATGAAAATGACATAATTGATACAACCGATAATTTTATTCTTCAACAAAATCTACTATTGGCCAGAGTGCCCCTTTGAGAGATAATGGTTCATATCAGGGAGCAATTTGCTTTCACCCCTTGCATACAAAGCGGGTTTCAAAACCTATGTAGTTTCGGAACAAAAGAAAAACTGTAATGTCTTAATTTTTAAGCTTTTTTCAATGCAGAGACTCTAACAAAGCAGATCTAATGAACAGGGCATCATATTGCATACTGTCTGTGTGATTGGCGCCTTCTGGAGTTGTGCAGAAGACAACCTGTGAGGCCATATTTAGCCACTCTGGGCTTGCTTCAGGCTTTAAGTTCTTGTTGTTAAACTTAATTTTTCAGATCCATGTGGTTTGGAAGCATTGTGCTTATGCCTAACTTTGGTGATGTATTGACCTTTGTGGACCAAGGATGAAAGCTGGCATGAAATAAGTACAGGAAACTTCATAAAATAACAGCCAGCATTAATTGAGCACCTACAAACTGTCAGAGGGCTATCCATCTATGTGTCTATCTAATATTTAGTCTTCAGAATAACTGTGCAAGGTAGATATCATCACCATTTTACAGATGAGCAAAATAAGTCTTAGAAAGGTTTAGTTTAGTAATTTTCCCAAAAGCACACACAGCTAATAAGTCATAGAGTGAGGATGTAATTTTAGGTCTGATCAGCAACCTCAATATGTCATTCATCCTCGCCTTTCCTCTGAAGAAAAGCAGCAGCTTGTCTTATGTATTTTAATAACACTGGCATGTTATAAAAAGTTAACCTTTTTGTTTTGCAGTTCCTCATTTTTCTTTATGTATTTCTCTTGCTTCTTGTTTTTTTTCCCCTCTCCTCCAATATCAATTCCTATTCCTCTTACGTTTTTGTGGCATTTGAGAAACCTTCGTTGAAAATTCTTTGACAGTGTCTGCAAGTCTTCTGAGACAAAGTGCCACAAAGATAATGTTTAAATAAAATACCACATAGTACAGATAATTATATTTAGGCTTTCAGTCACCCTGAATATTGGACAAATAAATTCTCTTGGAATCTTCATATTGATGTACATAGGACACACACACATGCACACATATGATTAGAATAATTTTTTCCAACCAGAAATGACATTTGCTTTTGAAATGATTAAATATTACCCTCACCATCAGCCAAGATTTCCATGACACTTGAATAAACAAAAAAGGAGTTGATTACTGAGATTCTTTGTTTTTCCTCTTCCTTTGCACAGTAGGAAAAGTAATGATTAAAAAAAGTATAAAACACATATTAATGATACAAAACAGAACTATCTCCAATGCTTTGAAGAATGTATTCTTCATATCCACTAGGGTGCTAACCTTCGGAAAGCTACAAAATCAATCCTGAAAGTTTTATCTCCCATGGCGACAGAGCCCTTTTTTAAGTCAGTAAATACTAAAAGTGATACAATAACAGCTCATATTTAGGATTACCAAGTTTCTCTACAGGAGACAGGCTCAGGTATCAAGAGGAAAACAAATATTCATTAAAATAATTTAGCAACAACAAAAGACACGTGATGATGAAAGTCTGTTCAAATAACAAGTGACTAAAATAAGAGTGCTGATAAAAAGGAAGGTAGCACTGATATGGAACTGGGTTTTGGTAACAATATGCCAATCAGGAATAAAAATATAAATCAAACTTAACTGGAATGCATAAGTATACCCAGCTTTACAAGATGGGTAGGTTTCTGGCCGGGCACGGTGGCTCATGCCTGTAATCCCAGCACTTTGGGAGGCCGAGGCGGGTGGATCACAAGGTCAGGAGATCGAGACCATCCTGGCTAACATGGTGAAACCCCATCTCTACTAAAAATACAAAAAAAGTTAGCTGGGCGTGGTGGCGGGCGCCTGTAGTCCCAGCTACTCAGGAGACTGAGGCAGGAGAATGGCGTGAACCCGGAAGGCGGAGCTTGCAGTGAGCCGAGATCGCGCCACTGCACTCCAGCCTGGGCGACACAGCGAGACTCCGTCTCAAAAAAATAAAAATAAATAAAAATAAAAAATAAAACAACAACAACAACAACAACAAGATGGGTAGGTTCCTAAAAAGCTTTGTATAAATACAGTTGCTCCCCAACCCCCATAATTACTGGAAGGAGAGAGAGAAAGACCCTAATGAAATCTTGCAGTAAATTCTAAATTACAAACCGAAAAAAAATTTTGAATGGCAAACAGACACTGCTTTAATTCCCTGCTTGGAAAGTTTTTTTTAAAAAAAATTTTTTAATGAATGATGATTTGAATAGCAGTATATTTTTTAAAAATTAGGCAAACACGTATATCACTGCAAATAATATGGAAAATAGTATGGAAAGTGGAGAAAACCCCCAAAGAGCTAATTTCCATTTTATATTTGGTATTTAAATGCCACATTGATAACTGAACACTGTAGTATAAATAAATTATTGTTAAACTGTCTTATAAATTGCTCAGTCCTTCAGTCCATAGTCAATAAAATATAGGCCTTGCCTGTGGTTTACTCAAGACTATAGAAATTCAGAGTAATCAATCATTCCAGGTGGCTTTTATAGCTTTCCAGGTAGCAAGAGCTATATTTTATTGAATGAGGCATTTAATTAGTGGGTATTATTAAAGTGCAATTTTCCATATTAAACTGTTTTCTATATAAATTGGCTTCCTGGTATGCTGACTTGTAATGACAGGATTATCTTGCATTCACTCTTGTAGAGACAGGTAATAACTCATCTTTGTGCCTGTTTTTTGATTCCACAGAATGTTATTCTTTCTGCTGTCATCAAAAAATAGTTTCTGAACAAATATTATCCAAGATTTTTCTTATGCTATTGTCCTATAAACTCAATATTTTAAGACTAACCTGAATGCTAATATTATATATTGTGATATTTCTTATGTTATAAAGGAAATTGTACCATAATTTCTAATTGTAGACTAATCGCAGCCATTCTACCACAAAAATGCCATATTCAACACTTTTTCCTATTACAGTATAAAACACCATTTGACCTTTTATTTTAAAAAGACTGTGACAAATAAATACTAATTTAATGCATAAAGTCTAATAATGATCTAGATTTACCAGTGTAAGTGACAGGAGGTAAATTAATATGGAATAAGTATATACTTCACATGTTTCTTGGCATATATGAAGAAGCACTGAAGCAAATGAATCTATCTCATGTAAGGCAAATATTATGGAAAAACTCCAGAATCAGTAGAAAGAGATATTTTTGCCTTTTCTTACTATGGAAATTCACTGTTATAATACTTAAAGCTGCAGATCTTTTCTTTAATAATAACTTCTGTTTAAAAATCTGTAACAAGAGATACCATTGCTGATTACATAACATTGGTGACATACTACTGTGATTTTTTCAGTTCTGTACCAAAAGACAAGAAAAAAACAAAAAACAAACAAAACGATAAATTCTGCCAATGTTTTTAAACAAGAATGTCTTCTACACCAAGTGCTACTTTCAGATACAGGGCTACAGTGCTTGAACAATCACCGTATTAGAAACAATAAGTGATACAAAGAGTAAAAACAATTTTCAAAAAAATCAAACTTTTATAACATTTACATAGACACCAAAGAGGACAAAATATCCATTTCCAGAAGATGTGCAGTATAATTAGTCAGAAAGGTATCGCAATGCTTTTGATTATGATCAGCCAGTTGCAAAGATTATCAAATAAACAATCTAGCTATTGCTGCTTTGCTAGAAAAATGATCATCTTAGTGGCAAAGATTAATAACTGCTTTTTAAAAAGACAAAAACTAGCTTTGTGATTTACTGTGTACTTTCTCAAGAATGCACAGTAAGTAAATCAACAGTTTGTTTAATCACTATCAATGTGGCATGCTTTAATATATTGGATATAAATAATTGTCACTAAAAAATCATCTGCTGCATGTTCAGATAAAGCTGTAGAGATCTCTGCCTTGTTACCTAGCAACTGGGCAAGTAACTGCCATACTGCAAAAAAAAAAAAAAATTCCTTATTATTTAGGTAAAGAGAATGATCATAAAACTCCACATTAAGATGTTAATGAAGCCAAAATGTATATTAAGATACAACAGCTAACGATTTTAGATGCATTTATGGCCTTGGTTTTGAAATACCATGCAGTAATGAAAACTGTAAAGATTTAAATCTATTATTTCAGCTTGTCACAAACAACAACGTTCTTTAGAGTGTATTTTTAAAAGACCACTGTTATTATTAATTTTTTATTTGTACTCTTTCACAGACAAAGGAATTTCAACCAGATCTTCTGTACTGAGTCTATTTATTGAAAGGGTGATGCTTACTTGTTTAAATACAATAAAACTGTTCTGAGTAATTAGTTCACTGCAAGGGATCCCAAATTATTTCTTATATTTCATATAACAGCTTAATGTATTAATTTTATAACATCTGGAGGAATCTGGCTTAAGTTCTGTTTCAATTTTGCTAAAAATCTGGATTCCAAGATTGTGCATAAAATCTCTCTTAAAAAGCAATAGGGGATTAGGGCAATTATAAAATTTCACTTCTGAGGTCCAAAATTCAGCATATGGCCAGTCTTCAGGCCTCAATCTGAAAGTAATTCTTTCTGGTGTGTGATGAAGGCTGACTGGTCAGAGCCCATATGACGATGGTCACATGAGAGTAAGGAAACCACTCATCATTGCAACAAACAGAGACTGTTTTGTGAACAGACAGAGCTGTGCTTGATGAAGGCTTCACAGGAATCCAAACCCCATAGCTTACATGGCATTCCTCTGTTGATTTAATGTACGATGCTTTTATTCATAGTCACTTACAATGCAGGGACACAATTCAAGAAAGCTCTTCAAATTATTGCATGGAATTAAGTTTCTTGATAAAACTTTACAATTTAAGATAAATTATGCTGAAAAGTTAAAGGGAAGGTTGGCTTTACAAATTAGGAGCCGAAAGCCCAGAGAGATTGAGTAGTTGGAAGTTGTGCAACGATATAACTTCTTATAAAAGTAAATATATATAAAGTGCATAGAACAGTGCTTGCCACACCAGAAGGATTATATGTGTTTGATATTGTTATTTTTTATTAGTGTAATTATTATTAGAAGTATTGGATCTAGAATCTGTTTTTTCGTTTCCAGAACAATGTTCTTTTCACTAAGCACATTACCTCAAAATAAAGCACTGTTTTAAGATGCACCATGTACATCTTCTATGAGCCAAAGCTGTATTTTAATGATAAAGGTGTGTATTAAATGAAGATGTATACGTAGATTCACATTAAAAGCAGAAAAAATTGAGTCTTCATAACTAGTAATTTATAGTTATTTGTTTAAAATCAAATCTGTATCACCTTCAAATATATATCATTTACAGGCTAATAGCTAAACGCAAGTCAAAATGGTATCCCAAAGGAAACACTTTACTAGTGTTAGTGTATAGACCAAGATGTATAAACTTTCCCATCTTTAAATATTTTCTCTGAGTTACATTTTCACTAATTCATATCAACCATTAACCTGTTATTTTTATTTTTATAACATTAACTTTACATACATATAACCTGATACGTTTGTACTGAAAGATTTCAGACATTTGTTGGATTAAGAAAAGTTTACTCTGAGCCTAAAGAGTTCATACATATGTACTTCTTGATCTTGATTAGTATATATTCATCATATGCTTCTCTGTATTTACATTCTCTCTCCCTAGCTGGTCTCATCTAGGCACGTGGCTTTAGAAACTATCTATTTGGGGGCCGGGCGCGGTGGCTCACGCCTGTAATCCCAGCACTTTGGGAGGCCGAGGCGGGTGGATCATGAGGTCAGGAGATCGAGACCATCCTGGCTAACAAGGTGAAACCCCGTCTCTACTAAAAATACAAAAAATTAGCCGGGCGCGGTGGCGGGCGCCTGTAGTCCCAGCTACTCGGGAGGCTGAGGCAGGAGAATGGCGTGAACCCGGGAAGCGGAGCTTGCAGTGAGCTGAGATTGCGCCACTGCAGTCCGCAGTCCGACCTGGGCGACAGAGCGAGACTCCGTCTCAAAAAAAAAAAAAAAAAAAAGAAACTATCTATTTGGGGAGTCTCTCAGATGTGTATCTAGCATCCTGATCTTTCCCCTGAGTTCCAGACTAGTAGACCCAATGATCTGCTTGACAATTCCATGTGGATGTCAAGTTTCTCAAACTTAAAATACCACAAAAAAACTCTTGCTTCCTTCTTTCACTAGTAGCCTAATCTGTTCATCATCCACTCAGTTGCACAGGCCCCAAATTTAGAAGTCATTCATAACTCCTCCCTTTTTCTCATCTTTCACATTAATTCATTAGCAAGATCTCTAGGTTCCATCTCTAAAATATACATTCCAGAATCTGATTTAAGATGGAAAATTTAAACTGCTTCACAGAACTTCCCTTCCTCAATATCTAACCAAAGGAGAAAAAAAGAGTAAACATTAGTAAAATGAAAAAAAGAAGTTCCAACAGTAACCACTCAAGGAAAGGAACATTAACAACTATAATAAACTTCAAAACTGGCAGCCAAGGAAAGAGAAGATTCTGGAACAGGCTAAAGAGACACAGTGTTCCTTGGTTCTTAACCCTGTGTTCAACCCTAGAGAGGTAAACAAAATTCTGAGACTTTTTGCTAATAATTCTAAATTTAGAGAAAAACACATTCAGTGAACATCCTTATGTTTCCTTTTACTACTAAGGAGTAATAGGAACATGTGCAATGAAAGAAGAAGATCAAAGGGCTGATTCAACAGAAGTGAACACTCCAGGGCTGCCCACTATTTTGGGGAAACCCATCAAGCCCCAGATTATCTCGAGGATAGCTACTAGCTCTTATGGAACCCTTTAGTTAATTATAAAAAGGCTATCCTTGGTATCTCTCCCTCCACCACCCCCCTTGCCCGCCCCGTCAATTTGGTGAAATAAAGGCTGATAATGGAGACATTTAACACAAGTTAAGGAAGCACGGCCCAGGAAATCTAACAAAGATTGCATACAGCTTGAGTTGAGCTGAGCTGTCTACCTCCCTCTGCAATTTCTTTAGGTTGCAGAAAAGTGGATAGATCCAAGCAATAAAACATAGCTCAAAGAGGAAGCAAACTGGTCTCCAAGAAGGTGGGAAGAAATTTAAGAAGTTACTCACACTATGTCTGGGGAAAGCTGCCCAGGCACCAGCAAGATGAAAAGAAATAGCACGGCAGATATGCAAGCATTCTAAGGGAGGGAGGCAGGAGGAGGGAAAAGAGAGGAAGGAAAGAGGGAGGGAGGGAGAGAGAGAGAGCAACAAAGTGAAGAAAAAATATAAAATGAAAGTATCACAGCATATAGGAACTAAATCTAGAATTTTATTCAAATAAACAGAAAGAAATCCTCACACAAACTTCCTACTGTAGAATAACGAGTTCAATGAAAATTGAAGTTTAAAGACAGAATAATGAAGAAATCTGAATGAGATGAAAAAGGATATTGTGGACCTAAGGAAGCAAATTAAGGACTAAAGATCATAATTTTAGAATCAATAAACAAATCAGAACATCAGAAGCAGAGTAGACACTTCTGATAGTTGAATTACTGACACAGAAGAAAGGACCCAGGTACCATGAATGGAGACACTTCTGATAGTTGAATTACTGACACAGAAGAAAGGACTCATGTACCATGAATGGAGATGAAAATGACAACAGATTTTCATCAAATGATAAACTAATAGATATGGAAGAGATGAAAGATGATCCAAAATAAGGATAAGTGATGTTCCTGAAGTAGGTAACAATGTAAGTAGAATAAAAGGTGTTTTCAAAGATATGATACAGTATCTGATCTAAATAACACATCATATTGTGGAAAATTCTTAAGCAGACCATCCAACACCTCCACATATCTTAGCTATGTTATTAAGCTATGTGGATAAAGAAAGAATTCCTTGGGATAAAGGCAGAAAAAAAATCACCTACAAAGGGTGGCCTCAGACTATACAGAGATATTCAATGCTATTAAACAATGAAGTAATAGCTGCAAAATTATAATGGAAAGAATACATGACATAAGAATACAACGTTCGGCCATGATATATTGTTCGACTACAAAAGCAATAGGAAGACGTTCTCCAAAAAACAAAACAAAATAAAACAAAACAAAAAACTCACAAATGCAGAATCCATGGGTCTTTCTCGAAAAAAAGAAACAAAAAGCAGTTGGCAATGAAATCTAGGCAATTCAGTGATGAATCAAAGAACTCAGTCAGAATGAAGAAGATATACTAAAGGGCTGGGAGGCAATGGATCCATTTGAACATAGGAATTTATACTAAATAACCATAGTAATTATGATTACAGAATAGAAAGTAAATATTATAAACACAGGCAATATAAATTAGTTAAAATTGTTAGCTGAGGAGAGGATGGGCAAAAGCATTACCTTTCAAAGCAAGGAACCAATCTGATGTGTTTAAAACTGGAATATGCAGCTTAAAAATGTGATTCCAACTCTGAGGTGGATTTACTGTTAACGCTAAGGAAGCTTAAGTTCCAAGGTTTTTTATCTACACAGGTGATTTGCGTTTTCCCATGCCCTGGAAGGGGTCACAGCAGTGCATTCATATTGTCATATTTTTGTAAAATTTGTAAAAATACTCCATTTTCTTAAAGAGGGCCCCCAAATTATATAACCTTCCCACAGAAATCTTGATCCACTCCTGATCAAACCTCTTAACATTTTTCATCGTATTTTTTCTTAACCATAAGGGAAAATAATAACTCCCATAATAAGGAGACACTTATTGGAAGTTCAACAATTATTTAGTTTTTCTTTATTTTTTTTCTGCTGTTAAATACAATAAAACCATTTTTTTTTTGAGACAGTCTCACTCTGTCTCCCAGGCTGGAGTGTAGTGGTGCGATCTTGGCTCACTGCAACCTCTGTCTCCTGGGTTCATGAGATTCTCATGCCTCAGCCTCCTGAGTAGTTGGGATTACAGGTGTGTGCCACCACACTCAGCTAATTTTTAAAAAATATTTTTAGTAGAGACAGGATTTGGCCGTGTTGGCCAGACTGGTCTTGAACTTCTGGCCTCAAGCTCTCCACCGGCCTCAGCCTCCCAAAGTGCTAGGATTACGGGCATGATCCACCAATAAAATAAATTTTAATAATTTTTATTTAAAAATAGCATCAGCATTATGACTCCACAGTTATAAAGTCTTTCTTTCTATCCGCACAGTCATGTATCAATCCCTTTGCACATATTTATAGAAAGATGCCTTAAATGATATAAGTCTACTGCTAAAGGTGGTTATTTCTGGGCAGTGGTATTTGGGGTAATTAAAAAATTTAATCTTTGTATTACATGCATTGTCTGAATTATTTATTGTGATCATATAACAAATATTTCAAAAATAATACAATGACTTTTTTCCTTCAAATGCCAAGATAGTAACAGATATTATTTTGGATGGTGAGAACTATAGGGAACTGTTATTTTGTACTTTGTATTTTCCTGTGTTTTTAAAATTTCAAAAATGTTTTCCAAAATTTGATATTCTGAATCATTCCACATCTCTCCCTTTTTCTTCTTCCAGCCAAGTCACTATTATTTCTCACCTGGACTACTCTCATAGTCTTCTGTGTGGTCCCACCTGTGTCCATCCTAGCCCTGGTATTACCCAGTCTTTACACAGCAGCCAGGGTGTGCTCCTCAAATGTAAAAGGATCACACCTCTGCTTTACATTCCCCAGCTGCTTCATATTGTCTTTAGAATAAAACCCAAACTCTTTGCCACGACCAGCAAGGCTGACCTGAGCTGACCGGGATTCAGTCACGCTGGACTGCTCTCTGTCCCCCACACACTGCACTTGTTCCCCCTGACAGATATTCCATGAGCTGTTCCCCTAGCCTGGGGTGTTCTTTCTCCAGCATCTCCGTATAGCTGGTTCCTTCTATTCAGGTCTCTGTTGGAGGGCCACCTTCTCAGGGATACCCCCAAATTTTCTAATTTCTCCCTCCATCTCCCTCTCCAGTGCTTCACCCTGCTGGATGGCCTTCATGGCCTTTATCACCATCTGAAATGATCTTCTCCATTTATTTATTTACTTCCTTTGTATCAATCCTCTCCCACTAAATATCTGCTCTAGAAAACTAGGACCTTGTCTATCTTGTTCATCATTATATCTCCTGCTCAAAGAATGTGCCCAGAAGATAGCAGACACTTAATAAATATTTCTCCACTCAATGGATACACACAGAGATTGTTTCTCAGCTTAAAAAGGCTTGTGTTTGCAAAGCTGTCTTTTAAGTCAGTTGTTTAGAATTCAGAATGCATGTTCTTTAAAATGAGTCACAGTACAAATTCAATATCAAGCCTAGCTCACAAAGTCTACTGGACCCATAATGAGTTAAACTTCTGTATATCTGCAACAAAAATGCTAGAAAATCAACATGATGAATTATCACTGGGAAAATAGGAAATTAAAAAGAAACATTTCAACTGATCTAAATATGAACAAACTATGACTATTATTTCTCTCTCATATTGGTGAAGACTTTTGTGAATATTCTGAAGGGAACGTCAGAACCTTTTTTATTTTTTTTTTTTTTGAGACAGTGTTTCACTCCTGTTGCCCAGGCTGGAGTACAATGGCACTATCTCGGCTCACTGCAACCTCCACCTCCCGGGCTCAAGCGATTCTCCTGCCTCAGCCTCCTGAGTAGCTGAGATTACAGGCACCCGCCACCACATCCGGTTAATCTTTGTATTTTTTGTACAGACTGGTTTCACCATGTTGCCAAGACTGGTTTCAAACTCCGGGGCTCAAGTGATCCACCTGCCTCAGCATCTAAAGTGCTGGGATTATAGGCGTGAGCCACCACACTTGGCTTCAGGGCATTTTTAAGAGCTGCAGAAGTTTCTGGTTTTTTATTGTGTATAACTTCATCCAAAAATGTGTAGCTTTTGGCTCCTTTGATAACAGACCATTAAATTAGAATAATGTTTGTAACTATGAGTTTTATTATCTGTTTTTGGTTTTAGTTAAAGCTTGGGAATGACTTGCACGTAGTTGTAACTGCAACAGGTGGTATGTTTTGTGAATGCTTACCTGTCATTACTTGAGTCACTGTTTGTGTCAAAAATGTAAAAGAGGAACGAGTTTCTGGGAGGTATTAGGAAGAGAGGGGCTCAGAAGGAAAGGAATTAAAGAGGACGTGTGATTGGAAAGATATCTGAGATAAGAGCAGCGAACGAGAGGAAAGAAGAAATTAGTGATGAATGATCAGAAGAAGACAGGGAAGACGACTTCCTCCTGCTAGCTACTAGGAAATGTTATCTTCCAAGACAGCTTGGTTCCTGTCTAGAGTAGCTCTGGGTGGGTAAATGGAGGGAGGGCCAGTTTGTAAATAACGCTGAAATTTAAGAGACTATATATTATCTAATTTGAGGCTTTGTCCCAAATTTGGTTTGGAGTGAGTTTTTATGACTAATCTACCAGTAGGGTGAAATAAATAGCATCATTCATATCAGGAGTACCAACCAACCCCATAAGAGATATTGAAGAGACAATGCCAACCTTCCATTCTGGAGTAAAGCTATAGTGCAAGAAAACAATTTGAACCAATTATTTTCATACTAAGTTGACAGTTAAGACAGAAAAAAATATATATATTAAGAGCCAAGAGATACTGCATATGGTCTGCAAGTCTTTTCTGGAGAAATGAATCATGAAGATAAAGAGAACTGGCTTATTTTTACAGTTACATTTTATATTTCTAGAAAAATAACTACAACATGGTCTTGATGTCTAAACATAGGGAAATGAGACTTTTATGAACGTTACACAACACAAAACATACCACTTGTTGCAGTTACAACTACGTGCAAGTCATTCTCAAGCCTTAACTAAAACCAAAAACAGATAATAAAACATATAGTTACAAACATTATTCTAATTGAACTATACTTTGAAAATGACTGAATGCTCAAATATTCTTAAAATACAATGTTCTCTTGCCAAGAAAAGAGTGTTGGTCTTAAAATGGCCACAAAACCTAGCCCCGTCCCATGTTACTAGAGCTACAGAATCAAGCACCCTCCAAATATATGGCCAAGCAGCCTTGGAGGCACCTAATGAGTCCAACGCAGTCTTCCCATGTGTCTCAGAGGCTGCTGTCTGTAGTGACAGAGGTGATAGAATATGGTAAAGTTGCGTATCTAGGAAAATCTCAATGTAGTCCCTGATTTCCCAGAGAATGTTCTTGTGGCTTATCCTCTGAGGTTAGTAGTTTCAGTTTAGTACATTAATTCCAAACACTAAAGAGATGAATCCATTCAAGTCATTTACAGAAAAATTGTTTTGAGATTTACCCAAAAAACAAACACACTATAAAGAATTTAGTAACAGAGAAGATTAGAACTTGCACTTTTGCTTCTGCTGGTTCAAGTTTTGTTCTGATATTCTCTGCATTTCCTATTTCCATATGAGAAAACCACCAGTACATCTTTGCTGTGTGAATACCAACACTGAGAAATATTGGCCAAACATAAAGATTTTTAGAGAATTAATTTTTGATATTCATCTAAACAAGCCAATATATTCTCACAATTTTTTAAAGAAAAAAAAAAGAACTCAGCTTAATCATATATTTGACTTCTAAAAAATCATCTCATGATTCCATGAAGATAGAGAAAAAATCAGATGAACAGGAATGGTTTTCATTTCACACTGGAATTATAAGAAAGGTTAATTTTTGCATAAAAATTACATCTACATAAAAATAATTTCTGGAACAATGCATTATTGACAGTTATGTGGGAAGATAAATGCATTCACGTAAATGTTCTTTCTCAAGCAAATTACTAAATATATTGACAGCACTGCACTTTGAAAACAACCATTTTAAGGCAACCAAATACATATACAAGAGTAAAAACATTACATATAATAGCCAATGTAATGTTTCACTCAATGCATATTCACTCAAATATGCATACTTTTTTTCAGTTTATTGATATATACTGCTATTAAATTAAATAGCAAACACTTATGCTTTGTTGTTGGCTATTGCCCACAGAAGGAAAAAAATGGGTAGTCAACTGGAGCCTATTCACACTTCTGTTAATTACTGGTGGTCCATGGAAGATGTTATAGTTTGATTACTAGCACTTGTAAATATTAACCAAGTCTAAGTTACTGCTATAAAATCCAAAATGTGTAAAAACCAAACACACCTATACAAATACAAATGTTTTACTCATGATCGTTAATGACTTTAATCAAGCAGATCTTCTAATTAATTTTGCTAATTGTTCATTCCTCTCAGGACATTTATTGGTTTGATGGATATTACTATGACATATGTTGATGCCAGCATCTGGTCAGAAATGAGGGCATCAATAAACTCTCCTTGGTGTTTCTACAGAATGTGCCAATGCTATAAACACTGTCAATGCCACAGCATTTATTTCAATATAAGATTTTGAGAACATGTCTGCCTTTCATTTAGAGAAAGGATAAACCTACTTCGAAACACACGGTGCTCAAATATGCTTATTCAATGAATGGTGCAATGAGAATGGCTTGATAACAAACTGGAAAACATCTGCCAACATTTAAAATAGAATAATAACATCATAAACGATTATTAGGAATGGCTTCCCCCACAATGTACTCTGTCAATTTATACCCTATTTCGAATATGTAGACTAACTTTAAACAAATATAGTACCGCTATCTTAAAGGAAGTGATCCCCTAAACATTTCTGACCAAAGGTAATCATATGCAGTAAATTAATAGACAAGAAATGCATCAGAATTCGATTCATGTATAGAAATTTGGCTAAACTTGCAAACTTTTATGTTGTTAGTAACTATTCAGAGATTATCACTTTAAACTGCTGACAAATAAGTGCACTTATGCAGTTTTATTTTTAAAAACTAGTTATCCCAAAATATCATATTAAATAATACACCATGCTGTATCTATATTTCAAAATTATTTTAATGGAGATTTGATCTCCAGGTAGAGGCAAAACACTGTTTTCTCCTTCTGGCCCCCATTAGGGAAACTGTAACAGTATGGTTGTCTCCCGTTTCTACACATGAATCTATTGTCACTCTACTGTCATGGCTTAAGAAAAAAATATTGCTTCTACTCAAGGTGCCAAACTGCACCAAGCAAAGTAACTCCAATGCAGTAACATTAAGTTTGGCAACTGCAGGACAAGGTTTCCATCCTTGAACAAGGAGCACTGATACTTCACTATTTTGCCCCCCAACATCATATTTCCCCCTGCATTCTGAAGGTTTTTTTAAAAAATATTTGTAACAATGTTTTTGTATGACACTGGCATCAAGTCTCCCAGGCAGCATGCATCTGTTTTAATTTCATTTGTATTCGTTACTCCTTTCTTCTCTATCTGAGTCCAAGAGAATCACTGCTAACACACCCAGCACTACTCAGGATAGACAACGACAGAATGAAACACTTCTGAGGAAGCCTTTCCGGTGGCATAATGCCAGCACTACTCATTATAGCCTATTTTATCACAGAGCCGTCAACATTACGGACTCGAATAACCCAGATACCAGCGGCATCCCCTTGCACGAGCTCATCTGCGGAGTACAAGGAATACAGATTTGGAAGAAACCTCTGAGAGGTTTTCTAATCTTTCCTCTCTTCCTTCTGACTTCTAACTTTAACGTGAGCCCACCCCAAAGAAGAGAACTAGACTCTCTTAGTAACTTGTGCAAACCTTCAGAAAAGTCTTAGGTTGTACCTAAATTCCTCATGTTGCCATTCCAACACTATTTCCTGTAGTTTTCCCTTTCCAGATGCAGGAGTCCACAGAGCAAGTATCCTTATAAGTGTCTAAGAATCATCAAGCAATTCCAAAGTTCCCGTGTCTCTAATCTACTGATCCAACGTGCCCGGCGCACATAAGCAGCACCGCGACTGAATTTCAAGTCTTCTCAAACTCACACCTCAGTTGCTCAGAGAGGAGAAATGCAGCGAGGACTCGCCTTCCTGGCCAGTCTCTGAAAACGCGAAACCTTCCTGAGCTGTCCATTTGTTTTAGGGGCTGTTTATAAACGGCTGGTTTTCTTGGAGGAAAAATAAACAAATAAATACGGGGCGATGGCAGCATCCTGATAAACACAGGACCTTGTTTGGCTTTTGGCAAGTTGTAACCTGGAGTAAAATCACATCCAAGTTACAAGCACGCAAATTGGAATTTCGCTGGAAACACTGACCCGACCTTCACCGAAGCAGCAAATCGCAGTCTCTGCTGCTCTGCTCCTGCTCTCCAAGGCTTAACATTGGAAAGTCCATGCCCACGTCCCCCTCTAATTAATCAATGTAGAAAGAAATACGAGGGAAGAGAGAGGGAGCACACTCCACACCAACCTTGCCAGCTTCTATTCTTCCTGCTATTCCTTAAAGGCGATGCACAGCGCACCTGGAAATTACGTGGACTTGGCATGGCTTTTTAATATTAAAGACAAACGACCTTTGGAAAATATACACTGTTAAAGTCAAACCATTTGGAGAGACACCCAGCAATTTACCTCCTCAAACTCCTCGGAACCCCAAGAATGAGGAAAGGAAATGGAAAATGCGCTTAACCCGGGGGTGGTGGGGGAATCGATAACCAGAACAGGTTTGAAAAAAAAAGCCCCCCTCCCGCCCCCTCCGTAGAGACCGCTAGCTGAGGCTGCAACACCTGCCCCGGCAAAGCGTCTCCGCAGCCTTCCCGGCTTGCCCGACTCGGCTTCCTCCGCCTCTGCCCCGGCTGCGGCACCACTTCTTGGAGCCACGTCTCGGCGAGCGGGGGCCGCGGAGCGAGGGGGCCGCTGTGCCGCTACTCACCCGAGCCGCTCGGGCTGGCCGCGAGCCGGGATCCGCGAGGGCTGGCGGGCTCTGGCCCCCGAGGACGCAGACATGTGGCTTGAACCTCCGCTCCCCTAGCCGTTGCCTCTGTGCATCTTTCTGGGCGCCCCCAGCGAATGCGAGCGGCGAGGCGAGGGCGAGCGCGCCGAGGAAGGGCGGGAGAGGCGCGGAGCTTGGCCGCGCCGCGCTGCGCCGAGCGCCGGGCTCTCCCCGCGAGCTCCCCGGGCCCGCGCGCGCGCCCCCCACTGCCCCCGCCCCCCGCGCGGCGCGTGCCCCCCACCCCCCGCCGCGCGCCCTCGCACCCGCCCGGCTCCACGCGGCGCGCGCCTGCCCTGGCGGCAGCGGCGGCGGCGGCGGCGCGTCCTCCCCCGAACGCCGTCTCCAGGGCTGCTGGCTGCGCTCTCCATTGTTCCGCGGCTGCTGCCCGGGGTGGGCGGCGAGGCGGGGGGGAGGTGTCGGCTTGGCCGCCGGGGAGGGCTTACCGCTCGGGCGGACCCTCACTGCGAGAGCGATGCGGGCCCAGGCGCGGCGCGCGGGGGCTGCAGGGCGCCTAGCACTGGGGGTTGCCGGCGCGCGGGGGCCTCCTCCTGGCTCCCAGGCACTCGCTGCTGCTGGGCGCCCCTCGCATCCTCGGTTACTATGGATATCTCGCTCCTCCGCCGCCCCCTCCGCGCACTCCGGGAGGCCGCCGGGGCGGTAGCAGCGGCGCGGCTCCGCGGGTGCCCAGGTGACCGGCTCGGCAGCGGCAGAGCAGTGGCAGCAGCCGCCACTGCCGCTGTTACTGCGGTCGCCGCCGCTGGAGAGAGGAGGACGAGGAGGGCAAGGGGCAGAAGCAGGTCCTGCTCTGTCTGCCCCAGAGGCCACCTCGGGTTTCTTCTCACTAACCAAGCGACTTCGTGTTTACCTCGCAGGAGACGCCTCGGCAGTCCTCAACTTGTGTGCGCCGGTGGCCCTCTCCTGTGGGACTTGCGTTCCAGCTGTTCTCAGAGCGGGTATGATCGGCCTCCAGTAGACTTGGAGGGTCACGGGTGAGATTTTGATAAGGTTCAAATACTCCTCACTCCTGCCTCCGGTTTCCACCAAAGTTACCATTGTACTACTACCAACAGTTGTGGAAATTTACTTTGGCAAAGGTTTTGTGTTTTTGTTTGTTTGTTTTTCCCCCCAAAAATTATGCCAATTAAATCCGACCTTAAATGACAAGGCTTTTCTCTCATGTTTAAAATCCCATTTTTTTCCCCTTGCCATAAATAAATAAAAATAACTTGTGGCTTACAGGCTGCTTAATACCACAACATTTTAATGAGCATGTCAGGTAACCCACAGGCTTCAGTTCTTTGTTGCTTACAAGTTCCATCCGTAAGTGTGAGTTGCTCACTTAGTCTGGGGTAACAACCGCAGATTCCCACAGAGAAGAATCAGTGTCTTAAAACAAGGTAATACCAACCCAATGGTCTATGAATAGGTTGGAATGGCGGTACTTTAAGTAAAAGTATAAAGAAATGGTTAACATTATGAGGAACTTCCAGCAGTACTAATAATCAACCCTGTTGTTCAGGAGACATTCACTTGCTAAACTTTAAGGCTAGGCATTTACTGCCTTGAAAGCAAAGCAAATGAAGATTTTGACCAACTGCAACATTCAGGCTCTAAAATAGAAATATGAATGAATTATTAAATAATAGGTAACATTTACTGAGCACTTACGATTTTCCAGGCATCTGTGCATTATCTCATTTAATTCTTACAACTCTATGAAGGTTTCATTATATTATCCTCACTTTACAGATTAAAAAAAAGGCTTAGATCTGCAACTGGTAGTTTTGGAAGAACATTCTTTTCCTTAAACAGGAAACTCTAAATGCCCTCTGTTTTGTCCACCTTTGTGCCACTGTCTGCTTCTGTGAGGGTCAGGATAATAGTATACCTGAAACCGCCCTTTTAGCAAGCGGCAGGGCCAGGACATAAGCTCAGACTAGATGTCTAATTCACTTGCTATACATGTAACATGTAAAATAAAAAAGACCTGCATCTTGACTGGTGTACTCTTTGATAAATGGGACCTGATTACTTGATGGAGGCATGTTTGACTATCTTTGTTTATGACATTAGCAAACTTTCAATGGGTTTGGAAGTGAGGCTATTTAGTTCTGTGTCTTACTCTGCAATCCAGACACCTGTGACTTGAGGTAAAGTAAGTGTTTTCTTGGTTTCCCAATCATGAGAGTGACCGAAGAATGACATTTTCCAGGTCATCATTCTCTTGTGGATATTGTTCTCTGATAACAATATTGGGCAATCTCAAAGAGCTGTCATTTCTTGGCAGTGAACTACAGGCTATTTGGAAAGGAGGTGTAAATCACTTTTTCATCATGTCCAGTCCTCTGCACTCTAGAGTCATTTGGGATGTTTTGTGTCTGCACTACCTCTAGAGAATGATGGAAATCTAATTCTCTGTCAGCTTTTCTACCTGGCTAGTGAAAATGCTTCTTGGGAGAGCTGGGAGGGGAAGTCGCTGTCCATGGTGGTCGTTACTGAAGCCCCATTCAGCAAAATCGGTTCATACTCTAAATACTGGAATCCTGCTTAATTAAACTAAGGAGCTTCTGCACAGCAAAATAATAAACAGAGTAAACAGACAACCTTCAGAATGGGAGAAAATATTTGCTAGCTATGCATCTGAAAAAGGACTAATATCCATAATCGATAAGGAACTCCAATCAACAAGAAAAAAAAAAGCATTAAAAACCGGGCAAAGGACATGAGCAGACATTTCTCAAACGAAGACATACAAGTGGCCAACAAACACATGAAAAATGCTCACCATTGCTAATCATCAGAGAAATGGAAATTAACAGCACAATGAGATAGTCTCACACCAGTCAGAATGACTATTATTAAAAAGTCAAAAAATAACAGATGTTGGTGAGGTTGCCGAGAAAAGGGAATGCTTATACACAATTGGTGGGAATGTAAATTAGCACAACCCCTGTGGAAAATAGTATAGGGATTTCTCAAAGAGCTATAAACAGAACTACCATTCGACCCAGCAATCCCAATACTGGGTATCTACTCAAAGGAAAATAAATTGTTATATCAAGAAGACACCTGCACTTGTATGTTTATTGCAGCACTATTCACAGTAGAAAAGATATGGAATCAACCTGTGTCTATCAGTGAATGCTTGGGTAAAGAAAATGTAAATATACACCATGGGATACTATGCAGCCATAAAAAAGAATGAAATCATGTCTTTTGCAGCAACACGGATGGAGCTTGAAGCCATTATCCTAAGTGAAATAAAACCAGAAAATCAGTACCACATGTTCTCATTTACAAGTGGGAACTAAACAATAGGTACAAATGGACATACAGAGGGAAACAGTAGACACTGGGAACTCCAAAAGCAGGGAGGATGGGAGGGGACTGAAACTGAAAAATTACCTATTAGGTATAATGTCCACTCTTTGGGGGATGAGTACACTAGAAACCCAACCTCACCGTTATACAACATATCCATGTAACAAACCTGCATCTATAAAAATAAAAATAAAAAATAAACAGCTGTTAATTTTGCAAAATAAGTAAATATTACAGTCTGGAAATTAACTTCATCATGGCACTAATGAAATTTGGTGATATTCTCCAGTACTGTATATTAAAACATAAAGATCTTATCAGTATAATCTACTGGTTGGAGTAAAAACATTAAATAATTCACAGGAGAATGACTTTTTACTCTATGGCACTAAAATAGCCCCTATTCATTGTCAAATTTTAGATATTTTTAGGTACCAGAACAGCATAAAGGGGATAAATCATTTCCTGAAACCCTCTCACCTTACAGCAAAGAAAATAGCTACCTATAGAGGTTAACCACCATAATTAGAAGCAGGCGTAAAACCATGAATTCTTGCCACAGAATCACTTATCATGATTCTGTGATGCACCAGGATATTGAATGTCAGAATCATTCTTTCTTCAGTAATTTCATTTTTTTGCTTAAAAACAATTTCCAATTTATGTCATTTGAAAAACAGATAATATATAGTCTGATGTAATATGTAGCTCATGTTCATTTATGTGGAGTGTATCTAAATCTTATAATATTCTAGCTGTATTAAGTAATATTGTTTCCTGCAAAGTGAGACAGTAGAAAAAACTCTTATGGTACCAATTTCTGACCACTGTAACCCAGTGAAAAGCAAAGCATTAATTTCATTACAGGTCATCAAGAATGCAACCGTCAACATAAACTGCTTATTTAAGAGCAGCCATTTTCTATCAGAAAGGACTAATATTAAAATTCCCCACTTTCCTATATTCTCCCTTTGTATTAAAAAATTATCCAGGGGACCATGTTGAATATTCCAGTCTCAAAAATCCAAAGATGGTGGTAATTTTTCTAAGAGATATGTAAGGCCCTTTGTAAGATTTAGAGGAATAGGATTTTAAGAGTTTATTCATTTGTTTAGTAGTAGTATAATGCAATAGTTAATCTCCTGACTTTGGAATAAGACCTGTGGATTCAAGTCATGGGTATTTAACTTAATTGTTTTGTGATCTTGAGTAAGTTACTTTTTTGAGCCATGCTGTTCTAATTTGTGATATGAATGTGATAATAATGTAAGCTACTTCACAAGAGTTGTGGTTGGAAATAAATTAGATTACCAATATGTAGTACTTTTCACTAAGTACCACACTACTTTTCACTAAGTACCACACATTGGTAATATCATTTGGCCAGGTTAAAGTTTCCATTTACTCAATCAAAGACTAATCTAGGTGTTTCTGTGAAGGTATTTTGTAGATGCAATTAAAGTCTATAGTCAGTTGACTTTAACTAAAGGAGATTATCTTAGATAATGTCATTCAACTAGTTGAAAGTCCTTAAGAGCGGCTTCCCTGAAGAAGAAATTCCACCTGTGGACGGCAGTTTCGGCTCATCCACAAGAGTTTTCACCTGCCCTTCCTAATGGCTTGCCTTAGCTCAGTCTTGTCCAGCCAGTCTCCACAATCATGTAAGCCAATTCCTTGCAATAAATCTTTTTGTATATGTCTCCTACTGGTTCTGCTTCTCTGACTGAACCCCAACTAACACACCATGTAAAGCATTAACTATAGTATCTGTGACATAATAAACACTCCAAAATATTAGTTAATTTTTTAAATTAACCCTTATTGAACATCTCTCACATTTATAGCACTGAGGTATACACTCTGATAAAAATGTCTGAGAGCTCTGAAATAGAATAGGGATAGATAGATACTTATTGTCTCCAATGATAGTAACCTCAACCAGGAAGGGATTTAATGTTTTAGTAAAATTTCCAGGAAAACAAGGGAAAAGTGCCAATGGGTTGATTATTCCATCTGGAGCTATGTAGGGGAATTATGCAAATTCAGTATGAGGCCAGTTTCCTGGGTTAGGAAGACAATGAACAAAAAGGCAGTTACTGTTTTCTCAACAGATCCATATAGATGTAGCACCTGAAACTAGACACACCAGTTTCCATGGATCAACCATGGAATTCCATTCTGTAAGAAAAATTTATTTACGACTTGGTCTTAAGCCAATTGGAATTATATACTTGATAACTGCCTTGAGATTCTTGGAGGAAGAAATACGCTCATATTTAAGAGTATTAAAGTAAAAGATCTTTCTTATTTCAATGTTAGCTTATCTTAGTATTCTACATTGTTAGATCTTTGAATTTGTTTTGTGCATTTTTAAGCAAGGAAAAAATACTTATATCACTAAAAAGCAGGCATAGCACAAACCTACTTAAATAGAATCTGCCTCCGTCCTTCAGAATTATAATGCCAAACTTACAAAACTTAAGGCTGGAAATATCTCAGATGAGTAAACAAACCTCAGGGAGGTAGTCTCAGATATAAATAGGATTAAAAGGTGATGAGAAAGTAAGAGAGAGTGAGAGCATGCCTTTTGGTTTTATATTAAAGCTCTGATAATTTAGAGTGAATCTTAGAAATAGAAATGTTTTAAATTGTGTGTTTGCAGGTGTGTATGTGTGTATTCACTAAAGACAGCTGTCCCATGATCCTTTATGCCATAATAGTAATTTTCTCAAAGGCAGTGCTATTGCTGTAAAAATACTTTTACTCATTATGCAAAGATTTATTGAATACCTGTGATGTCATATGTCGAGCTGGTTGCTAAGGGATAGGAAAGTAAATTAGAGATGGACTCTAATCTTGTGGAACTCTCTCTGGGCAACTCTAATTTATCCTTATGGATTTCAACTAACACGTGACTTTCTCTAGGAAATTTTTGTACTTCCCTTGCTCTGCACTGGCCTAGGCAGTTCTCTTTTGCTCTCACAGTAACTTTGCTTCCACTAATATTGCATTTATCATTTTTTTTAGTAATTAGTCAATTGCTTATAAATCTCCCTATAAGACTGCATGAGGTCAAGGACCTTGTTTATGTGAACCTCTATTTTTGCTCGGCTCTTGTCCTCAAATAGGCATTAGGTAAATATTTACAGAACGAGTGAAAGAAAGCTTGGGACATGTTGAATTTTAATTGCTTTCCAAATAGAAATATGCAGGAAGCAGAAAATATATAAACCTGGAGCTGAGGACAGAGATGGGTGCAAGGGATACAAATTTGTATTAGCTGATTCCTGGTAGTTGGAAGGCCTGGGTGGATTATCTTCAATGAGGCTCACATGTAGAATTATGAACGAGAAAGTCTGAGGTCAGGACTCTGGACAGCGTCCACACTCTCCATTTTATCTGTGGGATGAAACATGGCCCACATGGCTAGGATGGAAATGTTTTGGGAAACCCAAAGCCCAAATAAATCTTTTCAACCATGTGAGTAAGTTTCTAATAGATATTTCAGAACTAAGTTACTGTAGAGACAGGAGCACTATAAATATGGATTTATAATCATGACATTGTGGAACTTTACCTCCCAATATGTAGAGAGCAGGGTTTTCAATTTCGCAAAATAAATAAATGAATAAATGTTAGCATATGTTAATAGAGGGCACAAAATAGAAGTCAGAGAGAGAAAGAGTGTCTGTGGGGACTCAACAGACTCTGTGGGAATCAGACTCTCTGATTTTCTCTCTCAATGGAATCAAGGAGTCCCACGAGTTAGGCATTGGGAAAGGCTCTCTGGGTGGTGAACAGACATGTGTGGCTATTGGTGGTGAATGTCCACCACAGAAGCAGCGTGGCTCTTCCTTATACTCAAGGCTTTTTTTTGCCATTAATGAGAAGTAAGACACAGACTGACTCCCAGCACTTACCAATTTTATTATTCTTATTGCCTCCTCATACTTTGCCATGGGAAAATCCCTGTTTGGATCACAAATTTAAAACAATAGACTGCCTGTTAACCATGGGCATATTTACAGATCTGACTATGAGCTAATACAACCCAGAGTGAGCAGAAGGGACTTATACTTTTTCCTGAAGGCAAGCAGGCTTGGAATCCAAGGGGAATGAATATAAACACTGAGACCCATCTGCCCCAGTCTTCTGAATTAAAACCTAGGGACTTCTTTTGTTAACTCTGTTCAAGGCCCAAACCACATACAGCTCCATTGAGCCACAGCTAAGATTTTTGCTTGCAGCCTTTGCTTAGAACTGGCCCCTGAGAGTCAGTTTCATCTGTACAGCACAGTTGGTAAGTACCTCATCCTTCCCACACCTTTAAGCAACAGAACAGCCACAGTCAACACTTACAGCAACTTTCAAGGTTAGCAATGAAAGAAGAAGGCTGCAGTAACCTCATCTGGATGCCTGTTTTACTAAGTAATTATACATCCCAAATTTCACAGGACAACCTTCTTTAAATGAATCAGATCATAAAATCTGATTTTTCACTTAGGAAAATATGGTTAAATCATATTAGAGACTCATACTTGGAGTCTTCAAGGAGGTAGCATAATATACAGAAAAAAAGTCCATGGACTCCGACCGTGGTTCAAGTTCAGCTCTATCATATTTACTGGTTGTAGACCCTGAGCAACTTGCTTAACCTGACTGCACCTCAGTTTCTGCATCTGTAAAATGAGGATAAGTGTTCTTTAAAGATGTTGTTTAAGGATTAAATATAAGTACACTCATATAAAAATCTAGCACAATGCCTGGACCACAATAATTATTCAACCAGAGAATCAAGTTCACCCTAGTACAAATTCATAAGCATTCAGAATCAAGAAGTTATTCCAGCTTATCAACAGAACTAAATAATAAAGCTCATTCCCACAGCACCTTCTAGTGTGCTTATCAGCTGTGTAAGTGAGGAGGAGCCCATGAACTTGGGAGGGGACAGTAACTTTTTATATTGTAGACTCATAAAAATGATTTTATTTTTTTCTCTACAGGATTTTTAGAGGACAAAATAGTCTCTCATTTGATGGTGATTATGTACATTATTATGATAATTCTCTAGGAATGCACATTAAGGATTTTGAAATATATTAGAAGGACAAAGGAAGAAAGAATGACATAATAAATATTAAAACATAATTTGGGGTTGGGATAATTGAATCTTAGGATAAAATATGGCTGATGGCCATTGTTTTTTCCTGCTCAACACCCGGTGCTCTATTTCTGTTACCAATAGTCTGATTTGTTACTGGGGACCCAACTCTCCCACACTTAGCTATGAAATCCTAGATAATCAACCTTAAAAGAGCTGGCCATGGAGTGGACCCATGAGCCACTGGCCAAGCAGAAGATTCCATCATGCAGCCACAGTGGTTTGTTCAGAGACGGTCAGAACCAAGACTGTTGGAACTACTGGGAAAAAGGGGAACTCTTCTCACTGGGGCTTCTGATGATGAGCTTGGTATTACCAGGGTGCCAGGTGTAATGCCTGGAGCTGCCAAGGGCCATCTTGTGGAGAGGGTCTACCCAAGAGTGAAGCCAGCGCAGAGAAAAGCAGAGCAGAGATATGGATTGGAGTCCAGTGATAGTTTTTGAGGCTCTGGATCCAGTCATGCCTGAAACCTTTGGACTTTATCTCTTATATGAGCCAATAAATTTTTCATTTTACTTCAGCCACTTGGAGTTGGATTTTTGGCAGTTGTAACTGTAAAGTGTCCTGATTTCTTCAGCAGGGAACTTAAGTATAATTTATCTCAACCTCCCCTCTGATGTTTGAATCTTCTCTACAACTTCTAATGAAAGAGTCACTCAATCAAGGCTTGGACTCCTCCAGTGATAGGGAGCTCATTACCAACTGAAGAAGCCCATCCATCTTTGAGACTTATATTACTGCAAAATTTTTTCTTATATCAAGTGAAGGTTTCTGAAACCTTTGTAATTACCACTTATTTTGTACCCAGTAGAGGCCAGAGACCCTGTGCTATGTTATACTTAAAAATATACATTGTGATTTAATTCTCAAATTAAAAATTTGAAAATTTTATTTTTGAAATAATTTAATAAATTAAATTAATAAAAATTAATATCTAATGATATTAAAATTATTTTAGAAGCTGCTGCACAAATCCAAGTGAGAAATGATGAGAGGCTGAAGCAAGGGCTATGGGGGTGGGGATAAAGAAGATGAGGAGGGATCCAGTGATGTACAGATGTAGCATACAGGTGACTGAGTGGAGGGTGAGGGCAAGAGTGAAACAGGAGACTTGGAGGGCCTCCAGAAAATAGACAGGTGTTGAAAAGCAGGGAGAAACAACCTGGATGGGAAAGATGAAGGTTCTGCTGTTTATCCCAAGAGTTACCATAAGTCGAAGGGGTCACTACTTCCAAGGACACATGATAGCTCTACAAATTTCTTTAAAATTTTAACTGAATCTGGTTTAGTGTTAAGAAATAATCATGAACAGAATTGGATGTGCATCAAAAGCAAAGTTTTAGAAAGACCTGCAATTTTTGCACAGACCTTTAATCACATGAGTGCAAGTCAGAATAACACTTTTATGTTCAGCCCTTAAGACTGGTTTCTCCCTTCTCTCCTCCTGCCAGTGCCCCAGAAGGCAGAGGAGAGGATCCAGAGAACTCAGCACGAAGATGCAGCAGAGTTTGCCTGAGCCACAGGGGATGGGAGTCTGACCGTGAGGTCCAGGAACCAAAGAGAAGTGCATTCCAGTGGAATATGTTTCTAGGAATGGGAAAGAGGGAGAAAGGGAAGAAACATTTTATGTATACCTACTATGTGCCAGGTCCTTTTTATGTAGGATTATTATTATTATTTCAGTATCACTTTTTTTTTTTCCCAAATGTAAAAACTGTGGAGGTCTGCAAAGTTAAGTAATTTTCCAAGATCAAGCAGCATTAGAATTAAGTCCAGGATGTATGTATGCCTCTGAGATCTGTAATTTCTTCATTATGCTATGCTGTCTCCTTAAATAATTAGCAGTTATAAGACGCAAGTTATAAGGTGACAAAATACATTGACATGGTATCTGGATTAACAACAACCCAGAAGGCTAGTATTTCTAATATTGTTTCTATTTTATAGATGAGGAAACTGAGTCCCTAAGAGGTTCATTGACTAGCTCAAGGCCACACAGCTAGTAAGTAGAACCATAGCTGGAACTAAAAATTCCCATCTCCAAGATCTGTGTATTTTCCCATGACACTGCAGCTACTACGCTGGGCAAGCTACTATGAAGCTGGACTTTGTCAGAACAGTGACAGATAACAGCTTTGCTCTGAAACGTTCTTTCCTTCAAAGGAACGCACCCAACCTAATGCTTGTGGTGGCGCCTGCTTTCACCCACATTGGCTCACAAGAGAAAGACTCCAAGGAAAAAAGGAATGAGGGTCCCTAGAGTTTCTGATGAGGGTAGGGCGGAGGTGCTTTCAAGGATGGTTAACCCTCTCTCAGGGCTGGGCGCAAAGGCTCCTGCCTGTGATCCCAGCACTTTGCGGGGCCGAGGTGGGAGGACTGCTTGAGTTCAGGAGTTTGAGACCATCCTGGACAACATAGCGAGACCCCATATCTACAAAAAATTTTTAAAAATTAGCCTGGCATGGTGGTGCACACCTGTAGTCCCAGCTGTCCGGGAGGGTGAGGCAAGAGGATCACTTGCGCCCAGGAAGTTGAGGCTGTAGTGAGCCAAGATCGTACCATTGCACTCCAGCCTGGGTGACAAAGCAAGAACCTGTCTCAAAAAAAGAGAAGAAAAAGAAAAAAGACATGAGACGTAGGAGCCAGGCATTTTTCAGCCACAAATACCAAGTGGATAAAAAAAAATAATGAAAAGAATAGAAGAATGGTTAGCCCACTCTCTTTCTAGTGAACCCTGGGATAAGGTCTATGGTGCAGTGCTGTGAAAATTCACTCAATCCACGAGATCTATACACTTTGTTGGGACCTGGGATAGAATGAACCAGTGTTCCCTTAGAATGGAAATGACTGAGTAGAAATAATGTGGGAAGCCACATTAACTCTTTCAGGCCATTAGGCTATCATTTAGTAAATTACTACATTGTTCTAAATGGGTCCCTAGTGGGTATGGAGGGTGAGAATGTTCTAATTTGCTTTTCTCTCCTTTCTCTCAGCTGCTTTCTCCTACTATGATGTAGAACAAGAAGTGGTTTAATAACTGCTCTATTCCAAATCACTGAATGCTCTTATAACTACTGCATAAAAGTGCCCCTGCAGGTCTGCTATATTGAAATGTGTGGAATCAAATCTATGCATATGATATGAGGGGTGGGGGCTGCAATCTGGTACCCACAGGATCTAGAAGTAACTCGAGGAACCAGGATATCCCTGATTTTAAATTCTAGGTTAATGGAGGGCGTGTGACCGAGAGCCCCATGTTCCTGGGGAGGGAACAGATGCCACTGGAAGCTGCAGGGCAGGAGTTTCTCCACCTAAAAGGGAGGATCCACAACTCTGATCTGAGGAGGAGTCCGTGTCTCTGCCTTGGCATGTATATTACAAGAGAAAATCATAGGAAGGGCAAGGATGTTCCCTGACGACTGGCTTCCCTCTGTCACTCAGGATGCATGGCCACTGTTGGTTGAAGGAACTATCATTTTTCTCCCTGATTGAAAAACAAAAGAATCAAAGCTCTCCCTTGTGCTTACAAATCTGGGGATATTAATTAAATACCTAGTAGAGATGCTGGGGCCTAATATTATTGCATAATGGTGATTACAGCAACAATGCATTATATAGCATTAAATGTTTTTGAAGCACTTTCATATTCATTTGTTTTTTAAATAATTTTTGTTTTTATTTTTTTCCAGTTTCATTGAGGTAGAATTAACAAGCAAAACATGTACACCTGTATGTATTCAAGGTGTATGATATGTTGTTTTGACATACATACACACTGTGAAATGATTTCCACAATCAAGCTAATGAACATATCATCCCCTCACATAGTTACTCTGTGTGTGTGTGTGTGTGTGTGTGTGTGTGTGTGTGTGTGTGTATGTATGGTGAGAATACTTAAGATCTGCTCTCTTAGTGAATTTCAAGTATACAATACATTATTATTAACTATAGTTACCATGCTATATTATTAGGTCTCCTGAACTTATTCATAACTGCAAGTTTGTACCCTTTGTCCAACATCTCCCCTTTGCATATTCGTTGTTGGTCAGGGCTATCTTGATGGACATATGAAGATGGGCTCCATGCTTGGTTTAATTCTCTGCAGTCACAGTCTTGTAATTCCAAATAACTTTAACTTGGAATTAGTATTTTGTAAGCAAGGTCTGATGGGACTGTGGAGCATGTGCTGGGCTTGGAACCTCAGCTTGATGCCGTCCTGCCTTCCTGGGATGGGTTTTTGGCTGCCAGCTCCCTGTCTCATGCTGGTCCTGCTCAGGGCCCTGCCCACTCCACCCCCTTACCCCACAACCACTGCTGCAATCAGGTGGCACTGGCAGGGGGAGGAAAGAGACCAGCTTGGATTCAGTCCTTGACCACTCTCTTCCCCCAATGGTGGTGGTGGGGGAGTCTCGACATGGACGGTCATCCACCTCATGGCTTTTTGGGGTAGGCAAGGCAGCAGCCATCCTTGTCCCTAATTGCAACATCATGGCTTGTTTGGTGGGTGATATAGTTTGGCTATGTCCCCACCCAAATCTCATCTTGAATTGTAGCTCCCATAATTCCCACGTGCTGTGGGAGGGACCCAGTGGGAGATAATTGAACCAAACTGTTTACCCCATACTGTTCTTATGCTAGTGAATCAGTCTCACAAGATCTGATGATTTTATAAGGGGTTTCCACTTTTGCTTGGCTCTCATTCTTTCTCTTGCCTGCTGCCATGTAAGATGTGCCTTTGCTTCTCCTTTGCCTTCTGCCAGGATTGTGAGGCCTCCCCAGCCACATGGAACTGTGAGTCCATTAAACCTCTTTTTCTTTATAAATTACCCGGTCTCAGGTATGTCTTTATTAGCAGTGTGAGAACAGACTGATACAGGGGGCAATACAGTTGGTGACTCTGCATGAGTCTTTCACCCATCTCTGACTCAAGTACCAAGCACATCCTGGCCTAGGGATTGTAATCTGTTGGGTAGTCACCTGTCTGCTGTGGGTTGGGAGTGGTGGGCCTGTAGGAAAGGGAGATTGACTTCCCTGTCCCTGGCCAGGCCTCACAGTTTCATTTTATACCAGGCCTTGCAAAATATATAGCCAGACCTGTAGTTGACATTTATTGTAATATCCATGCAAGCTGGATAGGACAAGAATGTTGCTACTGTTATGTCTGCTTCCATTATTTCTACTGCTGGGGAGGCTACCATTACCTTCTCTGTGACTTGCACTTGGGCAAGCACTTAACAATATATCATCCCATTTAATCTTCACAACCAATATACAAGGTAGGGTTTATACACTGGGGTGGTTCCCTAACTTCTCTGAGTTTTAGTTTCCTCATCTGGAAAACTGGTATCATAATGCCTACTTGGTAAGGATATTGTGAGAATTAAATAAGATGACATGTATATTAAGAGATGGAGGTAATTTTATCTACCTGCATTCCTCTAATTCTATATTTGTTAGGAAGAAATCTTTTGGTAAGCTGCTTGAGGAGAAGAGTCACCATGGACAGACTAAAATAACCCAATAAGCTTGCTTAACTTTTGCACTTATGACAAGGAGTAGTGTTTGTTCCTTGCCATTGTTCCCAAGAGGAAGGTGGCAAAGAAAGAGTTGGTGAGGGCGAAGCATTTGCAGGGGAAGAGAACAGGAGTGACAGTATGTCCTTTAGAAAGTGGAAATATTGAATGGGGTTCTAAACAAATTGTTTGGTTGGGTTTATGCTATAAACAGCCCAACCTACCCACCGTCATGAAATCTTCAGTAAAGGCTGTGTAGCTGACTAACGCTTTTGTGTGTGATTAGATAAATGCGGGAGAGGGGCTCAGTGTCTGTTCTCAAAGAGGCATTGAAATTCACATCCACGTTGGCACAAGTGAAAACAGACAGCTTGTGCCAGAAGATGAGTGCAGAGCTGGTGTGTGGTTCTAATACTATTCTTGGAATGCTTCCTCTGAGTGACCTCCCTCTCTGTTCAGGCCACGCATTTCTGGAGGGTATAACAGCAGTATATTGTTATATTGTATATATATGTATATTCTGTTTGGTTTCTATTCTTCCACAGGCCCCACCATCAGGTTCCGCACAGAGTGAACACTCAAATGTTGAGGGCTGATAAATGTGAGTAGCAACTACTAAATGAAGGAGATGAATATGCTTTTGTATAGTAACTTCAACGATGCTTTGATATAGAAATTAGTTTACCTAGTGTACTGATGAGGTACATGAGGCTCAGAGAGGCTAAGAAACTTGCCTGGCGTCACACAGCTAGTAAGCAGCAAAAACAGACATTCATGTTCCATACACAATGCCTTCCTGGTCAGTGACACTTTAGCAGACTATCTAGAGTTCTGGCATCGTATAAACCAGGCATTATCCACATATGTATATTTTAAAACCTCACTGAAAGCAGAAGGATAAGATGAATTGACTTTAAGCATTCCTGGGGAACAAAAAGTCAAAATGGAAAAGGAGAACAGGAGCATAAGAAAAAAATATATAGCATAACTCGTTATCCCTTAGATAACTGTAGGGTCATGCTGATATTAGTCATTGTACTGTGATGACACCAAAAAGGGAAAGTGTACCAGCTAGCCAGGTAGATGCAATTCATTGTGCAAGAAAAGGCTGCCTCAAATGTGTCTAAAAGCGTGGTTCTTCATTCAGCCAAGTCAAGACCAAAGGAGCACATGAATAATTGGCTACAGCTCCCCTTTCAGCAAGTACCAGCTTTCTCTGCTGAGGCTGATACAGCTCCATACCTCAGGGGGCCGGGAATCAGCTGCCAGCAGCCAATGGGCTTCTGAGCATTCATAAGCAGACCAGGTGCTGATCCATCAGGCTAATTAGCAGCCTGTGGGCCACAGTTAGCTGGGAAGGTGGAGGGTTTTAACTCTTTTCCTGACAGACTCCAAGCCTATCTGGGCTTTTTGAGCAATGTTCTATCAGTCAAACCACAAAGAAAAGTATTAGAATTCAAAAGGAGGGAAGCTAAAAGGAAATATAGTTTTGCTTTAAATAAGACAAGGGAGACTAACAACACAAAGGAAGTGAACTTTGACTCTCAAATATACATATATATAGATGTATATATGTGTCTGTACGCATCTCAGTCTACGTATCTTCATGTTACTGACTGTAATGTCATCACCACAGCAGACATTCAATACATGTTTGCTTTTGTTGAGGATGATATAGTGATATTTAAAACAGAAATAATAAACAAGGGAAGAAAATAGGACAGGATTGCAAGGGAGGGGGATATTTAGCTTGTTGGCACCTGAAATGTATTTAATTATCAGGCTCCCAAAAGAGCAGAGGAAACAGAATTAGCTTCAATGAAAAATACAGAGAACATGCTGAAAGTTCAGAAAAAATGCAAAACTTACTTTAATTAGGAGATGGAGATGGAATACATCAGAAATAGTGTCACTGCAAATTACCAGACTTATAAACCAATATGTAAATCAGCAGAGGAAACAATCCCATGAATTTTAGTAAATTTGTAGAAACTTGTTGTAAATAGTGCATTTAAAATTAGTTTTAATGTGAAATAGAATCAACAATCAATGAAGCCAACACCATCCAAATGTCTTCATTGACATAAAAGGAGCATTCTATAGTCAATTGGTTCTATATTTTTGACTTTAGTGTGGTTTTGTTGATCATGGATCCAATAATCTCCAGTGAAGCAGTGCCAATATATGATCTAGCGATAGGAAATAACAAACAAGCATCCTAATCCTTAAAGTAGCCAAATCTGACAATCATAGAAAATGGCAAGGCAGGATACTGGCAAAAGTCTTAAAACACAGAGGTAACATTTATGGAGATGTCTGCACGGGCTCTCTGTCAACATATGGAGAATTGAGGAAGAGCTACGGGATTTCAATGACAAGCCCATCACCACCATCTGGAGATAAAAATTCTGTGGTAGATTTTTTTTTTAAACTGTGATATTTTACTGATAAATTTTATATTAGTGACAAGATCCTAACCAAAGTTTCCTTGGACTGCTTACTATAAAACTGTGTACTATTGACTCTGGGGTTAAAAAAATGGATTTATGCCTCACTGAGAAACAGCTGTCATTGCATTTGTAGAATCATAGTGTCAAGATGATGAAACTGAGCTAATTCCAGAGTCTTCAGGGACCTAAAGAAAGCATTATACAGCCCTGAGGAGGTTTGGGTGTACTGGCAGTAATGTCAACTGTATGGCCCTGAGAAACTAATCTCCATGTTGAGATTATGAACACAAATCTTTCCCCAAATATTTACTGAGTAAAAACATAGTGAGTGGTCCATTAGGGAGAGCAGGAGCATGAGTTGGATTGTTTTTGTTCTAAGAAATGAATGCACTACCTTGGACTATAATCAATTTGGGGATTGTGGTCTTTTAAACAGACCATAGCAGATGATTCAGTGTCAGTGGGCCACTGGATTCATGCCAAGTGATAATTCTCCATAACGCTTCCTACAGTCTGGTGTGTGCAAAACAGGCAAGGTCACAAGTCTGTTCTACAGCCACCGGGTGTGCTGGTCCTTTTATTGTCCTGGCAAAGTAACAACCCTGTGTATGCACCCCTACAAACTATCTCCCCATGGTTTGGTCAGAGCTGACCCCCAAGCTCACCCTGCCTAAGTCATTTATTACTAGCAGAGGAAGAAATAAGCATATAATCATGACCTTATCTACTTCTCTAGCCTCAAATCTAGTCTCTCCTCAATCAAACCCTTTCCTATCCCTCAGGGACACCTTGACTGGGTGCCTTTGCCTGTGGGACTCTCTGCCCTTAGCATCTTTCAATTAGTTCTCTGCCTGGAAGGCTGTTCTTCTTTCATGTGTTACCTCCTCCTGAAATGGTTTCTTGATAATAACAGCAAACACATAGGATTTGCTTCATACCAGGCGCACTTCTAAATGCTTTATTAAATGTACTTACTTCTCACCAGAACCCTTTGAAATAGGTACTGTTATAGTCTCTACTTTAGATATAAAGAAACTTAAAGGCAGAGTTGTTAAGAAATTTACTCAGGGTCACTGGTAAATGGTAGAGCTGAGGTTATGAACCATGGCAGCCTGGCTCCAGAGTGTCTGTTCTTCATCACGACTCTGAGCATAATGATCCCTAGACTTTGCTGTTAGTATCCTGAGCACTCGCTACCAGAGAAGTAGCTGCACTGCACTCTAGTCATGTTTGTAAGCTTCCTCTCTTTCCATGCTAACTCCAGTTAATCCAACAACACTCAGCCAAAGCATCAACTTTTTCCCCCTTAAGTCTTCCTGATCCTGCTCCCCTAACCTGTGGGAGGTGAATCCTCCACTGCCCACACCATGCTTCTCTCTGCTAGACTCCTTATCACACCACGTGTCTTGTTTACCTGTCTGCCTCCCTCATTAATCTGTGAACTCTGAAGTTTTGAAGGCACGAATGGTCTCAGTAACACAGTATCTGGCATATAGAACTGTTGCTTAATAAATATTTGTCTGTTTGATGGATGGAGACTGGTGCTAACAAGTCTTCATTTTGCAACTCTGGTTTCTAGCTTTTACCGGCAGATTAAGAACAAAAGGGATTCCATCACAAATCCTGGGAGAATCATGACAAATGCTTAGCTTCAGTTCAGAAAGAAGCAAGACTATTTATAGCTCAGGGACTCAACATTAAATGACCCGGACTTAATTTTTCCTTGTGACCTAGATTTGCACAACTTTAGATGGAAAGTGCCCTTGGAGATCATTTTACCCAGGTATTGCAAACTGGTGGCCTAGAGTTGTTTTTATTTGACATATATTATTTGTTTCTATTTTTATTAGAATACCTTTAGACAGGACATGTGCTTTTTATTTCTCCACATTTTACATCATATCCTATCATACACCACTTTACTCATTTGTATTATCCACCTGACCATTCAAAGCATTTGAATATGAAATGTCTGAATTAGTCTAACTCATTTTTTTTGGTCTTTGTTTACAGTAAAGCTCCCAAGTCTGTACTTAGGGTCTCCAATTTTCTCATTAATTCATTCCAGTCAGATGTTCTCCCACCCTCTACTGATGTGTAGACTGATTTCCATGTAACAATGTACCAATCATGTACCAGTGATTTCCACCTAGCTAAATCCAGTTCCTAGCTTGGACCTCAACCCCTCCTCCTTGACATTCAGGACCATACTCTCCTGGTTTTCCTCCTACTTCTCTGGCCTCCCCTTCTCTGTCTTCTTGCTGATTCCTCCTCATACTCTCGACCTCTAAATGTTGGATCCTCCAAGGTGCAGCTCGTGGCCTGCTTCTCTTCTGGATCTACTCTCATCCCCTTGGGGATCTTGTACAGGCTCATGAGTTTAAACACTGCCCACATGTTGACACTTCCTCAGTGTACATCTCCAGCTCACTTGGTTGTCTAGTGGGCCTGTCAAACTTAATATGTCTAAAAACAAACTGCCAATTTCTTCATATTTTTTTTGTTGTTGTTGAGATGGAGTCTTGCTCTGTTGCCCAGGCTGGAGTGCAGTGGTGCAATCTCAGCTCACTACAACTTCCACCTCCTGGGTTAAAGTGATTCTCCTGCCTCAGCCTCCCGAGTAGCTACGATGACAGACGCGTGCCACTACCACACCCATCTAATTTTTGTATTTTTAGTAGAGACAAGGTTTTGCCATGTTGGCCAGGCTGGTCTTGAACTCTTGACCTCAGGTGATTTGCCCGCCTTGGCCTCCCACAAACTGTCAATTTCTACCCCAAACCTGCTCTTCTTAGCAGTTTTCTTTATGTCAGTTAGGGGTATATCCGGGCCACCAGTTGCTCAGGCCAAAATCCATGGGCTTATCTCTCATTGCTTCCTTTCTATGTGATATGGTTTGGATATTTTTCCTCTTCAAATATCACGCTGAATTGTAATCCCCGGTGTTGGAGGTGGAATCTGGTGGGAGGTGTTTGGATCATGGCGGCGGATCCCTTATAGACGGCTTAGCTCTATCCTCTTGGTGATGAGTGAGCCATGAGATCTGGTTGATTAAAAGTATGGTACCTCCCCACTCTCTCTTGATCCTATTACTATGTGACATGCTGGCTCCTTGTCACCTTTTCAGCCATGATTGTAAGCTTCCTGAGGCCTCAGGAGAAGCACATGCCAGCACCATTCTTCCTATAAAGCCTGCTGAACCATGAGCCAGACAAACCTCTTTTCTTTATAAATTACCCAGCCTCAGGCATTTCTTTATAGCAACACAAGAACAGTCTAACACACTTTCATATGCCATATACAAGTCCTCAGCAGTCATGTCTACTCCAATCTTCCAGTGCCTCCCTTGTTCTTTAAGAGTAAAAGCCAAAGAAAGTCCTTAGAGTGGTCTCTAGGAGCCTTGATATTCTACCTTCCTTCCTTATTCCTATCCCTACCTTTATTTCTCAGACCCCCATTCCCACCACTATCCCCCTTATTGACCTGCCTCCAGCTCACTGGCCTCCCTTCACTGTTGAGTGAACACTCCAGGCATTTTTCTACATCGGGGTGTTTGCATTTGCTGTTCCTTCTGCCTGGAATACCCCCACCCTTCCCTTCCCCATCCCCAGGTATCTGCATGTATCTGCATGGGTTGCTTCCTCATTTCCTTCATGACTACTCAAATGAACCTCCTCACTGAAGCTTTCCTTGACCACTCTATTTGAAATAGACTTCCCTAAGCCAGGATGATTTTTCATCCCTCCTTTCTGCTTTTCTCTAGAGCACTTTATTACCCTCTAATATCCTATATATTTTACTTACCTATTTTGTTTCTCTTCCTACTAGAATGTAAGCTAAATGAGGGCAGGCTTGTTTGTCTTCTTTGTTTACTGCTACATCCTCAGCATCAGAATAAGGCTGAGAACTTGTTATGGGTTGAATTATGTTCCCCCCACCACCCCCAGTAAGTCCCAGTGACCTTATTTGGGAACGAGGTCATTACAGATGTAATTAGTTAAGATGAGGTCACACTGGAGCAGGCTGGACCCCTAATCCAATATGACTAGCGTCCTTCTAGAAAGAATGGCATGTGAAGAGAAGGAGATATCCATAGAGGGAAGATGATGTGAAGATGTACAGGGAGAAGATGGCCATCTACAAGCCAAGGAGAGAGATCTGGAGCAGATCTTTCAGACTTGATTTCAGACTTCTAAGACTTCTAGCCTCCAGAACTGTGAGACAGAATTTTTTTTTAGACAGAGTCTCACTCTGTTGCCCAGGCAGGAGTACAGTGGTGTGATCTCAGCTTACTGCAACCTCCGCCTCCCAGGTTCAAGCGATCCTCCTGCCTCAGTGCCCTGAGTAGCTGGGACTACAGGCATGTATCATCACACCCAGCTAATTTTTTGCATATTTAGTAGGGACGGGCTTTCACCATGCTGGCCAGGCTGATCTCGAACTCCTGATCTCAAGTGATCCACCTGCCTTGGCCTCTCATAGTGCTGGGATTACAGGCATGAGCCATCGTGCCTGGCCAAGACAATACATTTCTATTGTTTGGACCAACCTGGGTGTGTTACTTTATCACTACAGCCCTAGCAAACTAATACTCAAAAAAATTCTCAAGAAAAATGTATGGGTGAATAAACAAGTGAATTAATCCTTTCAATGAAGAAACTGAAGGCCAGTGAAGTTGATTAACTTGCCAGAAACACACCATGGTGAACGGGCAGAACCAAGACTCAAATCCAGCTTTCCTGCCGCCCCATCTAGCTCTCAGCCACCACATCTGGATGCCACGTCAGTCTGTCTCATGAGCACTAACAATGGTGGGCTGAGGTTGAGGGGGATCTCCGGAGCCCCTTCACCATCTCCTAGGTCTTGCCTATCCTGCCTTCCTGCTTAACGCTCCCACCACCATCACATAACCTGGATATGTTGTGGCCAGACAATTATTGACGTATGTTTGTTAAGTGTTCTGATCTCCTCTCAGAGGAAAACCCTGTGTTTGACTCTTCTATTATTCAGGAAGTAATAAAAGTTATAGTCATAATATATAAGAAAAAAGAATGATTCACTGCTGAGCTACTGAGCTACAGGGAGCAATCCAAGGTTTAGAACAGACAATTGGCTAAGATCAGTCACGATGATGTCACAGCGGAATATACAAATACCTCAGTGGGCTGATCCAAGAGAACATCACAATTAAATCAGCTTACTGCTGAGCACTCTTCCACATCTGTGAAGAGCTGCTCTCCATTCTGACAGCCACGTTTAAGGAGGTGGTGGAGGCGGCAGTCTATCCAACACCCTCCACACAGGAAGAAAGGATTGCAAAGTGCTACTGAGTAAATGAACATCATTCACATGGAAATGCACTGGACGAGATCATACATGTTAAGACAGTTAACAGACAGGTTAGGAACAATGTTTTCTTTTCAGAATGGAATTACAGTATGACATTGGGCATGGGAAACTGATGAGAGCCATCAGAGATGATATTCAAAATGTTTAACAAAATATCGACAGCATAAGCCATCAATGGCCAATGCAGCCTTATCAATGCAGAGTGGTTGAACATGGTGCTGGTGAAACTCACTTGGCTAGAATAGCAGAGATGCCATTAACCTCTCTGACCCTTAGTTTAGTTTCTTCATTGCAGAGTGAGGCACCACCACTTATTTCCTAGTGTTGTTACAAAGGTTAAGAAAAAAATCTGTGCCACAATTCCTGGTACATATCAGATCCCCAATAATAAGAGCAAACATTTATGTGTCTTTATTATATATAAGGTATTAGCAAATGCTAATTTACTTAACCCTTATAGCAGCCCTAGTATTCAACTATTTTTTTTTTTTTTTTGAGACAGGATCTCACTCTGTCACCCTGGCTGGAGTGCAGTGGCACAATCACAGCTCACTGCAGCCTCCACCTCCCGGGCTCAAGTGGTCCTCCTGTCTCAGCTTCCTAAGTAGCTGGTGCTACAGATGTATACCACCATGCCCAGTTAATTTTTAAATTTTTCGTAGAGACAGGGTCTCACTATGCCACCCAGGCTGGTCAAGAACTCCTGGGCTCAAGCAATTATTATTAGCATTTTCCCGTTGGAGAAATTGATATAGAGAGCGGTTAAGCAACTTTCTCAATGTCACACTGCTGGTGAATGGCAAGACAGGGTCTTAGGACCCAGGTAGAATGAATCCCAGGGGCTCCTTCCCCACCCTATGCTACCCTCAGGAAATGTCGGGGCCCATCCCTCCCACTTTATGCTCCAGAGAGCCAGTGTCCCTGCAAACCTAACATCTCATTGCCTCAAAGTCCCAGCTAAAGCCTAGTGGAGAGGACATCACTCTTTGGTCCTTCAGTGCCCTAGCCCTTCTTTCTAGGTTTACTCAATTTCCATTTGCATGAAGACAGACAAGAAAAACAGTCCAATTAATACGAAGCGTAAGACCACAAGATGAGAAGGCTTTTGCTTTGCTTTTTATTTTGTATCAGCTGAAGTGCTGTGAGTATTCGGGATGAAAAATTATTTATCCCAGTTAATGAATCTCATGATAATAAAAATGCCTGACAGCTCTGAGATTAGTGAGTAGCCCTTATCTGGGGACCACTTAGTGAAGCAAATCCTGCGTGAACAAAGGACAAATGGGATTTGGGAGAATGAGGAGGAAGGGAGGCTAAGAACGAACATGTGTTTTGCAGCTATCTCATGCCAGGCATCACACAAGGTACTCAACCCTCATTCTTTCTTTTAATTCTTTTGAGAACTCAGTCTTTATACAAACACTTATGGCAGTGCCAGGTACCATAATAAGTGTTGGGGTTACAAAATTAAATAAATCATGGCCCCTGTCCTTTTAAGTAGAATGGATACAGAAAATAAGTAGAGAGGCTATTTATGTTCACTGCAATATTAGTTTGATATGAGTATACACAGGCAGTGGAACTATGCTATACAGGCCAAGATGATACCTACCATGTCAATAGTTCCTGCATAAGGACTATTTCCTGCATACGCAGCTGTGTTCTGGGCTGGGTGATATACCCCTGCACCTCCCCATGGCCCCTCAGGCCCTTCACGGAGGTTAGTTGGCTAGAGGAGTGAGATTCTCTTAGGAGTTTACACTTGGAAGCAGAAAGAGAATCAGGCAATTGGTTGTGGGAACAGAAACTGAGAAGATGATCTAAAAGGAGTGATGAAGTACAGTAGAATGGGGCTGGGTGGGACCATGTGTAAGCGGAAGCTATGAATACACAGAAGATACAAGGCACAGAAAACGCTGAGCAGAATGTGAGGAAGCTAGGTCGTAGCAGGAAATGAATAGAAGCAGAGGATACTCTAACCAACGTATGCCCCACAATTTAATCCTTTCCCTAATGTTAGATCATTCTCATTTTTTCCTGTATTACAAGGAATCCTATGATGAATATCATTGCACATCAGTATTTGTAGCATTTCTGATGAGTTTCTCTAATATATTCTTGGATTAAATGGTATGCACATTTTAATGCTCTTGAGACAAGTATGCATCTTTATTTCCAGGAAGATAGCACTAATTTCCCACGCCCTTCAGTATTATATGAGTGAGTCTACTTTAACACATTGTCTCACACTGAGTCCTTGTCACTTAAACAGGGAACGGTAGTAACTACCTTTTTAATTGTTTAATTATTTAATTTTTAATTGTTTGCATATTTTTCATATGTTATGGGACATTTGTATTTCCTCTTTTGTGACTCCAGCTTGTTTATGTCTTTTTGTCCATTTGCCTATAAGGCCATTTATAATGCTCTTATTGATGTATGAGAAATCAATAAAATTTATATAACAAGACCAATACTCACTGACATATTTAGCAAACACTTACCCATAATTAGTTGTTTTCCTTTTCATTTTTATTTGAGGCACGGAAGTTTTATATTTTTCAATATATTGATATTTTCCTTTGTAATTTGTTTCAAAGGGTTTCTTTTTGCGGAAAAAAATCTTTTTCTGTTTTCTAGATCAGGAAAATACTTGGCTCTGTTTCTTTTCCTACTTTTGGAAAATGTTTTTGCTTTTATATTTAACTTTTCTGTTCACTTACAATTTATTTTGGTGTATTTGAACCTTTATGAAGGAAGATTTTGTACTAAATTAAAAAAGAGGATGGTGTGATCCTGTTTCAGAAAAATCTAATCTGTGTTAATGTTTGTTCCCCAGCAGAATCAACCATGGATTACTTCCAATGACCAGTGCAATGACTTGAGCACACACAGACCCATTTAAATACATAATGAGGGAGAACATATGATCAAGGGCGGAGATGCCATCATTTGTGCTCTGTATACAACCTACTTTTATTAAATGGAAATTATGGTCACTGAATAACTCAATCTACCTAAACTCTTACAAGGAATCAGAAGCCCTCAGTTCTTAAGCTGGGTCTGTACTGATTTACAATGGGACACAAACACACTGTACCTCCTTAACCCTAACACCCACTTTCCAATTGCCTGTCTTTCAAAACTATCTAATTAGATTTCTTTAAAAAGAACATTTTTGTCATTTGTGAGGAATTTTTCTTTTCTTTTTTAGTTTGCTCTTACTGAAAAACCAAGGCAACTTCAACTTTATCTTTTCATAGGGTCCCTTTCCAAGTGTTATGACTGAATGGAAGCTGTGTGGTTGGTGAAGTACTTCGGCTATATTTCCAAAAATATGCAATTGTTAGGGGCTGCAATGCAACAGCCAGTTCCAGAGACTAGCAAAAGGCAGGGGGATACTCTCAAGAGTGACTACACTCGAGACTTTCCATTTCAGCAACTTCAGGAATTGGGGAAAACTCACTAATTCAACACTGAGTTCTCTGAAAGTGATGGTGTATTAGTTTGCTAGGTCTACCATAACAAAGTACAGCAAATTGGGTGGCTTAAACAACAGACATTTGTTTTCTCAGAACTCTGGAGGCCAGATATTCAAGATGGCAGCACTGGGGAGAAAATCTAGCTTCTGGTGGTTTGCAGGCAATCTTTGACATTTCTTTGCTTGCAGAAACATGACCACAATATCTGTCTTACTCTTCACATGGCATTCTCTGTAAAGCCACACTATTTGCTTAGATTGTTTGAAGAAGGCACTTTCAGATGTGTTCCAGAGGCTGGGCACCTTGATCTGGATCAAACGCTGCCAATTGTTGGTTGAAGGTGAGTGTAGAAATGTATCTACTTCCAAAGCCAAAATATTACTGTATTAGTCCGTTTTCATGCTGCTGATAAAGACATACCTGAGACTGGGTAATTTATACAGGAAAAAGGGTTTAACGGACTTACAGTTCCACGTGGCTGGGAGGCCTCACAATCATGGTGGAAGGAAAGGAGGAGCAAGTCACATCTTATGTGGATAGCAGCAGGCAAAGAGAGAGCTTGTGCAGGAAAACTCCACCTTATAAAGCCATCAGATCTTGTGACATTTATTCACTATCACGAGAACAGCACGGGAAGGACCTGCACCCATGATTCAGTTACCTCCCACCTGGTCCCTCCCACAACATGTGGGAATTCAAGATGAGATTTGGGTGGGGACACAGCCAAACCATATCAATTACTAAGTACACAGAAAAATTTATAAGTCTTGGTCCATGTACCTCATCAACTTCTTCTAGCAAGAAGCAGCTGGCTGACTTGCAATGAAATCTCCTTAGAGTTTTATCTTTAAATCATTGATCTCAATGGATATCTTATACCTGAAAATTTGCTGTTTTACTAAGGGTGAAGTAAATTAAATTCCACAAGAGTTAGAAAATAATTTAATCAGCTGGCAAAAGCTAAGGATGAAAGCAAGTTAATACAAATTTCAATTTTCAAACAAGATTCAATACATGTATATAATTTATTTGGCTAGATTCAATACATGTATATAATTTATTTGGCTATTACAGGGAGAGAAAACATAATTACTAGGTCTTATTAAAAGTATGTCTTTCTTCTTTTCCCTGTCATCCTTTCTTCCCTTTCTTCTTTCATTTTTAAATTCCCTTCCCCTCTTCCTCATTCCTTCCTCCTTTCTTTTCTTCTTCCCTCCCTTGATGTTTTCCATTTACTCAGAAAACATTTAGGGAGCAATTACCACAAGTTAGAGTATACACCATATGCCAAGGATGCACCCAAAATGTACAGGTGATAAAGCAGCAGTTCCTGCCCTCAGCAAGTTCATAGCCTAATAGAATCTGAGTTATGTAAGGGTGAAGGCCCTACAGTACATTCTCTATAATATTGTAGTAAGAGGAATAATCTCAGATCTCATGCATGCATTCCATGATTTTTCTCTTTACTTTTGCCACTGTTTTTCTACCTGATATTAATCTTAATACTATAATCTTATACTACTCCTTCAAGCAGCTCCGTGTGTTTTCTATAGGCCCACCAATTATTGCCATGTTCTAATAAGGTTTTAAAGAAAATATGTGACCCTTTAGAACATCACCCCACTTCCATGCCTGTCTTCCATCCTCTGTATAAAGAGCAGAGGGTGTGAAGAATGGACTAGAAGGGTTCCTGGGTGGCTCATTGTTGTGATCTGTTTGCCTGCTTTGGCATGCTTTGATTATAATAAATATCTTCTCTGAGGGGAGCATTTTGAGGAAAGTGATTGTAAAAGAAGATGGAAATCCATCTATAAAGATGGTAACCACAGGAACTAATTTGAAGAGGTTTTTCATATTTATTAATAGCATAGAATTGTCCTTCCAGAAAGCATAAAGTTCTAAATTTGAACAAAGTCCACAGTCTGAACCAAAATTCTGTACCTTTCAGAATGGATCATAAAAGAAAAAAAGTCTACAGCACAAAAATAGTTTCCTCCTATAACCTCAAACAAATGTGAGGGCGATCTGCCCTTGCAATTTTCATTACTTCAAGATAACAACAAGGAAACTATGATTCAGTTAGTTCTTTCCTTTCACACATTCAGAGTTACTCTGCAATTGCTGAGTGCTAGTGTATCTATCCTCAAGTGGCATTTCTGTTTGAGAACTGTATTTTTCATTATTTAGAGTTTTCTGTAATTTTTACTGGTAATATTAATATTTAACAATATCATACCCCCAGAGGTATCTTTGTGCAACTTTAGAATATACGTACTTTGTTTCTTTTTATGACTCTAACCTTTTATTCTTTCATTCCTCTAGTACTCTGAATATAAGAGAGTCTACACGCTTTTTAGTGAGGATTTTTTGATCCCTGCTTCATAAGTGTCACTCATTGTAGGCTTTCCTTTGACAACAAAAATTCCTGCTCTCTTTACGTTGACTCTAATTACTTCACCAGAAAAGGTAAACCTGTCATTGTGTAAGAAAAGGAATTAAGTTAATGTAACTGTTTCTTAAGGTCTTATTATTATTTTATTTTTATTTTTTTGAGACAGAGTCTTGCTGTGTGGCCCAGGCTGGAGTGCAGTGGCACAATCTCGGCTCACTGCAACCTCTGCCTCCTGGGTTCAAGCGATTCTCCTGCCTCAGCCTCCCGAGTAGCTGGAATTATAGGCATGCACCACCACGCCTGGCTAATTTTTCTATTTTTAGTAGAGATGGGGTTTCACCATGTTGGCCAGGCTGGTCTTGAACTCCCGACCTCAGGCGATCCACCCACCTCAGCCTCCCAAAGTGCTGGGATGACAGGCATGAGCCACTGTGCCTGGCTCTTAAGGGCTTAATGTGAATGTTGCATACACATGTAATTTCTGATTCATTTGTGGACCTTTGCGTAAAAATAAAATTTTCTTAGAAATTCATAGAAAAACATGGCAGTTCTTACCATGCATCACAGTCAATTTCCTGAGGGTTCTGTTCTTTGGAGTCTGGGGAGGGGAGGTGCTGTGGTTTGGATGTGTTTTTTTCCCACCAAAGCCCATGGTGAAATTCAATCCTCAGTGTGGCAGTGTGGGGAGATAGGGCCTAGTGAGAGGTGTCTGGGTCATAGAGGTATATCCCTCATGAATAGATTAATGCCTTCCTGCTAGGGTGAGTGAGTTCTAGCTCTCAGGGGAATGGGTTAGTTCCCTTGAAAGTGAGAATGGGTTGTTAAAAGGAGTCTGGCTTCCTTGGTTTTGCTCTTTTGCTTCCTTTCTCAGCCTGTGATCTCTGCACACTTTGGCTCTCTGTCACTTTCCACCATCAGTAGAAGCAGCATGAGGCCCTCACCAGACACAGCTGCCTAAGCTTGGGGTTTCCAGGATCATGAGCCAAATAAACCTCTTTTCTTTATAAACTACCCGTCTCAGGTAGTCTGTTCTAGCAACATAAAACAGACTAAGACAGAGGTCTTCAATACCAAAAGATAGTCTACTTGATGTGTGAAGGGAGGCTTTGGTTTGCCTGCTATAAAATAATTTTAGTTGATGAACCCGAAGTTCCCTGAAGGTTTAGTTTCTGGTGACTTTCATTCTGCAATTCTTGCACAAATGGAAAAAAATCCATCCTAGTTGAATGGAGTACCTACACTACAAATGTAGAGTGAATCTGTAGAAACCACTTTTTAGATAACTGATAAACCAGCTAGTTGCTAATCACTTCATTGCTGCTTCCCACCACCAGTCAATGTTTAAAAAAAATAAAGAATTCTCCACCTAACTTTGACAACTGGGGAAAGGTAGGACTTTGTTTCAGCATCAAAAGGAAGTAGAGCCACGTAGAATTATCATTTAGTTCCCTCAGTCATAGCCATTTCTCATTTTTCATCTTCCCTACTTTTCTCAGGGCCATTTATTGTCCTCTAATGCCTCCCTTCTCTTCATTCTTTTTTGCTCTTAATATCTCTGGAGGGACACCAAAGAAGTGATTTCTTTCTGCATTCATTAAAAATAGGTTTATGTTTTGCCTTCCTGTTCAATTCCCACTTGGGCTGTAAGCAAGTAACTAAAGCAAGGGAAGGGTTGGGCATGTGGGCGCCAGACTTAGATGCCTCTATTTATGCCTAGATTCTTCCTATTTCTCCCATTCTTCCCTCAGGATAGGAGAAAAAGGAGGTGGCAGAGGTCTGATTAAAGCAGGGATGAGCAACTGAGCCACCACTGCAGTGCTGAGATTGGGTGAAGCCCCCAGCTTCACAGAAAGGCCTGCAACATCATTGCAAGATTAAATGTGCCAATATTCTTGCTAAGTTACTACTTTTTGCACATTACCAGAGAATAGACTTCCCGGGCCTAAAGGAATGGCAATGTTTTCATTGTCATTTATTTCTCTGTTCAGTAAGGTAGATAGTACAGGTTTTAAGAGTCTTCTTTTTTTTCCTCATGAGACTCTATTTCTTTTCCCCTCTATTTTCTTCTATGCTAAATGGCTGTATCTACTCTTGAAAATACATTCTAACTCTAAGTGTCCTTTGTGGATTTGACTTTAGGAAACCAAAGTAGCTTCCCCCAAGCCACCCTCTGTCTCTCTTTTTTGTTTTTTTGCCCATTGGTCGATTTTACCTTCTTTTTGTATACCATCAACCCAAAGACACAGCATACTAGGGACGTAAGTGTGGAACTGATACCGTTAGTTTTATTTCGGGGTGATGCAATCCCTCTGCTAATTCTTAGATGGTCTTATGGTGTCAGAAGAAAATTTCCTTCTGTCAGAAAGCCTTAAGTACGTTTGGAAAATAATTCAGAATCAAGGCTGTCTTCTTCTGTTTTTTAATCAATTCACTAAATAGTCTTCATCATACAGAGAAATTATTCCTTCTACTCCACTCCAAACTAAGACATTATTTTGAAATAGATTATCAAATAATAGTGCAGACTAATTTCCATAGCTCAATGAGTAGAAGGCAAAGTACATTATTTGCTAATGCAAATGCTGAGCCTTCTCCAAAAAATTTAATATTCAAAGTCCAGACGGGATAAGGAGACAAAAAAAGATTGCTTAACAATTTTCCAAACCAAAGTGACCTATAACACACAAAATATGGTTCTATTATGTGCAACTGATATTTTCTTTGTTGAGAATAATGAGCTACAGCAGAATGGCATAATGTAGAACTCCACAGCTGATAAGCTTTCTGCATAAGAACAGGAAGAGGACATTTCTTAAAGAGTTCTGTGTTCATTGCTTACCTTGAGGAGGCAGTGAATGGAATTACTGTTAATAGTAACAATATGAAGCTAATTGGTTTAAAATGAAGCAGCAGGAAATGCTGATGATGAGACTGGGGTATATGAAGGAAGAATGAAAAATCTATACTCCGGCTACACAAAAATGATGCTTAAAATGTAACTTAATCTTGATATTTTATTCATAAATGACAAATCTGCTCACTACACTGATTCCCTAGGTGACTCATCAAATCCCATCTCTAGGTTTATGAATCTCAAAATTTTGTAGCTAGTTCTGACTGTTTTCACTGGCAAAATTTGTCAAAATCAACTTCTTAAGAATTTGGAAATTAACCCAAAGTTTGCAATAATACAAAAAGCATTTACTTTTTTAAAAAATGGCTGAATCCCAGTAAAAACAGTGAGCTTTGTGGCATTTTAACTTGCACTTATAACCATCTGCCTCTCCACAGCTTCACAGTATCCTTGAAAATCAACAGCTTTGCAGCCATGATAGCTATGAAAACTAGCAGCCTAGCAGCCACTGGAGGGGACAGGTCAGGTATGAAGCTCCCCCAAAATTCCCATTCCCAGAGAATGGTCACTATTTAACCTGTCTGAAAGTTCCTTAAGAAAGCTCCATTCTTATAGTTTGTCTTTATTTGCCTTGACTTAAAGCTCATTTGGTGGGAATAGCCCTGACCCCAGCTAATTTTTTGAAATAATCAGCAAAAAAGCTTTCAGAATAGTGACACTAATTGAAACTAAAAAAAGAATGACCAAAAATTTCACAGGAAAGACTGGATAATGAGATGTGTTTAGGGGGGTTTGAAAAGCTCTGATAGATTTCTGGTAATCTAGAAGGCCATGCACATATACAGGGCTGTGCACGTTCCCAGAAAAGACCTGAGAAGCCCCTATTCTCTCATCTCTAGTTGACTTTGAGGTTCTGTGCAAGCTGGATGTGAAGGCTAAGGCAGAGTTGTAAACTGCCTGGTAGAGCATTGAAGACACACCTTAATACACACACATAGTCCTTTGGCAGTGGCTGGGAGACTTACTGGCTCAAGGCATTTAAGGAAATCTGTTCAATCATTAGGTAATTGGTAAGCTAACTGAGCACAGACTTCTGTGGATGCAGTGAGAGATAACACAGAATTTACAGAATTAGTCCAGGAAAGTCACTAAACAAACAGCAGCTGCAATAATAAAGGGCATCAACAACAGACCTTAGAGAGGAGGGAGGAATATGAATTCCAGAATTGCCACACTATATTCCTTAAAATGTATAGCATTCAACAAGAAGTTAGGAGACATGTAAATAAAAAGCAAAGTATGGCCCATACACAGGAAAAAAGGAAGTCAATAGAAACTGTCCATGGATGTTGGACTTCCTAGACGAAGACTTTAAACCATCTATCATAAATATGTTCAAGTTACTATAGGAGACATGTCTAAAGAATTAAGGGAAAGTATGAAAATAACGTTTTGGCAAATAGAGAATGTTAACAAAGGATATAAATGATTTAAACGTACAAAATCGGAATTGTGGAGCTGAGCAGTGTAATAGCTGTGATAAAAATATAGTGGGGCTCAACAGAAGAAAGAATAAGCAAACTTGAATAAAGGCCAATTGAGATGAATAAATAGAAGAACAGAGGAAAAAAGAATGAAGAAAAACAGTATCAAAGACCTGTGCAGTGCCATCAAATGTAACAACACATGCATAGTGAGAGTCCCAGACAGATAAGAGAAAAAAAGGGGATGAAGAATATTTGAAGAAATAACAGCTGGGAACTCTCCAAACTTGATGAAAACTATTAATCCACACATGCAAGAAGCCCAGTGAACTCCAAGTAGGGCAAACTCAAAGAGATCCTTACTTTACTACATTACAGCCAAACTTTCTACAGCTAAAGACAAAAAGAGAATCTTGAGAATGCCAAGAGAAAAGTGACTCATTGAGTTCAAGGGATCCTAAATAACATTAACAGCCAGCTTCTCAACAAAAACCATGAAATCCAGAAGAAAAAGGAATGACCTATTCAAAGTGCCAAGAATTTTACATCCAGCAAAACCACCAGTTAAAAACAAAGGAGAAATTAAGACATCCTCAGATAAACTGAGGGAATCTTATCACTAGCAGATCTTGCTCCACAGCAGATAGTAAGGGGAAACCTTCCGGGGGAAATGAAAGGATGCTGGACAGTAACTCAAATCCACATGAAAAAATAAAGAGTACCAGTACAAGTAACTGCATTTGTAAATATAAAAGACAATATAAACACATTTTTGCTTGTAACTCTTTCTAATTTAAAAGACGAATGCAAAGCAATGATGACAAGCTGTTTGATAGGCTTATAATTTATAAATATATACTTTTTTAATTGAAATTTTTTTCTTTTATCATCCAGCCCAAAATGTCATAAAGATATAATTTCTATGACAATAATAACACAAAGGAGGAGAAAGGGAATGAAGCTATATTGAAGCAGTTTTACATATAATTGACGGTAAATTGGTATTAATCCAAACTAGATTATTTTAAGTTAAGATGTTAATTGTAATCTCTAAGGCAACCACTAAGAAAATAAAGATATAGTAAGAGAAACAAGAAAATTAAAATAGTATACTAGAAAATTTATATGTTAAAAAGAAGAAAACCTCAAGTCAATAACTAAAACACACCTCAAGGCACTGGAAAAAGAAGAGCAAATTAAACCTAAAGCAAGAAGAAGAAAGGAAATAATAAAAATAAGAGTAGAAATAAATAATTTAGAGAACAGTAAAACAATAGAGGAAATCAACAAAACCAAAAGTGTATTCTTTGAAAAGATCAAGAAAGTTAAATTAACAAATCTTTACCTAGACTGACCAAGAAAAAAAAAAGACTCGAATTTCAAATTATTAAAATTAGGACTGTAAGAGGGGATATTGGCTGTGCAGAAATAAAACAAAAGATTATAAGGGAATGCCATGAACAACTGTATGCCAACAAATTAAATAATCTTGGTGAACTGAACAAATACCTAAAAAACCACAAACTGTTGAAACCAACTCAAGAAAAATTCAAAAATCTTAATATAACAAGGATAGAGATTGGATTCGTAATTAAAAAAAAAAAACTTCCCACAAAGAGAAGTCTAGGCCAAAATGGCCTTATTAATGAATTCTACCAAATACTTAAAGAATTAACACCAATTTCATAAGTTCTACCAAAAAATAGAAAGGGAAGGAATACTTCTGAACTGATTCTATGAGGCCAGTATACACTGACACCATAATGAGACAATGACATCACAAGAAAATAAAATTAAAGATCAATATATCTTATGCATATTGATGCAACAATTCTCTAGAAAATATCAGCAATCTGAATCCAGAAACATATTAAAAGAATTATAACCATGATCAAGTGGGATGCATCCTGGGAATGCAAGATGTATTTAACATACAAACATAAATCATAAATCAATGCAATACTTTAAATTAATATATAAAATGACAAAAATTACGTTATGAGCACAATAGATGCAGGAATCTCCTTTAACACAGCCCAATACTCTTTTATGATAAAAATCATTCAACAAACCAGGAAAAAAACACAGAACTTCCTCAATCTGATAAAGCCCAGCCATATATAGAACCCATACGGCTAAAATAATACTTAATGGCGAAAGACCAGATGTTTTTCCCTTTCCCAAGACAAAGCTAGCTACTCTGGTCACTTCTATTCAATATAGTATTGGGGGTGCTAGCCAGGCTAATTAGGCAAGAAAAAGAAATCAATGCATCTAGCTTGAAAAGGAAGAAGTGAAACTATCTCTATTTGCAGATTACGTGATCGTTATATAGAAAACCCTAATACACACACACACACACACACACACACACACAAGTTCAGCGAGGTTTCCTGATACAAGATCAATACACAAGCATTAGTTGTATTTCTGTGTATTGACAATGAACAATTTGGAAGTGAAATTAAGACAAAAATTCCTTATAGAATAGTATCAAAAAGAAAATGCCTAGTAATAGATTTAAAAAAGAAATGCAATACTTTCACACTGAAAACTAAAATATCATTGCAAGAAGTTAAAGAAAAACTAAATAAATGGAAAGAAAACTCATGTTCATGTATCAGAAGACTGAATACGTGAAGATGGTAATACTCCCCCAAATTGATCTACAGATTCAATCCAATACCTATTAGTATCTCAGCTGCCTTATTTGTAGAAATTAATGAGCTGATCCTAAAATTCACATGGAAATGCAAAGGACCCAAGATAGCCACAAAAATCTTGAGTAAGAAGAACAAAGATGAAGAACTCATACTTCCTGATTTCAAAACCTGATACAAAGCTACAGTTATCAAGACAGTATAAAGCATAAGAACAGTATTGGTATAAGGAGAGACATATAAATCAATGAAAATAATTTATATTTTCAGTAGTTCAGTAGCAGGCTTTTACAGGGTTAACTGATTTTCAGTAAGAGTGCCAAGGTAATCCAATGGAGGGGAAACAGGCTCTTCAACAAAAGTTCTGGACAACTGAATATCCACATTCAAAGGAATGAAGTTGTACCAGCTCACATGATTCACAAAAATTAACTCAAAATGAATCATAGGCCTAAATGAAAATGCTAACACTATAAAACTCAGAAGAAAACATAGAAGAAAATCTTCAGAATCTTGGATCAGGCATGACTTCTTAGCAATGACACTGAAAGCACAAGTGACACAAGAAAAAATATATAATGGACATCATCAAAATTAAAAACTTTTTGTGATTCAAATGATATTATGAAGAAAGTAAAAATACAATCCACAAAAATGGAGAAAATATTTGTAAATCAAATATCTGATAAGGGTTTTCTATTCCAGGTATATAATTAATTGTTATAGCTCAACAATAAAAGATAAGTGACCCAATTTTAAAATGGGCAAAAGATTTGAATAGACATTTCTCCAAAAAATATATGCAAATAACCAATAAACACATGAAAAGTTACACAGCCTCACTAGTCATCAGGGAAATGCAAATAAAAACCACAATGAAATACCACTTCATTCCTACTAAGATGGCTAAAATAAAAAAGACCATAACAAATGCTGACAAAGGTGTGGAGAAATTGTAACTCTCATATGTTACTGGTGGGATTATAAAATGGTGAAGCCACTTTGGAAAACAGTTCAGCAGTTCCTCAGAAAGTTAAATTTAGAGTTACCATATGATCCAGCAATTCCACTCCTAGGTATACACCCAAGAGAATTGAAAACATATGTGGATACAAAATTTGTACATAAATGTTTCTAGCAGCATTATTAAAAATAGCCCCAAAGTCTAAACAATTCAAATGTCCATGAAATGATGAATGGATACATAACTGTGGTGTATCTATATGATGGGATAAAAATTTGTCAATAAAATGAAGTACTTATACATACTATAATCTGGTGAACCTTGAAAACACTCTAATTGAAAAAAACTAATGAAAAAAAGACCACATATTGTACGATTCTGTTTATATGAAATGTCCAGTGTAGGGGCTGGGGAAAGTGGGGGCGGGGTAGTGACTGCTCATGGTTATGGGGTGTCTTTTGGGGATGGTGAGAATGTTCTAAAGTTAAGACAGTTGTGATGGTCACACAACTCTGTGAGTACACGAAAACCACTGAATTGTACATATTAAAGGAGCAAATTTAATGGTGTGTGAATTATATCTCAATAAAAAATAATGTGGTGTAAATCTGGCCACTCATGGTTTTCACCTCCCTTTTTTTTTTCTCCCCTATTGGGACAATTCATAAGTTACCATGCTGCTGGCAGCTCTGGCAGAAAATGATGGTGACAGAAAATGACATTTCAGGAATGGCTTTTAAGGCACGAGGAGCAATAGCCTGAGGATAATCAGAGTTGTTAGGCTACTCTCCTGTCCTGGAAAGTGAAATCAACCTGATTCTGTCCATCATGGACACTGGTGACTTGAGTTGTTGACGAATGTTCTGTAAAGTTTAATATCCCCTGCTACACTTTAAATACAGAGCCCAATCCACCATATCTTTCAAACTCAGGCTATTTCAAACATAACTGAAGTAGAACTTCAAATTAGAGAAACTTGAGGCCTTCTGATCACTGGCCAGAGGGGAAAAATTGTTTTTTATGACCTGAAAATGTATTTAGTATGAAAAGAAAATGACTTCTTAAGATGAGAATAAGAAAGGGGGGAAATAACCAAATTTGAAGTTCTAGGTAAATACAATAAGGCAACTGAATAGACACTCCTTTCTCCTGTTTTCTATTAGGATTATAATTGGGGATTCTATCTCCATCCAATAGTGTTTCTGTACACTTCAAAGGTAGGCTAACTATTTAAACCAGAGACAGAACACTCTGTATTACTCTTTTTATATTGATGTCCTGTTACAACCATGTTTTGTTTCGTTTTGTACTAGAGAAAAAAGAGGACTCAAACTTATGTTGTCAAATATTTCCTAGACACTTTTGTGTGTGACAGGAAGGAAACTTGTTAATACTGCTGTCTCAGGTAATACTGCTTTTTTAGTTAATACTGCCCTTCATCCCTGTGTTTACCCCCTCGAGCTTATCCTCCCTGTTATCTGATTGGTTTGTCAACATTCTGAACCAAAACTCTATTTTTTAATGGAAAGCCTAAGGAGGCACTTTTTCCTGAAAGAGATTGGTGTCCCTGATTATACTTACTCAGAGCCTTCTCTGGATTACTGGGAAGGAACACACCTGTGCATTTGATCTTAACAAGCTCTAAATCTATATTGTGTTGCTCAGGGGTTGCCTGACAGAGCTCAGTCCCATGGTGGAAGAAACCTACCAACCTCGGTCTTCTCAGCTTTCAAAGGCGACACCTGCCTCTGGCCTCTCTCTGCATTCTCCCCATTATGATGTGGTTCTCCAGACCAGGGAAGAGACCAGGGGGAAACACAAACTAACACAACAAGCTCCTTCTGGTTCTGTGTGTAGCTCTTTGCAATTTCCCTGCTCTGGTAGGCAGCACTTTCCAATCAGCCCTGCAGCTCCACCTCTGAGAATTCTTCATGAGGAACAAGCTTTCTTTAGTCATAGTCACTTGTATAAGAAGAGATGTTTTCCTTCATGAGTTGTTTGAAATGCAGTACAGTCATTCCTTGTGTTCTGAAAAGCTCCCACTAAATGACATCATTTAATTCCAGGATGCTCAGAATACTTAATAATACCTTTGGTTTTGTCTTTGCAAAACAAGTTTTGTGTTTGTGGAAGGGAACAAATCTGAGGAGTGGCAAGCGGCGAAGACCAAAAGCTTATCTGTGTGGAATTGCTGCTGTAGACAAGAACAATATAATCCTCCCTGTTCTGTACCTACTAAATCTTACAAAGGGTTAGAAAAATAGTATTTCATCTGTCTTTGGGTTTTTGATAATACCAAATAACATCAAATGGAAGCAGTCTCATGGTTTCTTCATTGCTAAACTAATTGTTATTACATACTTGTTCCTGTGTGATGTTAATATATATTCCTGGAACCAGAAAGGTCTACATGGTCAAATAAATTTGAAACTTGCATTAAATAAGAATAAATTGATTTTTTTCTCCTTCAGGGTTTCACAGAATCTTTAATACCAATGTGCTTTTTTGAACCTCTTAATGCAGCTCTGGTAGGCTGACTTTCTGTGTGTGTGTGATTATTTTATTTACTGCCAATCTCCTTAAAGTTAGTTTTTATTTAAAAATTATTTGTATAAACACCTGAACTATTTGACTTTTTAAAAATTCCATTCTATTGTGTTAATAGCACTTAACATGCGATCTACCTCTGTAAACCATTTTTAAGTGTACATTATTGTTGACTGTAAGGACAATGTGGCACAGTAGACCTCTAGAGCATATTTATCTTGGTTGACTGAAACTTTATGGCTGTTGATTAGTAACTCCCCATTTAGTAACTCCCCAATTAGTAACTCTCCCTAGCCCTGGAAACCACAATTGCACTCTTTGATTCTATGAGTTTGACAATTTCAGATGCCTTACACAAGTAGCATTATGTAGTATTTGAATTTCTGCGACTAACTTACTTCACTTAGCATAATGTCCTCAAGGTTCATCTGTGTTGTCACATATTGCAGAGTTTCCTTCTTTTTAAAGACTGAATAGTATTCCATTGTATGCAACTGTGTATGCATACACCACATTTTCTTTATCCATTTGTTGATGGATATTTAGGTTGTTTCTATGTCTTGGCTGTAGTGAATAGTGCTGCTGTGAATATAAGAGTGCTAATACCTCTTTAGATCCTGATTTCAATTTTGGTGGGGGATACATACCCAGAAGTAGATTGCTGGATCATGTGGTAGACATATGTTTGTTTTTTTTAAGAAACATCTATACTGCTTTTCATAGCAGCTATACCATTTTACGTTCCCACCAACAGTGTGGAGCGGTCTCAATTTCTCCACATTCTTGACATTTGGTGTCTTTTTAAAAAAATAATACTCATCCAGACAGGTGTGAGGTGAGCTCTCATAGTGCTTTTGACTTGCATTTCCCTGATGATTAGTGATGTTAAGTATTTTCTCATATACCTGTTGTCATTTGCATGTCCTCTTTGGAGAAATGTCTATTCAAGTCCTTAGCCCATTAAAAAAAATCATGTTACTAGGTTTTTTTTTCTTTTTTACTATTGAGTAGTAGGAATTCCTTGTATAGGTTGGAGAATAACCTCGTATCTGATATATGGTTTGCAAATATTTTGTCCCATTCAGTAAGTTGCCTTTTCACTCAGTTGACTGTTTCTTTTGTTGTGCATGAACTTTTTATTTTGATGTAGTCCTACTTATTTTTGTTTTTGTTCCCTGTGCCTTTTGTGTCATACCCATGAAATCATGGCCAAGACGACTGTCAAGTGGTTTTTCATGTATGTTTTCTTCTAGCAGGTTTACAGTTTCAGATCTTTAAATGTAAAATAATAATATTGAATTGATATTTTGTGTATGCCATAAGGTCCAGTTTCATTGCTTTGTATGTCACGTCCAGTCTTCTCAATATCATTAGTTGAAGAGACTATCCTTTCCCATTGTGTATTCTTGGCACCGTTTGTGATGACCAGTTGACCATGTATGCATGGATTTATTTCTGGGCTCTTTATTCTACTCCATTAGCCTATATGTCTGTTTTTATGCCAGTATCATACTATTTTGATTACTGTGGCTTTGTGATATATATTGAAATAGGACGTGTGAGGCCTCCAGCTTTTTTCTTCTTTCTCAAGATTGACTTGGCTAAGAATTTTAGCATTTTGTCTATTTATGTAAAAAAATGCCATTGGAACTTTGATAGGAATTGCATTTAATCTGTAGATTGCTTTGAGAAGTATGAACATTTCAATAATATTAGATCTTCCAATCCATGAACATTTGATATCTTTTCATTTGTTTGTTTCTTGTTTTATTTCTTTTTACTATATTTTGTAGTTTTCAGTCTGCTTTCAACTTCTTAGTTGAGTTTATTTCTAGATATTTTATTTTTTTGGTGCTATTGTAAATAGAATTTTTTTCCTAATTTCTTTTTTCAGATAGTTCATTGTTAGTGTATAGAAATGCAAGTAATTTTTATATATTGATTTGGTATATATCAATATATACCAACTTTACTGAATTCATTTTTTAGTTCTAACAGTTTTTTTTTTAAATGGAGTCTTTAGAATTTTCAAATATATAAGATCATGTCATCTGCAAACAATGTGGACAATTTCACTTCTTCCCTTTCAATTTGGGCACCTTTTTTCCTTGCCTGACTGCTCTGGCTAGGACTCCCAGTATTATGTTGAATAGAAGTGGCAAGAGTAGGCATTCTTGCCTTGACTCTAATCTTAGAGAAAAAGCTTTCAGTTTTTCATCATTGAGTATGAGGTTGGCTGTGGGCTAACCACATATCACCTTAATTATAATATGTTGAAGTAATTTCTTTCTGTTTCTAGTTTGTTGAGAGTTTTTATCATCAAAGGATGTTGAATTTTGTCAATTGATTTTTCAGCATCTATTGAGATGATCATATGATTTTTATCTTTTATTCTGTTAATGTGGTGCTAATTGGTTTTCATATGTTGAGCCATCCTTGAATTCTACAGATAAATCCCACTTGGTTATGGTGTATGATCCTTTTAATGTGCTTTTAGATTCAGCTTTCTAGTATTTTGTTGAAGATTTCTGCATCTATGCATATCAGGGATATTGGCTGCAGTTTTCTCTTCTTTTGTACTGTCTTTATCTGGCTTTGGTATCAGCATAATGCTGGTCTCATAAAATAAATTTGGAAGTATTCTTCCCTCTTCAAGTTTTTGGAAGAGTTTGAGAAAGATCGACATTAATTCTTCTTTAAATGTTTGGTAGAACTCACCAGTGAAGTAATTTGGTCCTGGGATTTTCTTTGTTAGGAGGTTTTTATGATAGACAGTCTTGCCTCTTGAATGAATATTTATATCTCAAGAAGCTAGTGTTCTGTGAAAGTTTGTGAATGAAGTTTTAGATTCATACCCTTTAACCTAATGTAATAATTAAGAGAGGAGACTTTGGACAAAAAGTACTGGATTCTATTTGTGGGTCTCTACCAATTAACTTCATTTACAGAATTAGCATAGTAATACTTGCTACAAATCGAGTTGTGAAAATTTAGTGAAATATATGTATACTAACAAACAAAACCCCAGGCACTTAGGTGGCCTTAAATAAATGGTAGCTATTATTGTGTATAAAAAAGTTAGTTTAGTCAACACCTTTTCCAGCAAGAAGCAAGAATTTCTTTCGTTTATAATAATAATTTAATAAAATTTCCTAAAATGCCTTCTGCATGATGCAAGAATGATGAAATTATATGCAATGTTCAGTTCGATTTTAGTGGTTAGCACAATTTATGGTATTTTATTGTTTAGGAAAGGGAGAGTAAAGAACATCTATTGAGAGTTTATTTAGTACTCATACCAGTCTTAGGGAGTAAAAATTATCTAACCCCACTTCACTGATGAGTATGCTTCAGTAAATTGCTAAAGTTCATGGAAAGCATATTCTGTGGCAATGTTAGAATTCAAACCCAGGTCCCCTGACTCCAAAGCCAATGCTGTCTCCATACTGCCATACCACCTTCTTTAAAAATGAACAATTTGGCTGGGCATGGTGGCTCATGCCTGTAATCCCAGCACTTTGGGAGGCTGAGGTGGGCGGATCATGAGGTCAAGAGGTTGAGACCATCCTGGCCAACATGTTGAAACCTCGTCTCTACTAAAAATACAAAAATTAGCCGGGCGTGGTGGCAGTTGCCTGTAATCCCAGCTACTCAGGAGGCTGAGGCAGGAGAATCACTTGAACCCAGGAGGTGGAGGTTGCAGTGAGCCGAGATCGCACCACTGCACTCCAGCCTGGTGACAGAGTGAGACTCTGTTAAAAAAAAAAAGAACAATTAATTCTTGTGTGTACATAATAGCTCTCTGTTAACTAAGGCTATTCTATTCTTCACTTGTTTCAAATAAATATCTCCCCTACTAGATCTCAATACAGTGGTCTTAAGTCAATTTAATCCCAGTAATGTTTTATAGTCATTTTCTCAGAATTTCTCTCATGTTCAGGTAAGGATTACATAATTGAACACAAAATTTTATCTTGTCTAAGTACTTCTGACTTCACAGGGAATTGTGATAAGGAGTATAACTCAGTGGAGATGATGTGGGATGGTAGGTGGAATGCTGGCCGTGGCCTTAGTAGTGATCTTAGTCCTTCCCCTGCTTTAAGTCCCTGTGTGACCCAGTGAGTTACTCTGTATCTTTAGGTCTTAGTTTTCTTACTATTTGCTCTATCTACCTCATGGGAGTTCTGTGAAGAGTAGATTAACTCACTTTTCCAACTCTCCCTATCTGTAGTTGTCTCAAAGTGGAGAATGCATACTCCAGGGATGAGCAGGATGGTTCATTCGGGTAGAGGAGGATGACATCAAGGAACACTTATAGGTGCTTTAAAATTTGTTCTTTTAAAATTTACGTTTTTAGCATATGTTTTATAATGTATGGACATAGCATTACATTTATGAAAACCATAAACACACAAACATATATTGGAGATATGTGCTTTTTTTTTAATTAATAGGGGTAGGTGATAAAAATGTCGAGGGCCTGGTGGCCTCCAGGATAAAGTCCAAATTCTTTAGTATGGCATTTATGTCCTCTGGGGACCCTCCAGCTTCATTTCCTCCCCCATTGCTTCTCCTTCTACTTAATGAACTGAACATACTAGTATGTTTTGTAGCTTCACTGTCTTTGCTTATACTACTCTTTTTGCCAGAGACTCCTGAAACCTCTCTCAGCCTCCCACCTTCCACTTGAAAGACTAATTTCTCAAGACTCAGCAAAGGAGTTATCTCCTGAATAAGCCCTTTCCTGAACCTCTCAGGTATGCCAGATCACTCCTTCCTTGGGCTTCCACTGTACTGTACACATGCCACCTATAAGCTGTGTGGAAGTGTGCTTGTTTGATTTCATTTACTAGTCTGTAGATCTCTGTATTACTCTACACTGCTATAAAGATACTATCTGAAACTGGGCAATTTATGAAGAAAAGAGGTTTAATTGACTCAAAGTTCCAAATGGCTGGGGAGGCCTCAGGAAATGTACAATCACAGTGGAAGGTGAAGCAGAAGCAAGGCACATCTTACATGGCAGCAGGAGAGAGAGAGAGAGAGAGTGCAGGGGAAACTGGCAATTTTAAACCATCAGATCTTGTGAGAACTCCCTCACGATCACTAGAGCAGCATGGGGGAAACTGCCCCCATGATCCAATCACCTCTTACCAGGTTCTTCCCTTGACATGTGGGGATTACAATTCGAGATGATATTTGGGTGGGGACACAGAGCCAAACCATATTAAGGGCAACTGCCATGGCTTCTTAAATCTTTTTTGTTTTAGAACCTAAAATGGTCCCTGGTATGTATTTCATAAATATTGATTAGCTATGCAAATAGCAAATAAGCTCTGAGAGTACTATAGCATGTTAAAATCTCCAGGCAAATGTTAATAGTTATTATTATTAACCTACGTTAAATTCTCATAGGTTTCAGTGGAATATCTTTATTAAAAATCTTAATCAAGTGACGTGAGCAAAACAATCCTAATTGACACCTGTAGACACTGGTTTTCAACCCCGGGAGCTTTCAAAAATATCAGTGCCCAGGCTCTGCTCATAGGGGTTTTGATTCAATTGGTATGGGATATGGGTCAGGCATCTGTGGTTTTTAAAAGCTCCCCAGATGATTTTCATGTGCAGGCAGGGCTGAGAACCATTGTTTCAAATGTCATGGATAGGAAAAGAAAGGTGCTTGGGAAAACCTAAGGCAGAGTGCTCTTCCTGAAAATGCAACTGCAGTTGTGAAAGCTTCTGTCTTTGTAAGGTTAAGATGTGTCCTTGGGGGAAGACACACACACACAAATTGCAGTTATTTATTGAGACCAGACTACTAAGTCACTTCGATGAAAACTTGAGAGCTTAAGACTCGCCAGCATGGGCTAAGAATAGATCACATTGCAGAAACCAGAACAGTTTCTTGGAAGGAATGGCTGAAGACATTGACAAAGGCTGAGCAGAGGATGAAATTGGGAAGTCACCCATCAACTATGGGGGTTGGGCAACGTGAAAATGTGCTTACCATTTGCAATGAAATGGAAAAGGCCTTGGTGAGAAGGCAGTGGAGATTAATGATAATAAGTCATGTTGAGTTTTAACAAGATAACATACAGGATAACAAAAAGGCAAAAGTTTATTAAGTCAGATCCTGATTTTGCAACTAACACCTTTTTTCCTCCCTCTCTTTTTCACCTTGAGACTGTTACAGATAGCTGAGTAAGGTGCCAAATTAGACTCGAACTGCATCTCAGGGTGAAAACTGTGAGTGAGCATCAGCTAATGTTATCCTAAAGTGTATGGAATTACAAGTTTCTATGAAGATGTTTTTGAGAAACCTTATTAGGATTAGTGCGTATGTTGTCAACATTGGATTTTCTAGAGAATCAGAGTGAATATAGCTGGTACATAAGCATTGTTAATTTGCATCATGGATATCAAAGCCTTCTTGATAGAAATTACCTATTTGCACTGCATACTAATTTGGGCATTGCTGCTCTGGAATTGATAAAAGTTTAGCCTATAAATTGGCTGAAGTTCCTTTTGTGCTAAGAAAGAATTTGCTAAGCAGATGCATAATGTGCCATTGGCCATTGCGGTTAATTTTTTTAAGAGAATAAATATTTCCAAGCACTTAAGTGCCATGTGTTACAAATCACACCACTCAGGGACTAGTTGAGGCTTCTTTTTTCCTTGAAGTCGGGCAGGCAGGACCTCTAGTGGCAATGGCTAGTTAGCAGTTAGATTTAGTGCTAATGTTTTAGAAAGTACAAACTGCACTTCTTTTAAATTCTGGTTGATAGACTTCAGGTTGATATTCCCCCCAATAATTTAAGCTTTGCACATTCTAATTCCCTGGTGTTCAAATTGTCACAAGTTCTTGCTGTGTACATATTTCTTGGAGGAACACTTTTAAAGAAAATGGCTTCAAAGATTCCCAGGCAAAGTGGACACCTGGACCTGTAAAAGGAACGCTGCCCCTAAGATGTGGAAAGAGGCCAACAAATGTTTTAATTGGTTCTTGACTTCAGTACTACTGACTTTTTCTCACATGGCACACTGATGCCCCTAAATACCCATTTGTCCTCTGAATTTGGTCTTTCAAACAAGGGTGAGAGATGATTTTGAGAGTGAGAAGAGAGCTGTTCTACTGGGGAAAAGGGCACAGGGAGGGAGTTTTGACAGGTATTTGTGGTGGCCACAGCCAGTGATAAAGCAAACACTGCAGCTGAGTTCAGGCCCCACTGTGAACGGGCCTGCAGTTACATCTCACTCCTCTCTTCTGTCAGTTGGGTCCCATGGGGTCCACTGGCAGGACCCACTCCAGGCAGGTGTCCCTGAGCCTCTCCTAACCACCTCTTTCTCCTCCATGTCTTTGCTCTCTATGTGGCGGGGGCAAGAGGGGAGCAAAGGGCAGTAGTGGCTTGTGTGCAGGCAGCCAGATGGGAGCCTGACCTTGGGTCACAGGCACACGAAAGGCACAGCCTACTGATGCACTATTTGGCCTGTGCTGTGAGGAGGGGGGTGCAGAGGGAGAGAGGAAGAGAGAAGAAAACTCCTTTCTTCTATCTCTAACCTAGGCATCTAGTGCATTTCAGTCCTGAATTCTTTCAGGGCTCAGCTGAAACTGTTACTTCAGAACCCTTCCCTGATCAAGGTCAGGCCTTCCACGGGCTTTTTGTAGCTTCCTGTGCTTGTCTCTACCAGCACTTATTATTATTACCATGAATTACTTGTGTAAATATTTATTATCTGTGTCAGTGGATGATAAGCTTCATGAGAGCAGAGATTGGTGTCTGTACTATTTATTTTTGTATTCTTATGCAGGAGGCCTGAGACAAAGTGCTAAATAAATATTTGTTGAATGAGTGAGTGAGGCAACAAATGAATCAATGAGATACACAAGAACATATGTATAAGAATGTTCTTTGGAAATAACCTAGAGTCTAGCAAGAGGGAAACAAATCATGGAGATCCATTTGTTTGAATATGTCATTGAAAGGCATATCTCAAAAAATATTTACTAACATTGAAAAATTCTCAGAATGTAAGGTTAAGAGAAAAAAGTAGGGACACAAAAATTGACATATGGTATGATTCCTTTTTCTTTTTTTGACATAAAGAAAATACAGAGAATTCTTACTATTCATGGTAGTTATATTCTATAAGGTCACTACAAACACTGAATTGCAAATACTGAATGATTGCACCTAGGGGAAATACAGAGTTAGGCTCCTGCAAGCCTCTGGTCACAATATTTTTGTCAACTGATCAATTTATAACCTTGTTTTATATGTGTTTCTGTTTAAAGACACCTTCTTTTAATATATATTATTGATTACTTAACATTGAAATCATGACCAACAGCACTGTCACTTATGCCTGAAAGAAGCTTATCTAATAACACACGTATTTTCTCAAGACACATCACAGTCTTGCTATGCTTTGGACACCAGACAGTGCTTCAGCTCCATGCTGCAGGCGATTTTAAACCACAAGACCACTAACAAAAAGCATATAAATATGAAAAATATAGCACTAAGTAGATCTTAGAAAAGATACTTGTTTACAGTATGAGAGCTGAAACAAGAAGGAGAGGCATCACCTTGTTTGACTTCGCCTGGGCATGTATGCATCAGCCAACTCAACCTTTTTGCTGCTCTGAGCATGTGCATGCCCACAAATAACTGAAATGCACTGTGAGTATTGATTTGCGGTTACAATTCAATTTTAGCAAGTAGGGGAATTTGCAAATACAAAATCTGTGACTAATGAAGATTGACTGTATGTCCTTAAAACAAAAAAAATCTCAGGGCAAATCTGCCCCTCGTGGTAGCGGGACTATGGTGACATAAACATTTAAAGATGTATCCTTTTCTTTAATTCCTCAAATTTCTAAAATTAACTTGTATTATTGTATAAGTAGGAAAATAAATATTATTTTTCTTTTATTAGGAAATGGCAAAATGTGATGGGCAGAATATATATAGAGAAAGGGTAGCAAAAATTTCTTTGGCCAGCTGTGGCACAGTAAGTTTAAACGTAAACAGCCAAAACTGTCAGTAGAGTAGTTTCAAAAACATATTGAGCCATAACTTTGAAATATATTTTGAGCCGGGCACAGTGGCTCACGCCTGTAATCCCAGAACTTTGGGAGGCTGAGGCGGGTAGATTGCAAGGTCAAGAGTTTGAGACTAGCCTGGCCAACATGGTGAAACCTCACCTCTATCAAAAATACAAAAATTAGCCGGGCATGGTGGTATGTGCCTGTAATCCCAGCTACTCGGAAGGCTGAGACAGGAGAATCACTTGAACCCAGGAGGCAGAGGTTGCAGTGAGCTGAGATCGCGCCACTGTACTCCAGCCTGGGTGACAGAGTGAGACCCTGTCTTGGTGGGAGGTGGGGGAGCGGGGGGAGGGGGAAGAAAAAAAGAAAGATATTTTGAATTCTCTCTTATATGACTTTTGTGAATGGCCAAAGTATCATTCTGTAGTCAGGAACAGGCTGACTTTTTGAGCCAGGGCTTCAAGCTGAACAGGAGAAAGAGACATAAGCATGAACAAGACCTATCTCTGCAAGCAGAGGTCAGCCACTTGACAAAGGCAGTGCAAAGGGGATGGCTTTCTCCGGAAATCCCTCGCTTCAGCTACTCATCCTCCACCTCCTGCCAAGTCTAGGTTAGGTTCCCCTCAGCAGAATGTCCTTCTCTGTTCTAGCACTCCCCACACTGTGTTGTCATTACCTGTATATGTCTGTGTTCCCAACTAGACTTTAAGCTCTATGAGGGCAAGGGCTGAATGTAGCTTGCTCACTATTGAATTACATTGCCTGACACATTGCTTTGCACGCAGTGAGGGTGAAGTAAATATTTGTTCAATATATAACGGAATGATTATGCATCAAACACCCCAACTGATAGCGACTCCTGTGAGAATCGTCCTCTTTAAATATAAGTCGGTGTCAGAAACAACGCCAAACCTCAAAAAAGAATATTGAAGAGTTCAAATGAGAAAATTCAAACACCCCAACAGACAGTGCCTCCTGTCAGAATCGTCCTCTTTAAATACGAAGCTCAGTGTCGGAAACAACACCAAATACAAGAATAGTGAGGAGTTCAAATGAGAAAATTTCAGTCTTAAAAAATAGACAAGATTTCATATACTCAGGCAAAAAGAGATAGAAATAAGAATCTGCCTACGTGTGAAAGGCAAATACAATTCCTGTTTCCTTTATCTTCTTACGATTGTACACCCTGTTCAACCATCTTTGGGCTTGTGATTACTGGGTAGTACACTGCTATTTCTTGAAGTGTCCATAAACACAGATAGCAGAGCTCAATTCCTGAAATGTGCTCCTGTTTGATAAGGTGGATTGGACTGGATCTTGTTCAGCCTTTAATCTACTTCCTTAAGCATCTGAGGATGTTCCAAACTCAAGGCTATTTCAGTACCTTTGTATTTGCAATGTATGATGCTTTAAAATGATAACTGTATTAACTTTCTATGGCCTTTATAACAAATTGCTGCAAACCTAATGGCTTAAAACATTGTAAATTTATTATCTTATAGTTCTATTTATCAGATATTTGCCCAGATCTTACTGGACAAAGATTAAGGTGTTGGCAGGGTACATTCTCTTCTGGAGGCTCTAGGAGAGAGTCCATTTCCTTGCATGTTTCATCTGTAGAAGGGGGGCTGCTTTCATTGTCTTGTGCCCACCTTCCTCCATCTTCAAGACCATCAGGCTGAGTTCTTCCCATGCTACCATCTCTCTGGTTCCCTCTTTTCATTCCCCCTTCCACTTTCAAAGACCTTTGTGTGATTAAGCCCAGCAAAATAATCCAGAATAAAAAATCTTATTTTAAGGCCAACCGTTTGGCAACCTTAATTCCATCTGCAACTTTAACCCACCTTTGCCGTCTACCCTAATATATTCACAAATTCTGGGGAGTGGGATGTAGACATCTTTGGGAGTTGATATAGTTTGGATGTTTGACTACTCCAAATCTCATGTTGAAATGTAATCTCCAGCGTTGCAGGTAGGACCTCCTGGGAGGTGTTGGGTTATTGGGGTGGATCCCTCGTGAATGGCTTAGCGCCATCCCCTTGGTGATGAATGAGTTCTCAGTCTATTAGTTCACACAAATGGGGGTTGTTTAAAAGAGCCTGGGCTGGGCACGGTGGCTCATGCCTGTAATTCCAGCACTCTGGGAGGCCGAGGCGGTTGGAACAACTGAGGTCAGGAATTTGAGACCAGCCTGGCCAACATGGTGAAACTCCATCTCTACTACAAATACAAAAACTAGCTGGGTGTGGGGGCACGTGCCTGTAATCCCAGCTACTGGGGAGGCTGAGGCAGGAGAATCGCTTGAACCCGGGAGGCAGAGGTTGCAGTGAGCTGAGATCACACCATTGCACTCCAGCCTGGGTGACAAGAGCGAAACTCCACCTCACAAAAAAAAAAAAAAAAAAAGCCTAGCATCTCTCTTGCCACATGACACGCTGGCTCCTTTTCACCTTCTGCCATGATTGAAAGCTTCCTGAGGCCCTCACCAGAAGCAGATGCTGGCGCCATGCTTCCTGTATAGCTTTAGAACCATAAGCCAAAATAAATCTCTTTTCTTAATAAGTTACTCAGCCTCAGGCATTCCTTTAGAGCAATGCAAATGGAAGAACACAGGGGCAATTGCTCTGCCTACCAAAATAAATGTACACACTATTATATATGCATACAAACTAGGAAATATAGTCATTTATATTTATCAGGATTCAAAATATCATGTCCCTATCCCAACTGTCTACTGTCTGTCCCCTCACTGCCCCTGAAAAAAAGAAAAATATCCTAAGATGCAAACACTCAAACCATGGAATGAAATACTCTTGGAGATAAAAAAGTCAAATACTTCTCTTGCTATGCGGATTTAAGAGAAACATCTCCACAGTATCAGTTGTGTGGGAGTTTATGTGTAGGAATCTAACTGCTCATGAGTTATCTCCATGAAGTCCCGCTCACAGTATGAATAGATGGGATCCTGTTATAATCTGCTTACTGTTTGCCTTGCAGTTGTGCATATAAATTATGTCTAAACCCTTTTCTTCTTAATCATTCTTCTTTCAGAAATTTTGTTTATCTTTCTAATTTGATTAGACAAGGCTCTCCTATCCCCCACTGCTTTTTTAACAGCACAGAGATAGCAGGAGGATTGATCAGTGACTGGAGATCCACAGGGGTGATAAGCTTTTCTGTATATTTATGTAGAAGGCAAAACACAGCAGAATGAGAAATATCAGATTCCAGATTTCATGTCCCATATGTCCCCATCCAACCCTGTATCATGCATTAAACAAATAAAAAGTAACAGAAGGGCCCAGCATGTTGGCTTCTGCCTATAATCCCAGTACTTTGGGAGATCGAGATGGGCAGATCACTTGAGCTCAGGAGTTCGAGACCAGCCTCGGCAACATGGTGAAACCCCATCTCTACAAAAATACAAAAATTAGGCGGGCGTAGTGGTGTGCACCTGTTGCCCCAGCTACTTGGGAGGCTGAGGTAGAAGGATTGCCTGAGCCCGGAAGGTGGAGTTTGCAGTGAGCTGAGATTGTGTCAATGCACACCAGCCTGGGCAGCAGAGCCAGACCCTGTCTCAACAAACAAACAAAAAAAAAAAAAAAAAAAAAAAAAAAAAGGGAGAGAGAGAGAGGAAATAAGTAACAGAACTAGCAGCATTTCATATTCCAGCTACCTTTTCCCCATTTACAAACTCCTGAGTCTGAAACATTTGTTATATTTGGTTTTGAGTGAAACCAGAATCAATAACAAATTTGTTTTGCATTCATTCCTCAATATATTTACTGCGTGAATATGGATCAGCAGGGATGGTGTGAGACTGCCACACTCAAGCTGGGCGTTTGTGCAATCCACATCAACACTTCCAATACTCTCAAGCAAGGCCAATAAATCATAAAGCTCATGTGCTACTGAATTCAGCACTTCACCATCGGCAAAATCAATGGAGATGCTTCCAGAATTTTCAGTTTTACAGCTTCTTGAACAAATCTTTTCCCCTAGTCCCTCTCTTTGTCTGTCTGGCTAAGGTTGAGGCATGGACACTGGGTTTGCCTCCTCTCCATCCACCTTCTCCATCCCCTTTTGAGAAATGACCACGTGGTTGAGGTCGATCTTGTAGTCAAGCCAATTGTGGTTTTTCCATCCCTATTCCCAGTGAGGCAACTTGTTGCATGTCATTCCCCTGGCAACCAAGACTGGTTCAGTTTGGGTTGATTCGATGCTAGCAGAAGTTTTTTGGGGCTTCTAGGTAAAGCGTCCTCATCCTTAAGTGAAAGTCTCAAAGAGTCATCTTTCCCCATCCCAAACTGATTCTAGAACTTCTGCAGGCATCTTATTATAGATCTGATGAAGTAACTGTCCTAGAAGAATCACAGGGAGGTGGAGCTCCTTCCCTATCCCTGCACTCACCTCTCCAGTTATGCAGGAATATATGCATTATTCTTTTGTTTGTTTAATCCTGTTTGAGTTGGAGTTTTTTGTTATATTTCCTCATTCATTCAACAAATAATTACAACTGTCTGCTGTGTACAGGCACTGCTTTAAGCAATGTGGATTAAAAGAACAAAAAGGGTTCCTGCCTTCCAGTAGGAAGAGTTTAAAAAGCAAATAATAAATCTAATAAATCAGGAAACTCAACAAGAACAAGATAAAGAACTAGAGAGTGACAGGAGCTATTGGGGGAAAGATGAGAGCAGCTGACTAATTTTAAATAGGGTGGTCAGGTTTCACCTCATTGAAAAATGTGATTTGGCTCACACTTGGAATCCCAGCACTTTGGGAGGCTGAGGCAGGAGGATTGCTTGAGCCTAGGAGTTCAAGACCAGCCTGGGAAACATAGCGATACCTTATCTCTACTGAAAAAAGCAAAAAAGAAAGTACAGGCATGGTGGCACACACCTGTAGTCCTAGCTACTCAGGAGGCTGAGGCAGGAGGACCACTTGAGCCCAGGAGTTCGAGACGGCAGTGAGCTATGATTGAGCCACTGCACTCCAGCCTGGGTGACAAAGCAAGATCTTTTCTCAAAAAAAAAAAAAAAAAAAAAAAAAAAAGTGTGTTTTGAGTAGACTTTTGAGTGAATGAGCATTTGTGGATATTTGGAGAAGAGTTTTCTAGGCAGAGGATACTGCCAACACAAATTCCCTAAGTTGGAAGCTTGCTTGGGAATGTGAGAGGAGAAAGGAGTGGTGGGAGTGAAGTGAGGGAGGGCAGGGGTTAACAGGGAGCCCTGTGGGTCTTTTAGCCCAGTGCAGAAGCATTTTGTTTGGCTTTGACTCTGATTCAAATGGGGAACCACAGAAGGCTTTTGAGTAGAGTGAAAAAGATCACTCTAGCTACTGTGTTGGGAAAGGATTTTGGAGCAGTAAAGGAAGGTGCAGGGAGCTGACTTAGAAGGCCACAGTCCCATGCCAGGCTGGAGATGCTGCAGCAGTGGTCCAGGGTTGTAGTGATGAAGGTGGTGAGCAGTGGTTTGGATTCTGGATATGTTCTGAAGGCAGAGCCAACAGGATTTCCTGAGTATAGGGGAATGTGGGAGAAAAGCAAGGAGTCAAGGATGACTCCAGCTGAAAGCAACCTAAATCATTAACTCTCAAATTTACCTGACTTGATTATCAGCTATTTACAACTCATGAATGTTACATACCATGGAGAAGTCCAACCCAAACACAGGGTTCACACGCAAACCAGTAATTTGATATTGAGGGCTCTACATGTTCCATTAATCACATCCCCCTACTTAAAATATTTTCCTTGGCTGCCTTTTAAGAATAAAGTTATTTTCCATAGTCTTTGAGAGTTAACTCAGGTAGGACCGAAGTGATGACCGTTCTGTCCTCTGCAGCAACGCCATTGCCCTTTATCCTTGTTGTGATGTGGTTTTCCTGTGTCTTCTGCTGCTAGATGTGATGACGATATCCCTCCTTTGTTGATGGACTCAGCATCTGTACATGGGATATTTTGACTCCAATTTTCCTGATGCATCATCCTAATTGTCTGGTAGTTACTGACTGTCACTTACCAACCGGTGTGAGATATTCTTCAGCTCTTCATCAGGAACAGAATTACAGCCTCTATCTTTAGAAATGATATATGCTGAGGATTATTCATGTTTGTAATTACAAATCTAGCAGAAGTGCAATTATTAAAAAAAAAACCCTTGGAAAGGACATTTTGTTGTATAACGCAGAACCTGCTGTTAGCCTCTTGTGCTGGTATTACTTTTGTTGCTGTAATTGCCACCTGCATTTCAGTTGTAATTTAACATTATCTGTCTTCTCTGTATCTTTCTACCTGATTGTAATTGTTAGGACTCCTGCCATTTATTCTTAAATACTTTCTTGTCTTTCTGAATTACTGGGCTATTTTCTATGATTATAACCTAAGAAACAGCTGCAGCAACCCTTGTTGCATTGTAAAAACTTCAGAGGGCTGGTTTATCTCTAGTTTAAAACCAGTGAAGCAAACAGTGGGGGGACCTTCGGAGGTCATTCACATAAAACCATCATTTTAAGAATGAAGAAACTGAAGCTTTTGAGTGATTAACTAAGTTGCTCATGATCATTTACATTCTTATTGTTATGCTGTACTCTGGAGTAGCAAGTATGGATATATATTCAGAGATAGGATCTTTTAAGTCCTAGCACTTTGCAATTTATGCTGATTAACCAACGACCTGCCAAACAGAGCTCAAGATGGGAAGGGAAGCGACACTAAATCCTTTTTTTGAGCCAGATACTGCTAGGTGCTTTGTATCATGGACCACATTGATATGCACAATAATCTGATGAGGTAGGAATAATTATGCCAATTTCTCTCTCTCTCTCTCTCTCTCTGTCTCTCACACACCCACACCCCCCCCCACACACACACATGCTGGGATTTTTGGGAGATTAAGCAACAGGCTCAAGAGCACACGGGTAGTAACTCTCAAATAGTAAGAACTGCTTGACTTTCCACCCTTTCTCTTTCTACCAAATCAGGAACAGAATAATGGATATCTTCCAAAGGGGTGAGATATGAGCATGAGCTACTTTTTTTTTTTTTTTTTTTTTTTGAGATGGAGTCTTGCTCTGTCGCCCAGGCTGGAGTGCAGTGGCGTGATCTCGGCTCACTGCAACCTCCCTCTCCTGGGTTCAAGGGATTCTCCTGCCTCAGCCTCCCAAGTAGCTGGGACTACAGGCACGTGCCAACACACCCAGCTAATTTTTTGTATTTTTAGTAGAGTCAGGGTTTCACTGTGTTAGCCAGGACGGTCTCGATCTCCTGACCTCGTGATCTGCCCGCCTTGGCCTCCCAAAGTGCTGGGATTACAGGCACGAGCCACCGCACACGGCCAGGTATGAGCTACTTTTAAGGCAGTTGGAAGCCCAAAGAGCTTGGGAAACCATGAAGACTAGGCCTCACAACTGCAGTTTTCTCAGGCCTATGCAGCTGCCTCCATCCTTTTGCTCTGAGCAAAACTGGACCTAGTTAAGCAATGTTGCCCAACTGTTAAAAAAGGAAGCTCAAAACTAGGAGGTAGGATGCCAGATAATTTGTTTAAATTTTTGATCTTTAAAATCTTGACTCTTTGAGCTTGTTTTGAGCCTCATTGGTCCAAAGTGGCTCAATCTGACTGAGGAAGGGGTTGGAGGAGGAAGGAATGTAAAAATGAAAGATCGGTGGGAAAAGGATACTGCCTTAGGTTGTCTGTAGGTAAATAAAGGTTTGACTCTATAAAAACTCTCTTCCTGAAATAATCAAGAATGCTTCACATCAGAAGCATCAATTAAATGGCTGCCTTCTTTTTGTTAATTCTTTAGTCTTTAGCTATTTCTGCTGTTGCTGCAGAGGCAGAGAGATGGTGAAAGAATCAACCTCAGGAAATAGTATGGAGGTCAAGGGTCAGCTAAGAGGATCTACTGATTTTCTGATCTGCGGAGCTTTCTGAGTGAGTCTCCCTTGAATTGCAGGAGGGCATCCAATAGGAAACCCAGTATGCAACAATCTCAAGAGATAGCCTCTAGAACACTGGGATTAGCATTAATCCATGAAAATGAGGTGCTATAATGATGATGATGATGAGACTAGAACCTATAGTTACATGCATTGTGGGAAAGGTTTGAATTGAAAGGCTGAAGGAGGGAGTGGTTGTCTTCCAAGAGGGTATGATGGTCATGCTGAATGAAGAATGAAGTGAAAGAAGTCAGTGAAGATGCATTAAGACCGTAGGTCAGGTTCAAGTAGTAACTCCCAAGGGTTCAACCACATAATGACGCATTGAAGGATGTCTATTACAATCATAAGAAACAGCAAAGTGGTTGAGTATAGTGGCTCATGCCTGTAATCCCAGCACTTTGGGAGGCCAAGGTGGGCAGATCACTTGAGGTCAGGAGTTCGAGACCAGCCTGGCCAACATGGTGAAACCCCATCTCTACCAAAAATACAAAAACTAGCAGGGCATGGTGGTGCCCGCCTGTAATCCCAGCTACTTAGGAGGCTGAGGCAGGAGAATAACTTGAACCTGGGAGGCGGATGTTGCAGTGAGTTGAGATTGTGTCACTGCACTCCAGCCTGGGTAACAGAGTGAGACTCTGTCTCAAAGAAAAGAAAGAAGAAAAGAAACAGCAGAGTGTCCCATCTGTCCTGCGAGTCCTAAGGAAACTGATTAATGGCTTCAAAAGTTTATTTCTCATCAAAATGAACTTGATTAATTACAAATCCAGATTTTTTAGTCCTGCCCCCCAAAAGTCTGATTTTACCAATGAAAATAACCCCCAGGTAATTCCTGCAAGCAGCCTCACTGGAAACATCTGGGGTAGGTGACCCCAACTTCTGTCATTGTGAGTTTCTGTGTGCTACCTTTCTTTTTTGGTTTTTGTTTTTAATAAACAGGGTGTTGCTCTCTTGCCCAAGCTACGGTGCAGTGGTGCAATTATAGCTCACTTCAGCCTTAAACTCCTGGGTTCAAGGAATCCTCCTGCATTGCTGGGATTACAGATGTGAGCCACTGTGTCAGGCTCTCTGTGTGTTCCTTCTAATAGTACTTCTAGAACATCTCTTATTTTTTTCTTTTCCAGCTCGGAGATTCTTAATTTGAGTTTCTGGGGCTCAATGAATAGGGCCCAGGGGATCTACAACCCCCCTGAAATTACATGCAGAATTTCACATATATATGAGCTATGTGAAGAGTCTCAAAGGAATCTGTGGTTTCCAAAGGGTTTAGAACAATTGCTCCAACTGTTCTATTTATCTCCTTTCTGCCCTGACCCCTGGAGCTGGTTCACAGCTTTTTATCCTGGCCAGTCTTCCTGGCTTTAGTGGACAGTACATTTGTCTTTGACTTTGAAACTTTACATTAACTATGAGACATAGCGTGAAACTTTGGAAAGAGAGGGGATCACTTCTATGTTTCTATTAAAATTAATTTCCTTTGGAAGAATATGCCTGTGACAGTTTTCATAGAACACTGCTGTCCCCATTTTAATGAGAAACAAAAAAATTCATCCACGTCACCAATATTCTATTGTGTCTCTTTTCTCCCAGAAGCCGATCTCTTTGCTAAACCATCTTCAGCACAGCTCCAGTTGAAGTCCTTTGCTTGTCTGGGTCCTTTGTTGCCCTCCCGGTGTTCTGCTGTCCACAGAATATAGCCCTGACTCGGTAGCCTGGCATCTGTGCCCTTTGCAATCTGACTACCTCCTGCTGCTCTCCTAATTGTTCCATGTTCCAAGCTAACTGTGCTCCTCGCCATTGCCCAAGCCCTGTCTGTGCCCTCTTCCCTCTGGGCCTACAGGGGATGCCCTCCCTCTCCTCTCCATCTGTCACCGTGTACCCTTGTTCAAGGCCTTCATCCCATCTCTCCGTCAGCCAGAAATTTCCTCTTCTGTGAACATCAATTGTACTTGGTTCATACGGGTCTTATGGCATTTGTTACATATTGATTTTTGTTTGATTATGCATGATTTGTGTTTCTCTTTTTTCTTATTAGATTCCAAGACCTTTCATCACAGGGCCTTTGTTGATTTAACTGTGTATCTGGTCAATTGCCTGTCACAGTACCTAGCATACAAAAAGCCCTCAATAAAATCTGGTGAATGTATTTAAAAACCTAGATAGGGCTATTTTAATTCAGAAAAATAAATCTGTTTGCCTTTTTTCCTGGTAATCTAAGTTGGGCAGTTGCACGAGAACTGCATATAAACTGCATTCAACTCTTGATAAATTAGAAAAGTCATCTGATGGCTTCATTAAAATGTGGGCTTTAAAATTATTTATGATTTCATTTTTCATAACATCTTTGTGAGACTTGTAGTAGTGTAGTATTCCCCCCGTCTTTTGGATGGTGATTTCACTGAGGTGAGAGGTTAAAGTGGGTCATTCAAGGCCACAGAGCAGGCAGGTAACAAAACTGGCACTGGAACCTTGGCCTCCTGGGGCCACGTTAGCAGAGCGTAGCATTGACTGCACTAAGGATGGAATACAAATGTGCTTACACATTGTCAAATCCTGTGGGTCAAAAAGTTTGTTTTAGTGAAAGCATCACAGATAATGAAGTATTTGAAATTTTCTCTTTTCACCTTTTGGCATGCAGGCTCCTCTCTCTCTGTTCCCTAAATAAGGACACGTCTGTAGGTCTGATCCTCAGCCCTGTCTGTCTGTGACCTTCTCCAGTATCCAGGACCCTCGGCGATCAATACCTGCCTCGTGGTTTCAATGATCATCACTCTGCTGACTTACCTAACGTCTTTGCCTATGGTGATGACCCCTGCCTGCTCTCCACCTCACATCTCTTGTGGTTTACCAGAAGTTTCCACTTAGAATTCTGCCATCACTTCAAAATCCAGATATCTAAATCCAAACTCATCATCTGCTCTCTGAACAAACTTACTCCTTTCTCAATCTACATTTTTCTACCATAATTCTCCTAGTCATCCAAGTTCAAAATCATTGTTATCTTTAACTTCCTTTATTTTTTTAAGAGACAGCTTCTCATCCCACTGCCCATGCTGGAGTGAAGTGGTGCGATCATGGCTCACTATAGTTTCAAACTCCGGGGCTCAAGTGATCCTCCTGCCTCAGCCTCCCAAGTAGCTAGGACTACAAGCACACATCTCTGCACTCAGCTATTTTTTTTTTTTTTGAGACAGAATCTCACTCTGTTGCCCAGGCTGGAGTGCAGTGCTGTGATCTTGGCTCACTGCAACCTCTGCCTCCTGAGTTCAAACGATTCTCCTGCCTCAGCCTCCTGAGTAGCTGGGATTAGAGGTACCTGCTACCACACACAACTAATTTTTGTATTTGTAGTAGAGATGGGGTTTCACCATGTTGGCCAGGCTGGTCTTGAACTCCTGATCTCAAGTGATCCACCCACCTTGGCCTCCCAAAGTGCTGGGACTACAGGTGTGAGCCACTGCGCTAGGCCTAATTTTTAAATTTTTGTAGAAATGGGGTCTTATGTTGACCAGGCTGGTCTTGAACTCCTAGCTTCAAGTGATCCTCCTGTCTTGGCCTCCCAAAATGCTGAAATTACAGAAATGAGCCACTATGCCTGGCCTGTTATTTTCAGCTTTTTAATTGGCTTTGTCTTATTGATACTTCCTTCAAAATGTTTATCATGTCCATTTGAGAATCTAGAGTGGTTTTTTTTTTTTTTTTTTTTTTTTTTTTTGCCAAGGATTACCTCTTTCTCTAGAGCCCTCCACCTCATGCACATTCCTTTCTTTCTATTTTCATTACCACATTGTGATCTAGGTCTTCTCTTCCTCTTCCTTAAATTTCACTGGTGTTCATTTTGTTACAGGATGAAATCCATAGTCTTCAACCTGGCATACAAAACCTCCCACAAGCTGACTCCAGTTGATCTTTCCAACTTTCTAGTCTAATACTTGCCTCTGGTAATTTTTTTTCCAATTCTTCTGTTGACTGTCCTGGAATGCATCTTACATGGCCTTGCTTTGGTCCTCAGTTTAGTTCTTTTATTTTCCAGTTTACTCCTTTGGATACTTCTCATCTTCAAGGTCCAGCTCATGTCTCATCTTTTTGATATGACCATTCCTAATTATTTAAATCCATATTCTGAAGTTCTTGGCCCTTGTTGTCTACATCTTTGCTGCTCAAAGTGTCATTAAATGAGCAGCAGCATTGTCACCACCTGGAAGATGGTTAGAAATGAATCTTGGGGCTCTGCCTCAGACCTGCTGAATTCAAATCTGCATTTTAGCATGATCCTTGAAGTGATGCATGAAACACTTGTCTGTCCCATTTAGATACTTAGATAATACTCAATCCAAACACCAACTTATGTACTTATCTGCACTCCTCAAGATCCTTGAAATCTGCGAACCTGTTTTATTTTTCTTTAGTATCTCTGAAACACAATTTCATGGTAAAGTAGGTGCTTACTAAATAGATTTTAGTGTCCTTCTCTTTCTTTTTCTATTTAAAGGAGGAAAAAACTCCCAAGACTCCTAGAAAGTGAGCATGAGCTGCTATAGTTTGAATGTAACCTCTTCAAAATTCAGGTATTGCCAATGAGATACTGTTAAGAAGTGAAGCCTTTAGGATGCGATTGAGCCATTAGGGCTCCTCCCTTGCAAATGGAACAAGGTCAGCAAACCAATAGGAGTGCTAAGGTAAATGACTGTAGAACAAAATGGTGTTTATGTAGCTTGATGGTACATGTAATTTCACAATTGCATTTTGTGTCTGAAAAACATATGAGGTTTTGCTAAGCTTAGTAGAGAAATGCCTGCTTTGTGGCAATGTTGTCCATTAGTTAACCAGAGAGAAATATGAGAACAGATGATGTCACTATATTCTTCCACTAGCCTAGGTTCTTAAAAGCTCTAAGACTACAAGTGTTATAGATGACTCCAGCATGCACTCATACTGCTACTTAACTTTCTTCATGGAAATGTGTCTTATTCTGTCAACAGACTAAAAGAGGGGCAAGGACATATATTATATAATTTTGTATATACTCGATAATGCTCAGGACATAGAGCTTCAGTTCCTTCCCTCCCTCCCTCCCTCCTGCCCACCCTCCATTTCTTTATTCCTGCCTTTCATCCTTTAAGTGTTTGTTGAGTGATTGAGATCAAATATTGATATATTGTATCTATAGAATAGAATATTCTATTCTAGTGCTATTATATATGCTGGGGATAAATCACGCATTAAAATGAATGTCCTTCTCTTTATGGAACTTGCATTCCAGTGGAGCAAAAAGATAAACAAAATCATAAGAGGAATTTATACTTAGAGGACGATAAGTACTGCAGAAAAAGATTAGAGAAGAGGGCTTGGAATTGGGGAGGTATACTTTAAAATAAAAAGCCAGAGAAGACCACCTTTGAGAACATAATTTAAGAAAAGACTTGAAGGAGGTAAATTATGTAGCTATCTGAGGGAAGACCTTCCCAGAGAGTGGAACAGCAGGTACAGGGCTGAGGTGGGCATGAACAGGGAAGAGTAAGAACGGTCTTTTGGGTTTGAAGTAGAAGGAGCTTGCAGGAGAATGACAGGAGAGATGAGGTCAGATATTACATCTCAATAGGATCTCTCTGGCTGCAATATTGAGAAAAGCCAGAAGGGGGACAAGGTGGAGGTGGGAAGACGAATTAGAAGGCCACTGCAATAATACAGACAGGAGATGGTGGTGGCTTAGACCAGGGAGGCAGCCGTGGAAGAGGTGAGAGGCAGTTACATTCTGCATATATTCCGAGAGTACAGCCAACAGGATTTGCTGAAAGATTGAATTTGGCATATGAGAGACAGAGAGGCATCCAGGATCCAGGCATTTAAGATTTTTGGCCTAAGCAACTAGAAAGATGCAGCTGCCATCAAGTGAGATGGGGGAAGGCTGCGGTGGAGAAGTCTTTTTTAGGGAAGATTAGGAACTTAGCTTTGGCAATGTTGAGTTTGACATATCTTTTAGACAAGTGGAGATATTGAGGAGGCAGTTGAATATTGGTGGAATGAACGAATAACCAGGATCTTAATCAAGTGTTTAACTCCCTTAAACATAAATCAACTTTTTGTCTACTTCCTCATAATGTGAAGCACTTTGGGATGTGACATTGGAAATCAGACTCTTCTGACCAAGGCCCAGGTCTGCCTGAATTCCAGGCCTAGAGATCTGACAATGTGCTGGCCATCTTCCCTTAAATGTTCTCTAGAGCCACACCATGTCTAAAATGGAACGCACTCTCTTTATCCCAAGCCTGGTCTCCCTCTTTGTGACTGTGGTGAGTGGGCACCACTAGGCATGTAAGCTGGCAGTCACACTTCATTCCTTCCATTTCCTCATCTCCATATCTAATTGGTCACCAAATCTTACCAACCCCACTTCCAAACCATCTCTAGAACCCATCTCCCCCCTCCGTCTTCACTGCTGCTTTTTTGGATTTATGCTCTCATTGTCTCTCACCTGGATTATATGTAAATCTTCTCCTACCTGGTTTCCCAGTCTCCAATCGATCCTTCACATAGCTCCCAGAGTGATTTTCTAAAATGTAAATGTGGCCATGTTACTCTTCTGCTTAAAACATTTCCAAAGGCTTTCTTCTGTCCATAAAACCCAAAACTTGAGTTTGGCCTGCAAGGATCATCAAGATCTGGCTCCTGCTTATCTCTTAGATTTATTATCCCCCCCATCCCCCCCGTCACTCCTATCCATTGGCCAGATTATACTACCTGTAGTTAGTTAACTTATTCATTCAATTTTCAGATATAAATAGGATGCTTCATATGTTACAAGCACTATGCTAAGCTGTGGGGGATACAAAGCTAGACATTGAAAAAGCCTGAAATAAACCTGGTTGTCTTCCTTCCTACTTACTTACAGTCGTCATACAGTAAGCTGTGGGGATACAATGCTGCATTGTACGCAGACTTGGTTCCTGCCCTCATGAAAGTATACTTTCTCAATTTCCATGCCTTTGCTCTCTGAACCCCCTGCCTTGAATTTACCACCATCTGCTCCTCCCTCCATCTCACTGCCATGTCCTCCTTCTCCTACCAGCTACTTAAAGAATACCATCTCAACTTTTAAGAATCAGCTTACATCATTCCCTTGTATTAAGCTCTTTACTCTATCTCCTTTTCTCTTCTAAAAATGTTTCCTCCCTCAAAAGGTATCATTGAAAAACTTAATAGCTCTAGAAGTGAGGATATCTCTAAATACATTCCAGGTTCAGTTCAGAATATTGTTTTATCTTATACTAGAAGATCATAGCTCAAGGAATGGGATTTCCTTCTTTATCCCAAAAGGGAAAAAAGCCTCCTTTTCCTGGATTTTTCCCATGCTCCTTGGGCTCCACAAGTGGGATAAGCAATTGTTAACTTGCTGCAGAGTGAGTGAACCCAATTGCATTGGATTCACACACAGTGGATGCTCCAGGATTTTTTTTAAATATTTATTTATTTATTTATTTATTTATTTATTTATTTATTTATTTATTTATTTTGAGACGGAGTCTCTCTCTGTTGCCCAGGCTGGAGTGCAGTGGCGTGATCTCGGTTCACTGCAAGCTCCGCCTCCTGGGTTCACGCCATGCTCCTGCCTTAGCCTTCTGAGTAGCTGGGACTACAGGTGCCCACCACCACATCCAGTTAATTTTTGTATTTTTAGTAGAGACGGGTTTTCACCATATTGGCCAGGATGGTCTCAAACTCCTGACCTTGTGATCCACCTGCCTGAGCCTCCCAAAGTGCTGGGATTACAGGCGTGAGCTGCCATGCCCGGCCTTCAGGATTTTTAAATAGTAAAGCGTTAGGGGTGGTGAGCTGATTGGTAGGGGTGCTAGGAAACTTGTCTTAAAGCTAAGTTTGCATAGCTAGCTTACAATTTTCACTTAGATTAATATACATAGATTTATAGTAGCTTGTGGGGGACTGATAAAGATGTGGGTTAAAGATTCCTTTTAAAGCCATCCCTTAATGCTACCACTGTACAGAAAGATGGCAGAGTGACTGCCTTTATAGACACCTGCCCACACTTCCTAATCTGCCCTCAGTTGCAACTCCTAGAGAGTAGGCACACAGCTTAGGGTGGAAAATACATGAAAATTCAGTACTTGTAAATAGATGGGAGGTGGGTAATGAGGATGAGCGACAGAAGAAAAAACCTTCTATATTTGTCTGTTCTCACCACCTAAGGGGTTCTTCAGAAAACCAGTGAGCTTTACGCTCAGGTTGAGAAATCCTTGTTACAGTCACTTTAATTGCAATCTCTATTTCTTCTCTCTTTTTCTTTCTCTCTCTGTGTCTCTACACCTCTCCCTCACCACTTTCTGGATATGCACACATATTTACATTCAGATGATTTTAGAAAGCTCCATTGGGGAATAACTATAAATTATGAATATGCAACAGCACTAAAACCAACTATTATAGTCAAAAATCCTGAAATAAACCTCCTGGTTCTCTTCCTTCCTACTTACTTACAGTCAGCACACAGCAATATATCTTAGAGTGAGGCTAAATGGATATCTGATACTCACTCGAATGTGATAGGCAGTCAACAACCCAGTTATCACTGTTGAAGCATTTTAAGGACTACTTCCATGTCACTCTGGCTATGATAAAAACCATAGTCTCCAAATTGGTACAGTAGGATGAACCTTCCATGACGACTGGTAGCATGTGTTTGATTACACATATGTATACATACATGTACACACAATACACATACCTAAACATTATAACCAGATTAGTATATTCCTTTTGCATTGTACTGAATACTTTAAAATAATGTTTCATCAGTGATTGTCAGAGTTATAAAATCATTTGAATATATTAATAAGCTATAAACATTTTAATTTTAAAGGATAAAATATGCTGCACAAAAGAGCCAGTACAGCCACTGCTTATGTGTTTAATTTATTTAAAGAGATGCCTGTTCTGTTATTACTTCAAATATAGTTATATCTACATGTAAGTGATTTTAATTTGCTACAACATTTAGATGTATCAATGAGACATTTCATAAATTAAAATTGTATCACGTAGGGAGACTATCTTGATTATGAAGCTTTATTAGGTGATGATTATAAGTGCCTTGTTTAATAATTATAACAGCTTAATGGCTCCTGTAGTTATACTTTATAATAAAAATTTCACATTTAATAATATGGAAAGGGATGGTACACAGTGAACTGACAAAAAAGTATTGATTCTGAACCTTTAAATTGGATTCCTATTGATCTGATGTATGAATATTTTATTGGTGTAAATGTTTTCAGGGTTGCCAGTTTCTATTACTGCATGTTAGCAATTTTACTGGCTATGTATAATGGACAAATTAAATGCCAGGATATGGGCATATCCAGCACCCCACACTGATTATTTTGATTCACTTATCACTATACACTACTAGGGCCTTCCCTTTCTCTGTCCCATCTCTGTTCTGGAAGGTGAGCCACAGACTTCTTCTGTACATGCCTCAGATACATGACAAGCCAGTGATGGGTGGTCTGGCTTGTTATCTGGTAGAGGCTGGGTGGGCATGTGTCTCTTCCTGCTAAGGCCCACAGCCCCTTAGCTAAGACTTACACATTTGCTCCAAGGCCAGTCATTTGGGCCCGAGTACCTAATGGATAATAACAGGGGCTCTGGGATTAGGTAGAGCAAGATGGCTGAACAAAAGCTTCAACCAATTGTCCTCCCCACAGGAACACCAAACTGAACAACTATGCACACAAAAAAGCACCTTCATAAGAACCAAAAATCAGCTTAGGTACCAGCTTGGCCACAGTGGAGTAGAGCACCAAGCAGGCTCTTGGGGTCCCTGATTCCAGGCCTAGCTCTTAGATGGCATTTCTGGACTTGCCCTGGGCCAGAACGGAGCCCATTGCCCTTCTGGGAGAGTCCCAGTCCTGCCAGCATTCATCACAAGCTGACTGAAGAGCTCTTGTGCCTTGAGTGAACACTGGTGGTACCCAGGAAGTACTCACCATGGACCTAGGGTAGTGGTGATCACAGGGAGAGACTCCTCTGTTTGTGGAAAGGGGAGGGAAGAGTAGAAGAACTTTGTGTTGAGGTATGTGTTCCAGCTCAGCCACAATCGAGTAAGGCACCAGGTATATTCCTAAGGTTTCTGACTGTAGGACCTGGCTCCTGGATGGCACCTCTGGACCCACCCAGGGTTTGGGGAATTCACTGCCCTGAAGGGAAGGACACAAGCCTGGCTGGCTTTGCCACCTGCTGATTGTAGAACCCTAGGGCTATGAGCAAAGATAAGCAATAGCCAGGCAGTGGTTACCACAGGTGTTGGGTGAGACCCAATGCTGTGCTGACTTCAGGTCTGACCTAGCACAGTCCCAAGGGCAATGGCCACAAGGGTGCTTGTGTGATCCCACCCACAGTTCTAGGCAGCTCAGCACAGAGAGAGAGAGAGAGAGATGCCATTTGTTTGGGAGAAAGTAAGGGAAGAGAACAAGAGCCTATGTCTGGAAATCCAAAGAATTCTTCCAGATCTTATCCAAGACCACCAAGTACCTCTAAGAGACCGCAAGAGTCACAGTGTTACTAGACTCGAGGTGCCCCCTAATGCAGTTATGGCTACAGTGACCAAAAACTTAGATCACAACACTCAAGTCCCTTTGAATACCTGGAAGGCCCTTCCCAAGAAGAATGGGTACAAACGAGCCCAGACTTAGAAGACTACAATAAATATCTAGCTCTTCAATGCCCAGATACTGACAAACATCCATAAGCATCAAGACCATCCAGGAAAAATAATCTTACCAAACAAACTAAATAAATCACCAGGGACCAATCCCAGAGAGACAGAGATATGTAACCTTTCAGACAGAGAATTCAAAATAACTGTTTTGAGGAAATGCAATGAAATTCAAGATAACATAGAGAAGGAATTCAGAATTCTATCAGATACATTTAACAAAGAGATTGGAATAATTAAAAAGAATCAAGCAGAAATTCTGGAGTTGAAAAATGCAATTAACATACTGAAGAATGCATCAGAGTCTCTTAGCAGAATTGATCAAGTAGAAGAAAGAATTAGTGAGCTTGATGACAGGCTATTTGAAAATACACAGTCGGAGGAGACAAAAGAAAAAAAGAATGAATAAGAATGAAGGATGCCTCCAAGATGTGGAAAATATCCTCAAAAGGGCAAGTGTAAGTGTTATTGGCCCTAAAGAGGAAGTACAAAGAGAAATAGGTGCAGGAAGTTTATTCAAAAAGATAATAACAGAGAACTTAACAAACCTAGAGAAAGGTGTAAATATTCAAGTGTAAAAACACCAAGCAGATTTAACCCAAATAAGACTACCTCAAGACGTTTAATAATCAAACTCCCAAAGATCAAGGATAAAGAAAGGTTCGGAAGAAATAATATAAATAGAGTTCCAATATGCCTGGTAGCAGACTTTTCAGCGGAAACCTTACAGGCCAGGAGAAACTGGCATGACATATTTAATGTGCTGAAGGAAAAAAACCTTTTATCTTAGAATAGTATATCCAACAAAAATATCCTTTAAATATGAAGGAGAAATAATAACTTTCCTGGACAAACAAAGGTTGAGGGATTTCATCAACACCAGACCTGTCCTACAAAAAAATGCTAAAGGGAGTTTTCAATCTGAAAGAAAAGGACATTAATGAGAAATAAGAAAACATCTGAAGGTGCAAAAAACTCACAGGTAATAGCACAGAGAAAATCACAGAATATTATAACACTGTAATTGTAGGGTATAAACTATTCATATCTCAAGTAGAAAGACTAAAAGATCAACCAATCAAAAATAATAACTACAGCCACTTCTCAAGAAATAGACAGTACAATAAGATAGAAATAGAAACAACAAAAAGTTAAAAAGTATGCAGTGGGGGGGAATGAAGTTAAAGTGTACAGTTTTTATTAGTTTTCTCTTTGCTTGTTTGTTAGTCTATGCAATCAGTATTAAGTTGTCATCCATTTAAAATAATGGGTTATAAGATAGTATTTTCAAACCTCATGGTAACTTCAAATCAAAAATCATACAACAGAGAAAAAATATGCAAAAAATAAAAAGCAAGACATTAAAACATACCACCAGAGAAAATCACCTTTACTAAAAGGAAGAAAGAAAGAAAAGAAAGAAGGAAGGAAGGAAGAGAAGACCGCAAAACAACCAGGAAACAAATATCAAAATGGCAGGAGTAAGTCCTTACTTATCAGTAATAACATTGAATGTAAATGAACTAAACTCTCCAATCAAAAGACAGAGAGTGGCTGAATGGATAAAAAAAAAAAACAAGATTCAACAATCTGTTGCCTACAAGAAACCCGCTTCACCTATAAAGACACACATAGACTGAAAATAAAGGGATGGAAAAAATATACTATGCAAATGTAAACTGAAAAAGAGCAAGAATAGCTATACATATATCAGACAAAATAGATTTCAAGACAAAAACTATAAGAAGAGACAAAGAAGGTCCATATATGATGATAAAGGGGTTACTTCAGCAAGAGGATATAACAATTATATATATATATAATATATAATATATATTTTCACCCAGTGCTAGAGCACTCAGGTATATAAAGCAAAAATTACTAGAGCTAAAGAGAAAGATAGACCTGAATACAATAATAGCTGGAGACTTCAACAGTTTCAGCATTGAACAAATGATCCAGACAGAAAATCAACAAAGAAATATCAGATGTAATCTGCAATACAGACCAAATGCCCTTAATAGATATTTACAGAACATTTCATCCAACAGCCTCAGAGTACGCATTCTTCTCGGCACATGGATTATTCTCAAGGATAGACTGTATGTTAGGCCACAAAACAAGTCTAAAAAATTCAACAAAATTGAAATTATATCAGTATCTTCTCTGACCACAATGGAATAAAACTATAATAAATCAGTATCAAGAGGAATTTTGGAAAATATAAAAACACACGGAAATTAAATAGTATGCTCCTGAATGACCAGTGGGTCAATGAAGAGATTAAAAAGGAAATAAAAAAATTTCTTGAAGCAGGTAATAATGGAAACACAACATACCAAAACCTACGGGATACAGCGAAGCCAGTACTAAAGAGAAGTTTATAGCTATAAGTGCCTACATCAAAATAGAAGAAAAATTTCAAATAAACAATGTAACAATGCATCTTAAAGAACTAGAGAAGCAAGAGCAAACCAAACCCAAAATTAGTGGAAGAAAATAAATAAAGATCAGAGAAGAAATAAATAAAATTAAAATGGAGAAAACAATATGAAAGATCAATGAAACAAAAAGTTGGGTTTTTCTTTTTCTTTTTTTCCTTTCTTTTTTTTTTTCTGAGACAGAGTTTGGCTCTGTCACCCAGGCTGGAGTGCAGTGGCATGATCTCAGCTCACTACAACCTGAACCTCCTGGGTTCAAGCAATTCTCATGTCTCAGCCTCCTGGGTAACTGGGATTACAGGTGTGCCAACATGCCTGGCTAATTTTTGTATTTTTTGTAGAGATGGGGTTTCACCATGTAGGCTAGGCTGGTCCCAAACTCCTGGTCTCAAGTGAGCCACCTGCTATGGCCTCCCAAAGTGCTGGGATTACAGGGATGAGCTACTGTGCCCGGCCAAAAAAATGATTTTCTTAAAAAGATAAACAAAATTTTTGTCAGTTGACAAGACTTAAATCTAAGACTTCAAGCTATGAAACTATTAAAAGCAAACATTGGGAAAACTCTCCAGGCAAGTGATTTCTTGAGTAATACCTTACAAGCACAGGCAACCAAAGCAAAAATGGACAGATGGGATCACATCAAGTTAAAAAGCTTCTGCATAGTAAAAGAAACAATCAATAAAGTGAAGAGACAGCCCATTTAATGGGAGAAAATATTTGCCAACGATCCACCTGACAAAGGATTAATAACCAGAACGTATAAGGAACCCAAGAAACTCTATAGGAAAAAAATCTAGGCCAGGCGTGGTGGCTCATGCCTGTAATCCTAGCACTTTGGGAGGCCGAAGCAGGTGAATCACCTGAGGTCAGGAGATGGAGACCAGCCTGACCAACATGGAGAAACCCTGTCTCTACTAAAAATACAAAATTAGCTGGGTATGGTGGCCCATGCCTGTAATCCAGATCTTCGGGAGGCTGAGGCAAGAGAATTGCTTGAACCTGGGAGGTGGAGGTTGCGGTGAGTCGAGATCGTGCCATTGCACTCCAGCCTGGGCAACAAAAGCAAAACTCCGCCTCAAAAAAAAAAATCTAATAATCCCATTAAAAACTGGGTGAAATGTCTGAATAGACATTTCTCAAAAGACATACAAATGACCAACAGGCATATGAAAAGGTGCTCAACATCACTGATCATCAGAGAAATGCAAATCAAAACTGCAATGAGATATCATTTCATCCCAGTTAAAAAGGCTTTTATTCAAAAGACAGGCAATAACAAATGCTGGTGAGGATGTGGAGAAAAGGGAACTCTCGTACACTGTTGGTGGGAATGTAAGTTGGTACAACCACTATGGAGAACAGTTTGGAGGTTCCTTAAAAAATTAAAATGGAACTATCATGTAATCCAGTAATCCCACTGCTAGGTATATACCCAAAAGAAAGGAAATCAGTATATTGAAGATATGTCTTATCTCTGTACTCCCATATTTGTTGCAGCACTATTCACAATGGCCAAGATTTGGAAGCAACCCAAATGTTCATCAACAGATGAATGGATAAAGAAAATATGGTACATATATGCAATGGAGTGCTATCCAGCCATAAAAAGGAATTAGCTCTTGTCATTGTCAACAACGTGGATGGAACACGAGGTCATTATGTTAAGTGAAATAAACCAGGCACAAAAAGACAAACTTCACATGTCCTCACTTATTTGTGAAAGCTAAAAATTAAAACAATTGAACACATGAAGATAGAGAGTAGAATGATGGTTACCAGAGGTTGGGAAGGGTATTGAGGGTGCGGGGAAGGGACGGTGAGACAGTGGGGATGGTAAATACGTATAAAAATATAGTTAGATATTTAGAATTAATAAGATCTAGTATTTGATAGCACAACAGGTTAACTATAGTCAACAATAATTTATTGTACATTTAAAAATAATCATTTGTAACACAAAGAAAGGATAAATACTTGAGGTGATGCATACCCATTTGCCCATGCAATAATGCCTGTATCATGCCTGTATCAAAACATCTCATGTACCCCATAAATATATACACCTACTACATACCTACAAAAATAAAAAAAAAACCCCTGGACTCTGGAGTCAGATTCATTCAATTCAAATAATATTTATTGAGAGCCAAATAGCAGACATTGTTCCAGGTGCTAGGAACAGAATCGTGATCCTGGCTTCATGGACTTCCATTCTCATGATTGCCTAGGTTCAAATCCTAACTCTACCTCATAACCTCAGGAAATATGTTTTACTGTCTGAACTTATCTCTTAATTTGTACCAGATTCATGTTTGTTGCAAGAATTTACAGAGGCAATGTATATAAAGCATCCAATATCATGCCTAGCTCATTGCAAGTGTCACTTATTTTTATTTTTGGGTGAAAGTCTGATGCAAGCCATATTTATGCCATAAATTTAATTGGATGTGAATATGATCTACTAGTTGAAATGACTCTGATTTCTATGCTTTTTAATCTAGTCTGAGCAGCATTTATGATACAGTAATGGCCAAAAGACAATGAAAACACTATTATTTATCTTAATAAGACAATCCTAAGCCAAAAGAACAAAGCTGGAGGCATCACGCTACCTGACTTCTAACTATACTACAAGGCTACAGTAACCAAAACAGCATGGTGCTGGTACCAAAACAGAGATAGAGACCAATGGAACAGAACAGAGCCCTCAGAAATAATACCACATATCTACAACCATCTGATCTTTGACAAACCTGACAAAAACAAGAAATGGGGAAAGGATTCCTTATTTAATAAATGGTGCTGGGAAAACTGGCTAGCCATATGTAGAAAGCTGAAACTGGATCCCTTCCTTACACCTCATACGAAAATTAATTCAAGATGGATTAAAGACTTAAATGTTAGACCTAATACCATAAAAACCCTAGAAGAAAACCTAGGCAATACTATTCAGGACACAGGCATGGGCAAGGACTTCATGTCTAAAACACCAAAAGCAATGGCAACAAAAGCCAAAATTGACAAATAGGATCTAATTAGACTAAAGAGCTTCTGCATGGCAAAAGAAACTACCATCAGAGTGAACAGGCAACCTACAGAATGGGAGAAAATTTTTGCAATCTACTCATCTGACAAAGGGCTAATATCCAGAATCTACAAAGAACTCAAACAAACTTACAAGAAAAAAACAAACAACCCCATCAAAAAGTGGGCAAAGGATCTGAACAGACAATCCTCAAAAGAAGACATTTATGCAGCCCACAGACACATGAAAAAATGCTCATCATCACTGGCCATCAGAGAAATGCAAATCAAAACCATAATGAGATACCATCTCACACCAGTTAGAATGGCAATCATTAAAAAATCAGGAAACAACAGGTGCCGGAGAGGCTGTGGAGAAATAGGAACACTTTTACACTGTTGGTGGGACTGTAAACTAGTTCAACCATTGTGGAAGACAGTGTGGCGATTCCTCAAGGATCTAGAACTAGAAATACCATTTGACCCAGCCATCACATTACTGGGTATATACCCAAAGGATTATAAATCATGCTGCTATAAAGACACATGCACACATATGTGTATTGTGGCACTATTCACAATAGCAAAGACTTGGAACCAACCAAAATGTCCAACAATGATAGATTGGATTAAGAAAATGTGGCACTTATACACCATGGAATACTATGCAGCCATGAGTTCATGTCCTTTGTAGGGACATAGATGAAGCTGGAAACCATCATTCTCAGCAAACTATCGCAAGGATAAAAAACCAAACACCGCATGTTCTCACTCACAGGTGGGAATTGAACAATGAAAACACTTGGACACAGGAAGGGGAACATCACACACCGGGGCCTGTCGTGGGGTGGGGGGAGGGGGGAGGGATAACAGTAGGAGATATACCTAATGTAAATGACGAGTAAATGGGTGTAGCACACCAACATGGCACATGTATACATATGTAACAAACCTGCACGTTGTGCACATGTACCCTAGAACTTAAAGTATAAGAATAAAAAAAAATGTAGTCAATTGTGGTGAGTCATAGGAGGGATGCCAAGTGTGGAATCACCACAGATGCCAGTCAAGGCTCAACGTGACCAGCTGTTCAGGGTGCTTTGACAATCCCAAGCCTTGAAACTACCTAAAGGCTCCTTCTGAGTCAAATATCAAAAAAATGGATCCCAAATGACTCCTAATATGATTTCTCCCAGATGCTCTTTCTGATAACTTTGTTTCCGACGTTGATATCTGATGCTCTCCTAATTACTTTGGACCACTTTCTTCCTGGAAGACTCTATATGGCTCTTATCATTGAGCAGCTCTTTGCAATGAAGATGGGAAAAGACCTCCACTATCTTCTGTTATGATCTAAGGCCCTCGATGAGGTACCCATTGCCTCCATGTATCTTCCTGGGAAGGCCTTTCTGAGGCTTTGGCTGGTATCTTAATTTCTTGTGGAATATACATACTGGTGTTCTGGTGCTGTGATGTCTGGATATGTTGAGGTATTGACCATACCCTGGCCAGTGGTTTTCCTTTTGTTTATATGGAGAGAGTCCCTGCTCTGGCAAGGGAAGAGATGAAGGGAAGAGAGGGTAGAAGAGGGGAGGGGAGGGAAGAGGAGGGGAGAGGAGGGGAGGGGAGGGGAGGGAACAATTTACTGTGCCTTTTTAAAAAGAGATCAGCCAATAAAAAGGTAGATTTTGGAGACAGACAAATCTAAAAAAAAAAAAAAAAAAAAGAAATGAAGGTTCCAAATTGATCACCTAAATCATACAGTCCTTTATCAAAATGCCTGGAAGCCTGTCTAGGCTGGAGGTTGGCTAACAGCATACACTCAGCTGACCCGGGGAGTACTGATTTATTTTCCTATGTTAGAAGTTAGGCCTCATCTGAAAGGCAGAGAGAAGGGCATCATCACACTCTATGCCCTATGGACTGGGATTGGGGTGGGCACTGGAGACTATTCAAGAGGGCATTTTTGGGAAAATAGGAAGAGAGCTCATGGTGGAAGACAGGGAAAGTACCAGTAGAAGCCGCATTCTGACAACATTCCACAAGGAGAGAAGCTAATTAAAAATGGGAACCTGACATAGGCCAACTAAATGAGTATCTCTGGGGCTGGGATCTGGCAGTGATCTTTCATAAGAAAAACTCCCCTAGATAATTCTAACATAGCCAGAGGTAAAAACAACAACAAAAAACCCCACTACTGCTCCAGACTAGTAGTTCTCAAAGTGTAATTCGCAGACCAGCACACGTGGGTATTTGTAGAAGTGCAAATTAACAGGACCCCCCACCACCCCAGATCTACTGAAACAGAAACTCTGAGGGTGGGACTCAGGAATCTGTGTCTTAACAAGCTCTCCAGTGATTCTGATGCTTGCTCAAGTTGGAGAACTACTGCTCTAGATAAGTCATACCAGACCAAAAAAACAAACAAACAAAAAAATTAGGAAGGTCAGGAAGGCAGGCAGGGTAAAATGGATCAGGGTGGAAGTCCACTGTGGTTTCCTTTTGTACTTTAGAGAAGAATGAAAAACGCACATTGCTCACTTCCATACAACTTTGGAGAGGGGAAGGTATCTAACCCTTCACCTTTCTCTCTCCTAAAGCTCCTTCCTAGGAGCCATTAAATGACAGAGGCCTCTTGGTTCCAAGTGGGTTTTAGGATTTTTAAATAAAATGCAGAGACTAATAATGAAATTTGTTGGACCATCAGAAAGGACAGCAGATGGCCCTTGTGCCTAGGAGGGAGGGAGGGAGGGTAACCGCTTTCCAGACCAGGAAAAAATAAACTAAGAATAAAAAGAAAACCAAATGATTAAAACTGAACTTTGCTTTACTTTTCCCTTTTATTTCATGAAAGCAGTGTTTGGGCACAGTAGAGATATGTTAATAAAATTGAATAATGTCTCTTGCACTAAGTTTTCAGTACAAGATGAAAACTGCATAAGAACATGTTCTAATGATGCGTTGGTTTTCTCACAGTAACATCCAGCCCCCAGAACATTCTCTGGCAGCACCCACACTCTCCTGTCCTAGTGAATAAACCTGGAACAAAGCTGAAAATCTGAGGAGCTGCCGCCTGGATGGGGAAGGATATGCTTGTGAAATGTAGCTTGGCTCTGTTGCTGACTTAGATGGGAGTACAGGAAAGTCATTAGTTTCTCTGGCCCTCAATTTTCTCAAGTAGGAAATGACAGAAACCACCCAAATGAACTGAAATGTCAAAGTGATCTCCACAGGCCCAGGAAGAGGGCCAGGTGCCATAGCCAAACAGGATAGCAGAAAATCGCACAGGCTCATGGTGTCACATTCTGGTAAATGGGCATGATGAAATTTAACTAAGCTGAAAAACTGAGAAGTTTAGTGATCAAATGTGGGCCAAACATTCTATGGGCATTTTTGTTGTTGCTTATTTTAATGGTCTTTTCCTCCTCATACTCACATGCTGTGCAAAAATTATATAATTATATAAAAAATATGAATTATATAAGTAAAGAACCCCAACCAAATCTCAACTGATTTTGTGAAAAAGAAATATCTTTTTTTTGCTTACTCTTAAGTTCTTTTTATCAGAAAACAAATACCACATGGGATTATTATTTTAAACACAAGCTGCATTTAAGAGAAAGTGTCTAGTAAACCTTCTGGGGCTGTAAATTAGCTGCTAATTTTGTTTGACTAAAGGCTGTAAAATGCATTTCTGGGAATTATTGTGCACAGAGAACATCCTCCTAATACTTCAGTGGGCTTGAACAGAGAAATGGAATCCTATTCAGTATACCTGTTACTAAACTGAGGCTACTCCACGACCCAGGCTCATTCTATCTAACTACATAGCCAGCTTTTCTGGATTTGTGAAAGATGAGATTTTGGGAAAGAACATGAGAAACAATGAGTCATTCACAGACACATAAGTAGAGATTTGAAATTGGTGTTCAGACCATCTAATCTTCACATTTCCTCCTTTGTTCAATCTCATTCCAGTCTCTGAAATTTTCCAAGGGCCTGTTTATTACTCTGTTCTATTCACCTACTGCTATGTTCAGTTACTGCCCCCTGTTTCTCTAATGGAGTTTTGCTTTCAAGACTGGGCACAACTCTTCTCAATATGTATTTACATTTTTCATTTCCTTATACAAGTTCCATCATTTTTTCTTTATGATAGTTTTCTTTAACCTGTTTATTCATTTGTTTCATTTGTTATATTTTCATGTTTTTTATCCTGGTCCTTATTTTCCTCCATGACACCTCTTCTTATACTTGATGTTGTTCTCTAGAATGCTGTTAAATTTGCTACCTGTCTCTTTCAAAATTTACCTGGGCAATGGTAGCACACAAAGGGCCATGCAGACTTGCCAATATTAGGCTGGTTTGGCCTAGCATAGTACCTGGCACACAGCAGGCATTCAATCAATATCTGTTCAGTGACTGCCTGAATGAAAATAGAAATGATATCAGTAGTTTTTTGCAATAATCTTAAGCAAAATTATAAACTAATAACTTCCACTCCTTTAAATGTGTGTCAACTTTTCTGTACTAATTGGAAAAACATCTAGTTCATGTGGATCAAAATTGAGTCTATATGCTACGTAGGGCAAAGGCATGCCTGGATTTTAACATCTCATCCTCAGTGACTCTAATGGTGCCTGGCACAGAGGAGATGCCCAATAAGTTTATATGAAATGGCTTAGAATGGACTACCTTCTCCATGCGACTAATGATCTGTTACTACTTCCTGAAAGGTTAGCCATTATTGATATACCACTTCTAGATGCTGTGACAAATGGCACAGCTCAGCAGCAAAAGTACTTTTTAAAGTCTATGGGCCTCCACAGGTTGAGTTTGAAAAGGATCTGTTAATCCTCTGAAATTACATGTGATTTATGGGGAGAAAGTTTACAAAATTATTAATACTCTTGAAGGGGAATATGACCTCCCCCCACCCCAAATTTCAGAACCACAGTGGATAATGAAAGTTTCTATGCTGTAAGAGCAATTAGGAAGTCCTGAAAAACAGGGAATTTAGTCAGGAGACTTGAGTTGAAATCCTAACTCTGCCCCTTGCTGGCTGGGTGACCTTGGCCAAGTTTTAAACTCTTTCTTATCTTCAGTTTCCTTATTATGACATGGTGATGTTAATGACAAGTCTCTAGACATAGTGGTTAAACTTCAACTTGAACCCAAATTTTTCTGGCTCTAAAGCCCAGGCTCTTAACATCTATCATCCTACATTAATTAAATGAGATAACTGATGTGAAAATGCCTGATGTAAATATTTGTTAAAGCAACAACAAAAAATGTCATTTGTCAAAGTAACAAAGTATTTTTTAAAGTAACAACAAAAGAGACAGATAACCACAAAGAAAAGGCCACTTTAGAAATTCCTCTTTGACCTATTAAAGAATGTTCAAGTTCAAAATATGTTTGTCATTATGATTAAAAATCCAACCCCAAAACTTGGGTGAAGACGGCATAATCTGTTAGTTTGGATATATACAGACTAAGGGGATTCTTTGGAATACCCTTTGTCTAGAGTGATCTTATGACATGGTACGGATAACTAGACTCACCTAACATTCAAATGAAGGGCTGTGTGTCTTCTATACTTTGTAGACAGAGGTGGCAGATCATCTGCTTTTAAATATAGAGGGCTCCCATTCTGCTAGGATCCAGAGGGAATGAGGGTCCTATGTTACAGATGTCCCTCTGCCTGCACAAAAGGCTGAAGAACAAGCCATCATGGAGTGTGGGAGATCCAGCTGTTGTCCATTTCCAGAAGAGGAGTGAATAGTGGCTTAACAGAGAGGACCCTTGCCTGGTTCTCTTTGGAAATTTCACAGTAGTGAGGCCAGGTGCGGTGGCTCATACCTGTAATTCTGGCACTCTGGGAGGCTGAGGCAGGTGGATCACTTGAGGTCAGGAGTTCAAGACTAGCCTGGCCAACATGGTCAAACCCCGTCTCTACTAAAAATACAAAAATTAGCCGGGCGTGGTGGCGTGCACTTGTAAGCCCAGCTACTAGGGAGGCTGAGGCAAGAGAATTGCTTGAACCCAGGAGGCAGAGGTTGCAGTGAGCCAAGATTGTGCCACTGCACTCCAGCCTGGGCAACACAGCGAGACTCTGTCTCAAACTAACAAACAAAAAATTTCACAGTCGTTATGAACAGATAATATGCTCAGGTATTAGCCATTTCATTGCATTGTTTTGACAAGTGACAGGAATTAGGTTTGCTAATGTTGGAAGAAAAATCTCACTTGTTGCTTTTAACTTAAACCTTTTATGGTTTTGAGATAGGTTTATTCACTGGGCTGGAGAATGAAGGATTTATCTGTATTAGTCGGATTTGATCAGTTTTCAAGTAGCTACTCAGTGTCAGGCCTATACATTATCTCGTTTAACTCTCTTAACACCATGGTAAGGTTGACTGTATCATAATCTCCATTTATCAGATAAGGAAACAAAGATTCAGAGAAGTCACCAAGTTGAGATCATTGCCCAGCTGCACACAGCTAGTGAGTGGTGAAGCTGAGACACAAATCAGGGCTTCCGACGCCACTTTCTATTACACTTTACTATGCTGTGCATTCGTGTAAAAGCATGATATTTTTAAAGTGGCATTCCAGCTGCCAGAAGGATATCAAATCAAGTACTAAAGACAATATTATTAGAAATGGAAATCTGGACTCACCAAGAAATGTCTTCAGTTCTATATAATAGGAAGACTGGTATTTTGCTTGATATGGGTGTTTCAATATCATCTGCTCCTAAAATGCAGTCTAGACACCTCTTGTGACCTGCTCAGGTGATACTAATGAAGTTTGGGTCATTTTTAGCATCTACAGAGAACAGAGTAAGAGTGCTGTGTGTTCAATACTATTGCAGACTTATGGGATAAACTGGATTTTCTTGCTTTACTTTATAAAGCTAATGCCTGATTACAAATATAAGTTTAAAACAAACCTCAAAATTTCTTGGCACCCACTCTTTGTGGTTGGTAACATGGACATCTGTATAAAATACCCAAGACCTTCATAGAGCAAAAGTGAGTGGGAAATTAATTTTTATTGGGTATATAATCATCACTAGCCATGTTCAAATACTTTTTCTCTAAATCCTTTACAAAGATCTTGTAAGTTGGGTATTATTACATTCAGTTTAGACTAAACGAAATGCAAAAAAAAAAAATAATAAAGAAAATAGACTCACAAGGTAAAGTTGCATACTTGAGACATAACAAAATTAAATTTCATTCTATGATGCTGCCACATAGCAGATGATACAAGCAGTATAGAATACCCATAAACATTATGTTTTAAGGTATTTCCACCTGTATCTTTCTTGGGGCAGGTAAATGAAACTCACTATAAACCAGTTACAGGTCCTCCTTTATCTGAGGTTTTGCTTTCTGAAGTTTCAGTTACCTGCAGTCAACCATGGTCTAAAAATATTAAATGAAAAATTCCAGAAATAAACAGTTTATTACGTTTTAAAATGGATGTCCTTCTGAGTTGTGTGATGAAATCTCATGCCATCCTGCTCCATCCCTCCAGGGATGTGAGTCATCCCTTTGTCTAGTGTATCCATGCTGTCTGCCCTTAGTCAGCCTTCTTGGTTGTCAGATTGATTGGTACAATGGACACAAGGTATTACCGTGCTTGTGTCTAAGTAACCTGTGTTTTACTATTATTACAGTCTATTGTTATAGTTTCTATTTTAATATAAGTTATTGTTGGTAATCTCTTACTGTGCTTAGCTGATAAATTAAACTTTATTATAGATATCTATCTATATCTATCACAGATATATCTATAGATACGTACCTGCGATATGTATCTATATGCGATATGTATAGATACATATCACAGGTATGTATCTATAGATACATCGGTATATATATGAAAAAACAGTACATATAGGGTTTGGTACTAACCACAGTTTCAGGCATCCACTGGGTGGGGATGCGGGTCTTAAAACACAACCCTTGTGGATAAGAGAGGACTACTATATGGAAAGTCAGAGTTAGAGAGCTTTTGTAGGTTATGTAGTTCAATCTTTTGTTTTGCTGGTAAGGAGAAGAATACACCTTAATTTTGACTTCTTAACTCGAAAAGTTAAGAAACTTGTCTAAGGTCACAGAGCTAGTGGCAGAGCAAGCCAAGCATCAGTGTCTCCAAAATCCAGCTCAGTGTTGTTTGTGTTATATCAGAATGAGTAAGAGTTAAGATAAGAACATGAGTCTTACAGCTCCACTATCCATGTTCAAATTCTTGCTGAATGATTGGGGAAACTTACCCAACCTCTCTGGACCTCAGGTTATTCACAAGTAATACGAATATAACAGTATTTGATAGAGCCAATTAAATGAGTTAATATTTGCAAAATGCTGAAATCAGTGCTTGCCCCATAATGAATACTCAATAGGTATTTAGATATTTTTATTCTTATCTTTCCTCCCAAGCCCAACCTAGTGTAGAAACTTCTGGAATGGTTGAATTGAAGGAGAAATAGTATAAACAGTATAAAAAGGTAAACTTTTTAAAAAGAGAATCATGAAGTAGTGCTTCTACAGAGATTGGGGGATGGCAAACAACCCATGGAGTAAATTCACAAGACTTGACACTTAAGAATCCAAGAGGGCTGCATGAGATGAGTCCAGGTAGGCCTCGTAGACAAATCTTAGATGGAGTTAACTCAGGAAGCCAAGGAGTATGAGCCAGTAGTCATCCTGAGCAAGGATAATAATTTTTCTTTCTGCCTGCCTTCTTGCCTTCTTGTCTCCTTGCCTACCTTCCTTCCTTTCTTCCAGCTTTCCCTCCCTCTTTTCCTTCCTTCCCTATCTCCATCCCTCCCTTCCTTTCCTACCTCCCTCCCTTCTTTCTTCTTCCCTTTCCTCCTTCTTTCCTTCCTTCATTTCTTCCTTCTTTCCTTTCTTCCTCCCTCTCTCCTACCCTTCTTCCTTGCTTCCTTCCTCCCTCCCTCCCCTCCCTTCCTTCCTTTTCCTTCCTTCCTTTCCTTCCCTCCTTCTTCCTCCCTCTCTCCCTCCTTCCCTACTTCCCTCCCTCCTACTTTCTTCTGTTTCCTCTTTCCTTCCTCTCTTCTTCTTTCCTCCCTCTCTTCCTTCCCTCCCTCCCACCTTCCTCCCTTTCCTCTTCCTTCCTCTTTCTTCCTTCTTTCCTTCCTCCCTCCCATCTCCTTCCTTCCTTCCTTCTTTCTTTCCTTCATTCCTCCCTCCCTCCCTT